>NC_000015.10:41155661-41458692 GCF_000001405.40 Homo sapiens
TGTCACCCAGGCTGGAGTGCAGTGGCATGATCTTGGCTCACTGCAATCTCCATATCCTGGATTCAAGCAATTCTCCTGCCTCAGCCTCCCGAGGAAAAAAATATTTTTGTGAGAGAGGGTCTCATTCTGTATCCTGGGCTGAGTGCACTGGCACGATCACAGCTCACTGCCACCTCAACTTCCTGGGCTCAAATGATCCTCCCACCTTAGCCCCCTGAGTAGCTGGGACTACAGGGGTGTGCTACCATGACCGGCTAATTTTTTATGTATTTTTAGATGTGGAGTCTAGCTATGTTGCCCAGGCTGGTCTCAAACTCCCGGGCTCAAGTGATCCTCCTGTCTTGGCCTCCGACATTACTGGGATTACAGGCGGGAACTACCATCCTCAGCCAATATTATTGTATATGTAGAAAATACTAATGAATCTACAGAGTAATTAGAATTACTAGAAAGTTCTGTGGGGTTTTTTTCGTTTTCTTTTGTTTTGTTTTTGTTTTTGTTTTTTGAGATGGAGTCTCTTTCTGTCACCCAGGCTGGAGGGCAGTGGTGCAATCTTGGCTCACTGCAACCTCCGCCTCCCGGGTTCAAGCAATTCTCCTGCCTCAGTCTCCTGAGTAGCTGGGATTACAGGCACGTGCCACCATGCCCAGGTAATTTTTTATATTTTTAGTAGAGACAGGGTTACACCATATTGGCCAGGCTGGACTCAAACTCCTGACCTCAGGTGATCTACCTGCCATGGCCTCCCAAAGTGCTGGGATTACAGGCGTGAGCCACCATGCCCAGCCAAAAATGAAGTTTTATAAAATACGCTATTAAGAGTAGCTAACAATGTATTATCTTGGACTTGATATTGGAGCAGAAAAAGGTGGTTAGTGGAAAAATTGTAGAATCCAAATATAGCCAGTAATTTAATCTTATTTTACCAATGTCTATGTCTTAGTTTTTACAGATGTATCATGGTTTCTAATATAGTAACATTAGCGGATGGGCATAGTGGCTCATGCCTGTAATTTCAGCAATTTGGGAGGCCGAGGGAGGTGGATCACCCAAGGTCAGGAGTTCGAGACCAGCCTGACCAACATGGTGAAACCCCTTCTCTACTAAAAATAGAGGAAGATGGTGAAACCCCGTCTCTACTAAAAATACAAAAATTAGCTGGGCATGGTGGTACACACCTGTAGTCCTAGCTACTTGGGAGGCTGAGGCAGGAGAATCGCTTGAACCCGGTAGGCAGAGATTGCAGTGAGCCGAGATCGCGTCACTGCACTGCAGCCTGGACGACAGATCAAGACTCCATCTCAAAGAAAAAAAAAAGATATTAACATTAGAACAATCTAGGTGATGACCTCATACACTCTATGTGTGGAACGTCATTATGTAACCCATGAATATGAACAATTATTATTTATCAATTAAAAATATAGAAAATAGGCCAGGCACGGTGGCACACACATGTAATCCCAGCACTTTGGGAGGCCAAGGAGGGCAGATTACTTGAGGCCAAGTTCGATATGATTCGGTTGTGGATTCGCTCATAGTTTGAATTTGCTAGGCAGAATAGTAAGGACAAAGTAAGTCCATGGGCAATTATGAGGATAATTGCACCAGTAAAACTTCAGGGGATTTGAATGAGGATAGGCACAATAAAAAGTGCCATATGGCTTACAGAGGAATGACTATAGTAGCAGAGGTTCAAGAAAAGCCTGGCCAACATGGTGAAACCCCATCTCTACTAAAAAAAAACAAAAATTAGATGGGCAAGGTGGTATGTGCCTGTAATCCCAGCTATGTGGGAGGCTGAGGCATGAGAATCACTTGAACCCAGGAGGTGGAGGTTGCAGTGAGCTGAGATCGCACCACCGCACTCCAGCCTGGGCGAAAGGGCAAGACTCTGTCTCAAAAAAGGAAAGAAAGACCAGGCGCGGTGGCTCACGCCTATAATTCCAGCACTTTGGAAAGCCGAGGCAGGCGGACCACAATGTCAGGAGTTCGAAACCAGCCTGACCAACATGGTGAAACCCCATTTCTACTAAAAATAAAAAAATTAGCTGGGCATGATGGCGCACACCTGTAGTCCCAGCTACTCAGGAGGCTGGGGCAGGAGAATCGCTTGAACCCGGGAGGCGGAGCTTGCAGTGAGCGGAGATCGCGCCATTGCACTCCAGCCTGGGTGACAGAGTGAGACTCCATCTCAAAAAAAAAAAAGAAAAGAAAAAATAAAAATAAGAACAAAGCAAAACAAAAAAGAACCTGGTTGAAGAGCATGTGGGAATTTCTTGTGCTGTCTTTGCAGCTCTTCTGTAAATCTAAAATTATTTCAAAATAAAAAATTACTGGCCAGGTGTAGTGGCTCACGCCTGTTATCCTAGCACTTTGGGAAGCCAAGGTGGGTTCTTGAGCTGAGGAGTTCAAGACCAGCCTGGGCAACCCCAGGCTAAAACTCCATCTCTAAAAAGACAAAAAAAAAAAAAAAAAAAGCCAGGAGCAGTGGCTCACGCTTGTAATCCCAGCACTTTGGGAGGCTGAGGCAGACGGATCACTTGATGTCAGGAGTTCAAGACCAGCCTGACTAACATGGTTGAACGGCATCTCTCCTAAAAATACAAAAATTAGCTGGGCATAATGGCATGTGCCTGTAATCCCAGCTACTCGGGAGGCTGAGGCAGGAGAATTGCTTGAACCCGGAAGGCGGAGGTTGTGGTGAGCAGAGATTGTGCCACTGTACTCCAGCCTGGGCGACAGAATGTGACTCCATCTCAAAAAATAAAAAATAAAATAAAATAAAGCTACAGTAGGCCGGGCGCGGTGGCTCATGCCTGTAATCTCAGCACTGTGGGAGGCCAAGGTCAGCAGATTACCTGAGGTCAGGAGTTTGAGACTAGCCTGGCCAACATGGTGAAACCCTATCTTTACTAAAAATATACAAATTAGCCAGGCATGGTGGCACAAGGCCTGTAATCCCAGCCATTCAGGAGGCTGAGGCAGGAGAATTGCTTGAACCTGAGAGGCAGAGGTTGCAATGAGCCGAGATCGCACAACTGCCCTCCAGCCTGGGTGACAGGGTGAGACTCTGTCTCAAAAATAAATAAATAAATAAAAATAAAATAAAATAGCTATAATAATTAAGACAGTGTGTTATCAGCATAAAATAAATAAATAACCAATAGTACAGAGCAGAGAACCCAGCAAAGACCCATCATGCATTGACACTGGATAATTTATGGTGGGAGCACTGCAGTTTTTCAATAAATGATGCCACACAATTAGGTGTCCATATACAGAAATATGTTAAATTTATCCCTACCTCACAGTTTATTAAAAAATCAATCCCAGGTAAATTAGAGATTTAAACATAAATGGCAAAACCAAAAAACATAACAAAGGAAATATCCTTAGAATGGTGGAGTAAGACAATAATTTTTCTGGCCGAGTGTGGTGGCTCCCGCCTGTAATCCCAGAACTTTGGGAGGCTGAGGCGGGTGGATCGCGTGAGGTCAGGCGTTCAAGGCCAGCCTGACCAATATGGTGAAACCCCGTCTCTACTAAAAATACAAAAATTAGCCAGGCGTGGTGGTATGCACCTGTAGTCCCAGCTACTCGGGAGGCTGAGGCAGGAGAATTGTTTGAACCCTGGAGGTGGAGGTTACAGTGAGCTGAGATCGCGCCACTGCACTCTAGCCTGTGCAACAGAGTGACACTCTGTCTCAAAAAAAAAAAAAAAGAAAAGAAAAGAAAAATAAAATAATTTTTCTTTCTGAGACAAGATCTTGGTCTGTTGCCCAGGCTGGAGGGCAGTGGCACAATCATGGCTCACAGCAGTCTCAAATTCCTGGGGTCAAGCGATCCTCTCACCTCAGTCTCCCAAAGTGCTAGGATTACAGGCATGAGCCATTGTGTCAGGCCAGAAAATAATTTTTGTTTTTTTTTTGAGACCGAGTCTTGCCCTGTTGCCCAAGCTGGAGTGCAGTGGTGCAATTATAGCTCATTGCAGCCTCCATCCCCCCAGCTCAAGCAGTCCTCCCACCTTAGCCTCCCTAGGAGGTGGGACTTCAGGTGGATGCCACCACATCAGGCTAATTTTTTTTATTAAAATTTAAAATTTTAATTTTAGGCTGGGCGCAGTGGCTCACGCCTGTAATCTCAGCACTTTGAAAGGCTGAGGCTCCATCTCAAAAAAAAATTATTTTATAATATTTAATTTTGTTTACAAAGTAATTGTATTTGCTATTCTGTTTATTTTCCTTATTATTAATTTATTTCTACTTAGACTGTATCCTCAAAAATGATTTTGACCCATACAAATTAAGTTATTTCTCTCTTCTGGCTGGGTGTGTTGCCTCGCGCCTGTAATCATAGTACTTTCAGAGGCCAAGATGGGTGGATCACCTGAGGTCAGGAGTTCAAGACTAGCCTGGCCAATATGGTGAAACCCTGTCTCTACTAAAAATACAAAAATTAGCTGGGCGTGGTAGCGCATGCCTGTAATCCCAGCTACTCAGGAGGCTGAGGCAGAAGAATCGCTTGAACCTGGGAGGCGGAGGTTGCAGTGAGCCGAGATTGCACCACTGCACTCCAGCCTGGGCAACAGAGCAAGACTCCATCTCAAAAAATAAGATAAAATAAAATAAAATAAAAAACAGTACGCCTAATGTTAGTGAGAATGTGGCATATTAGGAACTCTCATACACTGCTGTTGGGTATGTAAATCAGTAAACAGTTTGGCAGAAGGCAGCAAAGTTAAATATATACATATGTAACAAATCCACTCCTGGAGAAATTCATGCATGTTTACACCAGGATACATATATAAGAAACCTCGTAGCAACACTGTTTGCAATAACTAAACAAAGGGAACATCAATAGTGGTGGTAAGTGGTGGTAAAATGCACCCCCTTTCCTTTTTTTTTTCTTTGAGATGGAGTCTCACTGTGTCACTCAGACTGGAGTGCAGTGGTGCGAAATCAGCTCACTGCAACCTCTGCCTCCACGGTTCTAGTGATTCTCCTGCCTCAGCCCCCCGAGTACGTGGGATTACAGGCATGTGCCACCACGGCTGGCTAATTTTTGTATTTTTAGTGGAGACGGGTTTCCCCATGTTCGCCAGGCTGGTCTCGAACTCCTGACCTCGGGATCCACCCATCTCAGCCTCCCAAAGTGCTGGGATTCAAGCGTGAGCCACCCTGCCTGGCCGCGTAATGTTTTATTTCTTGAACTGGATGTTCACTTTGGATTTTTCCGTAAACAGTACATTTTCATTTAGTTAACTTCTAAGTATATTTCACAATAAAAAAGTTTTTAAAATTTCCTGGCATTCCTCTCTTGTTCCTCTAAGGCTTCCTTGAAAGTTTCCAGTTACCACTCTCACCTGGAAATCACTACAAATTAGTTTCGTAATTGAGATTTCACAAGATGCTAGATCAAAATGCTTTACCGATAGCCCAATTTTGAATATCTAACACTTCTCTTCTTCTCTCATTCCTGGAATTCTTAATCCAAAAATCCCCCAGAAAACCACTCATACCAATCTGACAAGGTCAACTATTTAAATTCATCACTGCTGTTGATTAGTCAGAATTCCTTCATCCTTTAGAGGCGTACACATTTTTTCTTTTTAAATATTTATTTCTTTATTTGATTTAATTTTGAGATTAGAATCGCACTGTGGTGATTTCCAGAAACATTTTCCGAAATTCATGTATTCTTTCCTCATTCTTCCTGAATTCCTATTATTTGTTCAGCACCTACAACAAAATCAGGGGGGCGGGGGACGTAGGAATATCACAATGACACATCGTTGATATTTACAAAAATAACAGCAAATGAAAGATTTAATCTATGTCATACAATGAGAAACACAACTGATGGATGATACTTTGATTTCCCTGTTGTTTTTAAACATTAGCAACGAGTCATACAATATTACTGGTATTTGCATTTCATCATCACTAGGCCTAATTTTTTCTAACCGAAGGGAGATTTTCAACATACAGTTAGCTTTTCATTCATCTGCCTGACCAAAATCTAATCCTCTGACATCTAAATCTTTCTTGGTTGTCAAGTTTCTTCTAATCTCATTTATAGGATATCACTCCAAACACCACTTCCTTTCCTACACTTATAACTCACTACTATACCATGTTCCAAAATATTATTGTAAGTTTTTTACTTCTAATTACAATGCACCTCTGAAAAGAGGGCTTTTCTCATTCCTCCAGGCATTATGTGGACAGCGGGGCACAGATAAGACAACATAAATTCATGCAACATGATTTCCTGTCTCTGGGAGAAATCATAGATGATTGTGGTAAGCACTACAGGTGTCCTCTTATGACATATATCTTCCTCAAAAATTATGTGGTATACCCCTGTATTTGTCAGACTCTAACCAGGAAAACAGGAAGCATTCTAAGTATTGGAAACAGGAAATTTAGTACAGGAAATAAATTGCATGGCTGATGGAGGAGATGAGAAGGTGAGGCAGTCTAGAGATTATCAACAGTGGGAAGACACTACTATACCTTAGCTGAAGGAACAAAGCAAAGAAGTGGTATTACTAGGGCCTAGGAGCCAGAATGACCTTGTAGAAGCTGAAACCATGGCAGGCCTGTCAGGCTGGTAATGCTGCCATAGAGGAGATGTAGCCAATGCTGGAAATACTACCCAGGGCAGAATGAGGCAGGTACAATATCCTGGTGTCCTCCCGCTTCCCTCCTAGATTCCACCAGTGCTTTCCTTTAGCCAAATCCAGCTAAAAACCAACAGCAGCAGGAGTACAGGGCAAGGGCAAGAAATGAAGGGTTTGGGAAAAAAAGGAGGTTTGGAGAAGTCGTGACACTCATCTCCAAGCAGTCAAAGGACTATCACTTGGGAGAGGGAATGGATTTATTCTCCATGGCACATCAAGAGATGGAAAAGCCAGCTGGGCATGGTGACTCATGCTTGTAATCCCAGCACTTTGGGAGGCCGACGCAGGCGGATCACGAGGTCAGGAGTTCGAGACCAGCTTGGCCAACATGGTAAAACCCCGTCTTTATTAAAAATACAAAAATTAGCCAGGTGTGGTGGTGGGTGCCTGTAATCCCAGCTACTCGGGAGGCTAAGCAGGAGAATCACTTGAACCCAGGAGGTGGAGGTTGCAGTGAGCCGACACCATGCCATTGCATTCCAGCCTGGGAGACAGAGCGAGACTCCATCTCAATAAAAAAAAAAAAAAAAAAAAAAGCCACAGAAAGATGTGAGTGGTAGAATCTAGGTAGTGGGTATGTGGGTGCTCACTGTGTAATCTTTTGACTTTACTGTATATTTTAAATGTCCAAAAAAAAAAAAAGTTAGAAAAACACCATCAAAGGCAGCAAGACATCTAGGACCACAAGGTGGGATCATCTGTTCACAGGTGCATTCGTTATCTATCACTGGGTAACAAATTACCCCAAATTTAGCAGCTTAAAGCAGCAAATACTGGGCCCCCGCAAGGTCCCCTGCCGTGCGCGAGGCAGCATGATGAGGTGCACCCTGGAAAATCGGAACGCTCAAACGAAACAACTGCAAACAGCTGTCTCAAATGTGGAGAAGCATTTTGGAGAACTGTGCCAAATCTTCGCTGCCTATGTGCGGAAAACTGCCAGGCTGAGAGACAAAGCAGACCACCTGGTGAATGAAATCAATGCGTATGCTGCTACAGAGACCCCACATTTAAAGCTGGGCCTGATGAACTTTGATGATGAGTTTGCCAAACTTCAGGATTATCGACAAGCAGAGGTTGAAAGACTTGAAGCCAAAGTAGTTGAACCCCTGGGCCGGGCGCGGTGGGTGGCTCACGCCTGTAATCCCAGCACTTTAGGAGGCCAAGGCGGGCGGATCACGAGGTCAGGAGATCGAGACCATCCTGGCTAACACGGTGAAACCCCGTCTCTACTAAAAATACAAAAAATCAGCCGGGCGAGGTGGCAGACGCCTGTAGTCCCAGCTACGCGGGAGGCTGAGACAGGAGAATGGCGTGAACCCTGGGGAGCGGAGCTTGCAGTGAGCCGAGATCGCGCCACTGCACTCCAGCCTGGGTGACAGAGCGAGACTCCGTCTCAAAAAAACAAAACAAAACAAAGTAGTTGAACCCTTGAAAGCTTATGGGACCATTGTGAAAATGAAACGGGATGACCTCAAAGCAACATTCACAGCAAGGAATCGAGAAGCTAAGCAATTAACTCAGTTAGAAAGAACACGTCAGCGAAACCCATCTGATCGACATGTTATTTCACAGGCAGAAACGGAATTACAGAGAACTGCAATGGATGCTAGCCGAACAAGTCGTCATCTGGAGGAAACTATTAACAACTTTGAAAGGCAGAAAATGAAGGATATAAAGACTATATTTTCTGAATTTATCACAATCGAAATGTTATTTCACGGCAAAGCTTTAGAGGTCTACACTGCTGCCTACCGGAATATACAAAACATTGATGAAGATGAAGATTTAGAGGTTTTCCGAAATTCTCTGTATGCACCAGATTATTCATCTTGTTTAGATACTGTAAGAGCGAATTCAAAGTCACCTCTTCAGAGATCACTGTCAGCTAAGTGTGTATCTGGAACAAGACAGGTATCCACTTGTCGACTAAGAAAGGATCAACAAGCAGAAGATGATGAGGATGAAGAGTTAGATGTTACAGAAGAAGAAAATTTTCTTAACTACACATTTCCATTTTCATCATAAATGACATAAAATCCACAATGACTAAATTGTAGAACTTTATACTCACTTTGATATGTTAAGCCTCAAAGTGAAGTCCAACTGGAAACAGAAAAATATTTAAAGAAAACTTATGCTGACCAAAAATGAAGTCTTTAAAAAAATATTGCATACCAGTCATTTCAACATCCTACCTAGTGTTACATGATTTTTGTGTAAGTGCCTTTTTTTAGAAGATGGTGTATTTCAAAGTATTTCATATTAATGTACTATATCTACTTGAAGTTCCAATAGTGCATTATGACAGAAACCAAAAGATCTAACAATTCTGCTTAGCTTTTTGGTTAAGACTCCATGCTTTCATTACCAGAAAAGGGTCTTATGTAGTCATTCTGATTACATGTAATTCTATTCCATGAAGTATTTTTTTTTTTTTGACGGAGTCTCGCTCTGTCGCCCAGGCTGGAGTGCAGTGGCGGGATCTTGGCTCACTGCAAGCTCCGCCTTCCGGGTTCACGTCATTCTCCTGCCTCAGCCTCCCGAGTAGCTGGGACTACAGGCGCCCGCCACTGTGCCCAGCTAATTTTTTGTATTTTTAGTAGAGACGGGGTTTCACCGTGGTCTCGATCTCCTGACCTCGTGATCCGCCCGCCTCTGCCGCCCAAAGTGCTGGGATTACAGGTGTGAGCCGCCGTGCCCGGCCTTCCATGAAGCCTTAAGAAAAAAAATTTTTTATAACTTTCCCTAAAACTTTATCATTTGATAAGTAAATTTACTTTTCAAGAAGGGTATAATCAAAGAGTAAAGATAATGTGACACTAAGATATCAGTGTTTTATGAATACACATAAGGCATAAATTTCAGCTGTAAAAAAGCCACATTCAGTCTGACTCTGGTTTTAAAACAAAACTTCTGTCATAATTATAGATGATACTGCAACTTTTGGAAGGCTAATTTGGTGGAATGTTGCCTCATCATAGAACACCACAGATCATTAAAAATTATATAAAAATTTTACCAAGCTACCATATAGTTAATAAAAGGGTATACAGTCACTTTTATTTTTGAAAATATGAAACATGGAGACTTTCAGTGTATATGATGCTTCTCTTTTGGTAAGGAATTATACTTTTATTTCATGGATCCCAGGCAGGCATATCAAAGTTATGGAATTTATAAAATCATTTGGGATAATTAGAAAATTCAATTATTCATAACAGAAAAATAAAGACTTTCTCAAAAGCAAAAAAAAAAAAAAAAAAGCAGCAAATACTTATTATCTCCCAGTTTCTGGGGGGTCAGGAATCCAGGATCAGCTGAGCTGGATGATTCTGGTTCACGTTCTCTTATAAGTTTGTGGTCAAGCTATAGGCTGGACTGTAGTCACCTGAAGGCTTGACTGGGGAGGATCTACTGGAGAGGAATGACCACTGTTTGGTTGTGGGAGATGAAGACATAGTCCCTCACAGACTGTCGGCTGGAGTCCTTGGTTCTCTGTCGGGCCGAATCCTCCCAAAAGTATTCTCCCAACATGGCAACCAGAACAAGTGATCTGACAGAAAGAGTGCACCCAAGATGGAAGCCATAGTATTAGGCCTTTTAGAAGCAAGGAAAGTATATACCAAGATTCTGGGAAGATGGCAGGGTGGTAACGGTGGCATACTTTCTAGATCTTCTCAAATCCCCATGTAAAAACAGAATAATTAGAGGACAAAACTCCAAACCCATGAACAATATTTACAACATACTGGGTGATGAAGTAACTCATAAACCTGAAATTGCAAAGAGGTGGGGACAACCCAAGAGATACTGACAACCATGTGGGAAAAACAGTAGAGGGAAGCAATGGGGTATCTGACAGACCTAAGAAGAAAATTGGTATTCACTAGAGAGTGTTAAGCGCCAATTTGAGAACAACAGCTGAAACCAAAAGGGGTTTTTTCACTCCAATAGCAATTGCATGAAAGGATCCCACAGTCTGAAGGTATACCCAGGCTTGAACAGTCTAGACCCTATAAGCTCTGTATAATAACCAACCATGGATCCCTTCCAGGACAAGTTCACACACTGGGGAGAAACTTCTAGAAATGGAACAAAAACTGAGCAGGGTAGGGAAAACAGAAAGGAAAGAGAGATAAAAGTACTAGGGAAGAAGACAAAGCCAAGAAATCTCAGAAAGCAAATAACTGTGATTTTAACACTACACAAAAACAACAAAATAGGAAGCTCTGTGAAGTTAAAAAATTAATTGAGCCTAGCCTGATGTGGTGGCTCACACCTGTAATGCCAGCACTTTGGGGAGCCAAGGCAGGAAAACTGATTGAAGCCAGGAGTTCTAGACCGCCTGGACAACATAGTGGGAACCTGTCTGCCCCCGCCAAAAAAATTTTTTTTTGAGACGAAGTCTAATTCTTTCACCCAGGCTGGAGTGCAGTGGCGTGATCTCAGCTCACTGCAACCTCCACCTCTGGGTTCAAGTGATTCTCCTGCCTCACCTCCCCAGTAGCTGGGATTACAGGCATGTGTCACCATGCCTGGCCCAAAGAAACCCCTTTTTTTTTTTTTTTTGAGATGGAGTCTTGCTCTATCACCCAGGCTGCAATGGAATGGCGTGATCTCGGCTCACTGCAACCTCCGCCTCCCGAGTTCAAGCGATTCTTCTGCCTCAGCCTCCTGAGTAGCTGGGACTACAGGCGCATGCTACAGTGCCTGGCTAATTTTTGTATTTTTAGTAGAGATGAAGTTTCACCATACTGGCCAGGCTGGTCTCGAACTCCTGACCTTGTGATCCGCCTGCCTCGGCCTCCCAAAGTGCTGGGATTACAGGTGTGAGACACTGCGCCCAGCCCCAAATTTTTTTTTGAAAACTAGCTGGGCATGGTGGCACATGCCTCTAGTCCTAGCTACTTGGGAGGCTCAGGTGGGAAGATTGCTTGAGCCCAGGAAGTCAAGACTGCAGTGAGCAGTGATTATGTCACTGCACTCCAGCCTGGGTGACAGAGTGAGAGTGTCTCAAAATAAAAAAAATAAAAAATAAATAGATGAACACTCTAATATATTGGTGCATAAAAAGCTAAAATGCATTAAGAATATTATGTAAGATGGCCGGGCAGGGCGTCTCATGCCTGTAATCCCAGCACTTTGGGAGGATCACTTGAGGCCAGGAGTTGGAGTCTAGCCTTGGCAGTATAATAAGAACCCCATCTCTAAAAAACAAACAAAAAACTATACAGCATATTTTAAAAATCACACTGTATCTGAAAATGGTGATCCAGAATGACCAACACCAAAACATAGTCTAACAAAATCATTTGACTTGAAAGAAAAAGAGGCCAAGGTGGGCAGTTCGCTTGGGTCCAAGAGTTCGAGACCAGCCTGGGCAACATGGCGAGACTCTGTCTCTACTAAAAATACAAAAAAATAGCTGGGTATGGTGGTGCACGCCTGTGGTCCCAGCTACTGAAGTGGGAGGATCACTTAACCCCAGAGGGTGGAGGTTGCAGTGAGCTAAGATTTCGCCACTGCACTCTATCCTGGGTGATAGAGTGAAACACTGTCTCAAAAAAAAAAAAATTATATCAGTCGGGCGCGGTGGCTCACGCCTGTAATCCCAGCACTTCGGGAGGCCAAGGCAGGTGGATCACCTGAGGTCGGGAGTTCAAGACCAACCTGACCAAGATGGTGAAACCCTGGCTCTACTAAAAATACAAAATTAGCCAGGCGGGGTGGTGCATGCCTGTAATCCCAGCTACTTGGGAGGAGGCAGGAGAATCGCTTGAACCCAGAAGGCGGAGGTTGTAGTGATCTGAGATCAAGCCATTGCACTCCAGGCTAGGCAACAAGAGTGAAACTCTGTCTCAAAAAAAAAAAAAATTATATCTTAGTAAAACCGTTAAAAATAATTTGTGGTTGATATAACTTACAATGAGAGTTCATCAAACTACAAATGAGGTTTCTGGTTTACATAATACTATTCTGATTTTCTTCCTATTTGTCTTCTCCTTCTTGGTCTCTGTGTGTATCTCTTCCTGTTTACTTTTTTTTTTTTTTGAGAGGGAGTCTCGCTCGTCGCCCAGGCTGGAGTGTGCAGTGGCGCAATCTCGGCTCACTGCAAGCTCCGCCACCTGGGTTCACGCCATTCTCCTGCCTCAGCCTCCCGAGTAACTGGGACTACAGGTGCCCACCACACCCGGCTAACTTTTTGTATTTTTAGTAGAGATGGGGTTTCACTGTGTTCGCCAGGATGGTCTTGATCTCCTGATCTCGTAATCCGCCCACCTCAGCCTCCCAAAGTGCTGAGATTACAGGCGTGAGCCACTACACCCGGGCTTTTACCTTTTTTTTTTTTTTTTGAAAAGGAGTTTTACTCTTGTTGCCCAGGCTGGAGTGCAATGGCGAGATCTCAGCTCACCACAACCTCCGCCTCCCGGGTTCAAGTGATTCTCCTGCCTCAGCCTCCTGAGTAGCTGGGATTACAGGCATGCACCACCACACCCAGCTAATTTTGTATTTTTAGTATAAAGACAGGGTTTCTTAGTGTTGGTCAGGCTGGTCTCAAACTCCAGACGTCAGGTGATCCACCCACCTCAGCCTCCCAAAGTGCTGGGATTACAGGCATCAGCCACAGCGCCCAGCCTTGCCCTATTTTAGGAGTGTGATCTTTCTCATTCCTTTTCTCTTACTCTCTATACTCAAACCTGGAAAATACTGTATATGCTCATCACTTCAAGGGCCATTTACATCTCCCAATCTCTCTAGCTCAGATCTTTCTCCTTCTCTATATTCACATATATCTGACTGTCTAGTAGACACATCCATGTAGGAATTCCAAATGTATTCTAAATGAGAAACATGTAAAATTCAACTATCAAATCACAGTTCTGCAAACTATCCTCTCAATATATTCTCTCTGTAAATGGCACCAACTTCCAAACAGATGCCCAAGTCAGAAACCTGGGAGCCAGCCAAGACTCCTTTCCACACTTTACCATCCATATTCAATTGGTCATTTGGTTCATTATGCTTCCTAAAATCCTGTATTTGTGTATTCCTCTCCATCCTACCAACTGTATCCCACTGTATCCCTCCCAAATTCAAGCATTCACATCTTCCACCTTAATCAATGCAAGAGTTTTCATACAAGTCTTCCTCATATTATTCTTGCTCCTTTTCAATCCATCCTACAGCTTAAACCAGGACGATCTATCATCTACATTTCTGGTTGCAGTGAGCTGAGATCACATCACTGCACTCCAGTCTGGGCGAAAATAGCGAAAGTCTGTTTCAGAAAAAATAATAATTATATATATATATATATATAATCTACATTTCCGATCATCTCACTTCCTTGTTCATAACTGGCACTCACTCTGCCAGTTGAGTTGTTCCTGCTAACTAGAGTTCTGCCATAGCCCTCTATCCTATTTCCAAGCTTAGTTTTTTAGCCTTCTAGTCAGTTCTGTGAGCCACTCATCTTTCCAGTAAATTCCCTTCTTGTTTATATTACCCAAGTGATATAGTTTGGCCCTGTGTCCCCACTCAGGGGTTGGAGGTGGGGCCTGGTGGGAGGTGACTGGATCATGGGGTGGTTTCTAATGGTTTAGCACCATCCGCCTAGTGCTGTCTTGTGATAGAGTTCTCCCAAGATCTGTTTTTTTGAAAGTGTGTAGCACTTCCCCTTTTGCTCTCTTCCTCCTGCTCCAGCAATGTAAGACATGCTTGCGTCCCCTTTGCTTTCCACCAGGATTGTAAGTTTCCTGAGGCCTCCCAAGATACAGACGTCTATACAGCCTGTACAATCCCGTACAGTCTTAGCTGGCTCCTGGGTTTCTGACTTGGGCATCTGTTTGGAAGTTGGTGCCATTTACAGAGAGAATACATTTAGTTTGAAGCATTATGATTTGATAATGATAACTTATAGAGAAAAGAGATTTAATTGGCTTCAGGCAACCAATTACTTAGTCTCAGGTATATCTTTTTTTTTTTTTTTTTTTGGAGATGGAGTCTTGCTCCTTCACCCAGGCTGGAGTGCCATGGTGTGATCTCAGTTCACTGCGACCTCCGCCTCCTGGATTCAAGCAGTTCTTCTGCCTCAGCCTCCTGAGTAACTGTGACTACAGGTGCGTGCCACCATGCCTGGCTAATTTTTGTATTTTTAGTAAAGACAGGGTTTCACCATGTTGGCCAGGCTGGTCTCAAACTCCTTACCTCAGGTGATCCGCCCACCTTGCCCTCCCAAAGTGTTGAGATTACAGGCGTGATCCACCGCACCCAGCCCAGGTATGTCTTTATAGCAGTGTGAGAACAGTGTGAGAAGGGACTAACACACCGAGTCAGTTGTTTTGCTTATGACCAAAAAACTGTAACAGATACATGGACCTTGTCTATTTCCTAGCCTTATCTCTCACTATCATACCGTATTTTTTCCCCTCTTTCAATGGTGAAATCCTCATAGTTCTCTTACTCAAAGTGCACCCTTTCCTCTGAAGAAAGCTTTTGACACGGATCTCAGTTCCAGGACAAGTGCTATCTCCTTTCCAGGGCTACTCTGCCTTTCCCAACATGCGTACAATGCACCAGTACACCTTGAACATAACTATTATTTCGGTTATAATTTTGTGTACATATCGCCCACTAGACTCGAAGTCCTTTGAGAGTAGGGATTGTGTGTTTTTTTCTCTGATTCCCCAATCTAGTCCAGTGCCTGGCTTCAAAACGGCCCTCCAAAATGTTTGCTAACGAATGCACAAAACAAATGAAGCCTGCGGGTGCGGTAGCTCACACCTGTAATCCCGGCACTTTGGGAAGGTAAGGTGGGTGGATCATTTGAGGTCAGGAGTTTGAGACCAGTCTGGCCAATATGGTGAAACCCCGTCTCTACTAAAAATATAAAAATTAGCTGGGCATGGTGGTGAGCGCCTGTAATCCCAGCTACTCAGGAGGCTGAGGCAGGAGAATCACCTGAACCTGGGAGGCAGAGGTTGCAGAGAGCCCAGATCGCACCACTGCACTCCAGCGTGGGTGACAGAGCAAGACTCCATCTCAAAAAACAAACAAACACACAAACAAAAAAACAAATGAAGCTTACCATGTGGGACACTGTATAAGGCAGCTTTACGGCCACGGCTCAGTGTTCTCTATTTTTGTTGTTGTTTTTGAGACGGAGTCTTGCTCAGTCGCCCAGGCTGGAGTGCAGTGGCGCGATCTCGGCTCACTGCAAGCTCCGCCTCCCGGGTTCACGCCATTCTCCCGCCTCAGCCTCCCGATTAGCTGGGACCACAGGCGCCCGCCACCACGCCTGGCTAATTTTTTGTATTTTTAGTAGAGACGGGGTTTCACCATGTTAGCCAGGATGGTCTCAATCTCCTGACCTCGTGATCCGCCCGCCTCAGCCTCCCAAAGTGCTGAGATTATAGGCGTGAGCCACCGTGCCCGGCCCAGTGTTCTCTATTTTAAAGGCAAGTATGAACACCTACTAGACGTACATGTAATATTTTCATTTATATATTTTTTCATTTAAGTGGGCCTTCTCAGAAGGAAGTGCTGAGGAGGAATTTCCTTTTCTCCACATAAAGATTTTGCTATTTCAATGGCATCCCAACAAGTTACACAATAAAAAATTTCTTTCCCTTAATTCCCTCATTCCTGGAACTTGCCATTTTGGCTCTTCCTAAGGAATGTTTTCATTAGAATTTGTTTCCATTACAAAGTTCTTATTTAAAATACTCAGGGTTTAGCCATCAGGTGCCTTTCAAGTTATAAACAATAATGTACTTGGGGAATTGGAGAATTCCAGAATGTGGAAGTGTCTCATCCTAATTAGACAGGCTACTATTGCAATATGGAGAGATCAACAGCAAGAGGCTGAAGTTACTGGCCCTCTGGTTTCTCTGGCTTGCATTGCAATTAAATGCCTTCGATCAACTCTTCCAAATCTACTAGTTTACACTCTGGTTCATTTGGGAAAAAGAGGAACAAAAATTTCTTTTTTGTCCAGGTGCAGTGTCTCACGCCTGTAATCCCAGCACTATGGGAGGTCAAGGCGGGCAGATCACCTGAGGTCAGAAGTTCAAGCCTGGCCAACACAGTGAAACACCGTCTCTTAATAAAAATACAAAAATTAGCCAGGCGTGGTGGTGGATGCCTGTAATCCCAGTTACTTGGGAGATTGAGGCAGGAGAATCGCTTGAACCTGGGAGGCAGAGGTTGTAGTAAGACCAGATTGGGCCACTGCACTCCGGCCTGGGCGAAAGAAAAAAAAATTAATTTTTTAATTTTTATTTTTTAATTTAATTAATTAATTTATTTATTTATTTTTGAGACGGAGTCTCGCTCTGTCGCCCAGGCTGGAGTACAGTGGCGCGATCTCGGCCCACTGCAAGCTCCACCTCCCGGGTTCACGCCATTCTTCTGTCTCAGCCTCCTGAGTAGCTGGGACTACAGGCGCCCGCCACCATGCCTGGATAATTTTTTGTATTTTTAGTAGAGATGGGGTTTCACCGTGTTAGCCAGGATGGTCTCGATCTCCTGACCTCGTAATCTGCCCGCCTCGGCCTCCCAAAGTGCTAGGATTACAGGCGTGAGCCACTGCACCCAGCCAATTTTTTAATTTTTAAATTTTGGATTCAGGGGGGTACATGTATAGGTTTGTTACCTGTTATATTACATAATGGTGAGGTTTGGGCTTCTATTGTACCCAACAGGTAATTTTTTTAACCCTTCTTCCCCCACTTTCCCCTTTTGGAGGTCTCAATGTCTATTATTTCCATCCTTATGTCCATGTGTACCTGCTGTTTAGCTCCTATTTTGAGTGAGAACATACGGTATTTGATTTTCTGTATCTGAGTTATTTCACTTCAGACAATGGCCTCCAGCTCCATGCATGTTGCTCCAAAGGACATTATTTCATTCAGAAAAAGAGCAAAACAAAATTGTATGTATTAAAAGCGGATGGTTCTAGGGAACAGGACTGTGGTTAGGAAAGGAGGAGCCAAGGGAACATCTACTTTCATTAATAAGCCCTTCTGTATCGTTTCTTTTTCTTTCTTTCTTTCTTTTTTTTTTTTTTTTTTTTTTGAGACGGAGTCTCGCTCTGTCGCCCAGGCTGGAGTGCAGTGGCACGATCTCGGCTCACTGCAAGCTCCGCCTCCCGGGTTCAAGCGATTGTCCTGCCTCAGCCTCCTGATTAGCTGGGACTACAGGCGCCCGCCACCACGCCCGGCTAATTTTTTGTATTTTTAGTAGAGATGGGGTTTCACCATGTCGGTCAGGCTGGTCTTGATCTCCTGACCTCAGGTGATCCGTCCGCCTCGGCTTCCCAAAGTGCTGGGATTACAGGCATGAGCCACCGCACTCAGCCTCTGTTTCTTTTATAATCATGTGAATGTATTACTGCCTCCTTTAAAATTATGTTTGAATTTTATCCAACTATAAGAGCAACACATATTTGCTCCTTCTGTTCATTGACATCATTTAACGAAAATATTGTAGCCCTAATGATTATTTTCCTGACACCCACTAGACCAGCAGCTTCCAAATGTTTTAAAATTAATTTTCTGAGGCATAATTTACATACAATAAAAAGCACCAATTAAAGTATATTGTTCAATGAGTTTCAACAAATGTATACATCAGTGTAACTACCAGCATAATCAAGATATAGAACATTCATATCACCTGAGAAGGTTCCCATGTCCCCTTGTTACCGGAAAGGGGGGGTCCCAATACAGACACCAAGAAAGGGTTCTTGGACTTCGTGCAAAAAAGAATTTGGGGCGACTCCATACAGTAAAGTGAAAGCAAGTTTATTAAAAAAGTAAAGGAAGGCTGGGCGCGGTGGCTCACGCCTGTAATCCCAGCACTATGGGAGGCCGAGGCGGGCAGATCACGAGGTCAGGAGATCGAGACCATCCTGGCTAACACGGTGAAACCCCGTCTCTACTAAAAATACAAAAAGTTAGCCGGGTGTGGTGGCGGGCGCCTGTAGTCCCAGCTACTTGGGAGGCTGAGGCAGGAGAATGGCGTGAACCCGGGAGGCAGAGCTTGCAGTGAGCCGAGATCGCACCACTACACTGCAGCCTGGGCAAGAGAGCGAGGCTCTGTCTCAAAAAAACAAAAAAAAAAGAAAGTAAAGGAATAAAAGAATGGCTACTCCATAGGCAGAGCAGCCCCGAGGGCTGCCAGCTACTTTTATAGTTATTTCTTAATTATATGTATTATCCTTTTTATATATTTCAAGATGTTATTTTAAAATATTTTGTTGATGAATTTGGAGCCGGGTGCAGTGGTTCATGCCTGTAATCCCAGCACTTTGGGAGGCTGAGGCAGTTGGATTACTTGAGCCCAGGAGTTTGAGACCACCCTGGGCAACATGGCGAAACCGTGTCTCTACAAAAAAAATAGAAAAATTAGCTGGGCATGGTGGCGTGCACCTGTAGTCCCACCTACTCAGGAGGATGATGTGGGAGGATCACCTGAGCACAGGGAAGTCGAGACTGTAGTAAGCTGTGATCACACCACTGCACTCCATCGCGACAAAATGAGACCCTATCTCAAAAGAAAAAAAAATTGCATCTATGTTAATGAGGAATATTGGTCTATAGTTATCTTGCAACGTGGTTGCCTGGTTTTGATATCTGGGTAATGCTGGCATCATAAACTGAGTCAGGAAATGCATCCCCTTTGTTTATTTCCTGGAAGGATTGGTATTTTTTGGTAATTTTTTGTAAAAAAAAAAAAATTTTCTTTTTGAAACGGGGTCTCGCTCTGTCTCCTAGGCTGGAGTGCAGTGGCACCATCTCGGCTCACAGCAATCTCCACTTCCTGGGCTCAAGTGATCCTCCTGCCTCAGCCTCTGGAGTAGCTGGGACCATAGGCGCGTGCCACCACACCCAGCTAATTTTTTTATATTTTTGGTGGAGGTGGGGTTTTGCCTGTTGCCCAAGTGGTGTTGAACTGCTGAGCTCAAGCAATCTGCCCGACTTGGCCTCCGAAAATGCTGGGATTATAGGCATGAGGCACCACGCCCGGCCAGGATTGGTATTATTTGTCTTAAATGTGTGATAGAAATTCACTGGTGAAACTATTTGGGTACAAAGTTTTCTTTTTGGGAAGGTCTTACATGATGAATTCAATTTCTTTAATTGATTTAGGACCATTCAGGTTTTCTATTTCTTCATTAATTTTTATTGATGCATAATACATGCATATAATTTTGGAGAACATGTGATAATTTAATATATTCATATAATTTGTAAAGATCAAGTCGGTGTAGCTAGATATCCATCACTTTAAATATGTTTATTTTCTTTATGCTAGAACCATTTGAATTACTGTCTTCCAGCTATTTTGAAAGGTACAATAGAGTATTGCAAACTATAGTCACACTACTGATCTAACACCGTCTTATTTCTCCTATCAATCGTATATTTATACCCATTTATTTTATTTTATTTTACTTATATTTTGAGATGGAGTTTCACTCTTGTCATCCAGGCTGGAGTGCAATGGCATGATCTCCGCTCACTGTGACCGCCGCCTCTGGGTTCGAGCAATTATCCTCCCTCAACTTCCTGAGAAGCTGGGATTACAGGCACCTGCCACCACACCCAGCTAATTTTTGTATTTTTATTTATTTTTATTTTTTTATTTTTTTTTTTCAAGACGGAGTCTCGCTCTGTCGCCCAGGCTGCAGTGCAGTGGCGCAATCTCAGCTCACTGCAACTTCCTCCTCCTGGGTTGAAGCAATTTTCCTGCCTCAGTCTTCCGAGTAGCAGGGATTACAGGCACACACCACCAGGTCCAGCTAATTTTTCGATTTTTAGTAGAGACGAGGTTTCACCATGTTGGCCAGGATGGTTTCAATCTCCTGCCCAGCCTGTATTCTTTTTTTTCTTTTTCCGAGATGGAGTCTCGCTCTGCCACCCAGGCTGGAGTGCAGTGGCGCGATATCAGCTCACTGCAACCTCCACCTCCTGGGTTCAAGCGATTCTCCTGCCTCAGCCTCCCGAGTGGCTGGTATTACAGGCATGCACCACCACGCCCAGCTAATTTTTGTATTTTTAGTAGAGGCAGGGTTTCACCATGTTGGCCAGGCTGGTCTCAAACTCCTGACCTCAAGCAATCCACCCACCTTGGCCTCCCAAAGTGCTGGGATTACAGCCACCACGCCCAGCCATTTGTACCCATTAATCGACGTCCCTTTATCCTACCCTTTCCCTTTTTTTTTTTTTTTTTCCAAGACAGAGTCTCCCTCTGTCAGCCAGGCTAAAGTGCAGTGGTGAGATCTTGGCTCACTGCAGCCTCTGCTTCCTGGGTTCAAGTGATTCTCCTGCCTCAGCCTCCCAAGTAGCTGGGATTACAGGCATGTGCCACCACGCCTGGCTAATTTTTGTATTTTTAGTAGAGATGGGGTTTCACCATATTGGCCAGGCTGGTCTCGAACTCCTAACCTCAAGTGATCCACCCACCTTGGTGTCCCAAAGTGCTAGGATTTACAGGTGTGAGCCACCACGCCTGGCCCCCTACCCTTTCTTCTTGAATCAGTTTTAGTAATTTGTGATTTTCAGTGAATTTGTCCATAAAACTAAGTTGATCAACTTGTGGGCATAGCATTGTCTGTAGTATTCCTTTATCCTTTAAATGTATGTAGAGTCTAAAATGATAGCCCCTCTTTCATTCTTTGTTGTTGTTGCTCTTTCATTCTTCTTTTTTTTTTTTTGAGACATAGTCTTGCTCTGTCGCCCAGAGCTGGAGTGCAGTGGCACGATCTCAGCTTACATTGCATCCACTGCCTCCCCGGTTTAAGCAATTCTCCTGCTTTAGCCTCGTGAGTAGCTGGGATTACAGGTGTGGGCCACCATGCCTGGTTAATTTTTGTATTTTCAGTAGAAACAGGGTTTCACCATGTTGGCCAGGCTCGTCTCGAACTCCTGACCTCAAGCGATCCACCCGCCTTGGCCTCCCAAAGTGTTGGGATTACAGGCGTGACCCACCTCACCCTGCCCAGCTCTGAAGACATTTCAAAGTAACCTTTTATAATGAGTATGTTAACTTTTTTAGAGTTTCTATGATTAAGATATATTAGACGGCCGGGCGCAGTGGCTCATGCCTATAATCCCAGCACTTTGGGAGGCTGAGGCGGGTGAATCACCCGAGGTCTGGAGTTCGAGACCCGCCTGACCAACATGAGAAACCCTGTCTCTACTAAAAATACAAAATTAGTCAGGTGGGGTGGTGCTTGCCTGTAATCCCAGCTACTCAGGAGGCTGAGGCAGGAGAATCACTTGAACCCAGGAGGCGGAGGTTGTGGTAAGCTGAGATCGCATCATTGCACTCCAGCCTGGGCAACAAAAGCAAAACTCCATCTCAAAAATAAAATAAAATAAAATAAAGATGTACATAATATTATCCTTAGAGATGAGGAACATTTATCAGAATTCACATGTTCCTAATACTTATGTTCTCATTAATTTTCACTGCATCCAATTCAGGTAATTTACCCAAAAAATGACAAGAAACTTTTAAGGTTTCTGGATAAAGAAGTTTGAATTTTTTTTTTAAGACAGAGTCTTGCTCTGTCGCCAGGCTGTATTACAGTGGCGCGATCTCTGCTCACTGCAACCTCCGACTCCCTGGTTCAAGCGATTCTCCTGCCTCAGCCTCCCAAGTAGTTGGGATTACAGCTATGCGCCACCATGCCCAGCGAATTTTTGTATTTTTAGTAGAGATGGGGTTTCACCATGTTGGCCAGACTGGTCTCAGTCTCCTGACCTTGTGATCCACCCTCCTCAGCCTCCCAAAGTACTGGGATTACAGGCCTGAGCCACTGCACCAGCCAAGAAGTTTGAACTTTTAAAGTTAAAAGTATGCCATGCCTCTCAAGAAAAAAATCTCATGCTCTTGACTGGGTGTTGTGGCTCACACCTGTAATCCCAGCACTTTGGGAGGCTGAGGCAAGTAGATTGCTTGAGGTCAGGAGTTTGAGACCAGACTGGCCAACATGGTGAAACCCTATCTCTACCAAAAATACAAAAACTATCTGGGCATGGTGGTGCATGCTTGTAATCCCAGCTACTCAGGAGGCTGAGGAGGGAGAATTGCTTCAACCCGGGAGGTGGAGGTTGCAATGAGCCAAGATCGGGTCACTGCACTCCAGCCTGGGTGACAGAGTGAGGCCCTGCCACAAAAAAAAAAAAAAAAGAAAAGAAAAAAATCTCACGCTCTCAATGGTGATTACTACAAAAATTAGAGGTGGCAATATAATTGGTTAATACTTTTAGAAAGCGACTTAGCAAGAGCTGTAAAAAACAATTGTTAAAAACAAACTTTGATTTGCAAGTTCTAATATTGGATTTTCATTCTAACAAAGTGATCCAAGATACGGAAAAAGCTTTATGCATGAAATCATTGGAAACAACCTGAACATACCCAAATAGTTAAATAAGCCATACTATATCTTCTTAGGACTATTATGCAGTCATTAAAAATCTTCAGTTTGTGTAGCAGCACAGGAAAGCATGCATGAGGCAGGAAAAATACACATGTATGGTTACAACTATGTAGTGGGAAAAAAGTCCTATCCGTAGAGGCTGGAATTAACAAAAATGTCAGCTGCTTTTTCCATTGGGTTAGAAAAATAAGTACATTTTTCTCTGTTTTTCTGTATTTTTCAAATTCTATTTTATTTTATTCGTTTTGTAGAGACAGGATCTTGCTCTGTTGCCCAGGTCAGAGTGCAGTGTTGTGATCCTAGCACACCAGCCTCAAGCAATCTTCCCACCTTGGCCTCCCAAAGAGCTAGGATTATAAGTGTGAGCCACCATGCCCAGCCATTTTCCAAATTCTATTTAATAGCATGTTAATTTTAAAATAAAATATCTAGGCCAGGTGCTGCAGCTCACGCCTGTAATCCTAGCACTTTGGGAGACAGAGGCAGGCAGATCACATGAGGTAAGGAGTTTGAGACCAGCCTGGCCAACATGGTAAAACCCTGTCTCTGCTAAAAATACAAAAATTAGCCATGTGCGTTGGTGCACACCTGTAATCCCAGCTACTCAGGAGACTGTGGCAGAAAAATCGCTTGAACCTGGGAGGCAGAGGTTGCAGTGAGCCGAGATCACCCTACTGCACTCCGGCCCAGGGGACAGAGCAAGATTCTGTCAAAAGAAAGAAAGGAAGAAAGGAAGAAAGGAAGGAAGGAAGAAAGAAAGACAGGAAAGACAGGAAAGAAAGGAAAGAAAGGAAAGGAAAGAAAGGAAAGAAAGGAAGAAAGATCTAATATATCTGGCCAGGTGCAGTGGCTCACGCCTGTAATCCCAGCACTTTGGAAGGCCGAAGCCAAGGCTGGTGGCTCTCCTGAGGTCAAGAGTTCAAGACCAGCCTGGCCAACATGGTGAAACCCCATTTCTACTAAAAATACAAAAATTAATCAGGTCTGGTGGTGCACATCTGTAGTCCCAGCTACTCAGAAGGCAGAGGTGGGAGGATCACTTGAGGCTGGGAGGCAGAGGTTGCAGCAAACCGAGATTGTGCCACTGCACTCCAGCCTGGGTGTCAGAGTGAGACCCTGTCTCAAAAAAAATACAAATAAAATGAATAAAAAATAAAATATCTAGTGAAATGTTGGCTGTTAGGATTTAAAATAAAAAAATACATAATATAAAAAGCACAATAGAAAAATACATAATATGAAATGATGAAACATCAAAACAGGAAAATACATCTCAAAAGCACAATGATTGTATTTACAGTATAATTGTAACTGTGTTTCAAGTGTGTGTGTGTGTATGGTGAGAGAGAGAGAAAATAGAAAGAAAAATATCAAAATGCCAGGAAGGATTGTATAAAGTAGGGTTGTAGTTATTTTTTCTCTTATTTTCTAAATTTTCTGTAAGTTATTTGTGTTACTTTTAAAATAAATACCCTTTTGACAAATTACCTGGCTGACTCATAGGGAGTCAATTGCACCCAGGCACCCTAGTTTACCCCAGGCCTCATCTCAGCTTGCTGCTGGGACATGCATTGTCTCAAAACAATAAGATGCTTATAGGGAATTAAAGTTCTATTGTGCCATAATTTATCAAGCTCTTAGACAGATAGGGGCAAAGCCGCTGCAGTGACTTTTCGTACTATAGCTGAAAGAACGCTGAATGGGACAAGAAGCCAAGAAACACTGGTTCTGTTTTCAGTGCTGCATTTTTGTCCAGGGTGGTCATTTAACCTCCTTTCCTTATTCCAATACTAAAAGGGTCAGATTACTTGTGAGTCGCTAATTATAGGTTATGTACAGAAAAGTCAGCCGAGTAGAGGAGATACAGAAAATTAGTGGTAGACTAGAGCAAGACTCCAAGAGTTTGGGAAGCATGGTTTATGACTTCTCAGACTAGGAAAATACAGAGTAAGTAAAGAACTCAACAGTGGTTCGAGACAAAAATGCAGGATTTCCCAAAATGTAGACAAGAAATCTGGGCAATGGCGCACAGCACTAGCAACAGGTCTTGCGTTAACAGGAATTTTTTTGGACTTTATCTAGCAAAGAACAGAAATTCATCCTAAGGTGTAACCGCACACACAGAATTTAGGTAGGCACTCCAGGCTAGAATTAAGATGTAGAGAAAAGTGCTGTTTCAGGTATAGATGAGTGTTTCACTTGAGAGAATACTGTAATGAAGCCCAAAGGCTCATTTAGTTTGGGGAGTCTAGTAGTTATCAAACACACTGTCCAGTAGAACTTTTTTTTTCTCTTTTTTTTTTCTGAGACATTATCTCGCTCTGTCGCCCAGGCTGGAGTCCAGTGGTGCAATCTTGGCTCACTGCAACCTCCGCCTCCCGGGTTCAAGCGATTCTCCCGCCTCCGCCTCCTGAATAGCTGGGACTACAGGTGCGCGCCACCACGCCGGGCTAATTTTTTTTTTTTTTAGATGGAGTTTCGCTCTTGTCACCCAGACTGGAGTGCAGTAGCATGATCTTGGCTCACTGCAACCTCCGCCTCCCTGGTTCAAATGATTCTCTCACCTCAGTTTCCCGAGTAGTTGGGATTACAGGCACCTGCCAGCATACCTGGCTAATTTTTGTATTTTTAGTAGACAGAGGGTTTCACCATGTTGGCCAGGCTGGTCTCAAAGTCCTGACCTCAATTGATCCACCTGCCTCAGCCTCCCAAAGTGCTGGGATTACAGACGTGAGCCACTGTGCCTGGCTTTTTTTTTTTTTGCTACAGAGTCTCAGTCTGTTGCCCGGGCTGGAGTGCAGTGGTGCGATGTCAGCTCATTGCAACCTCCACCTCTCAAGTTCAAGTGTTTCTCCTGCCTCAGCCTCCCAAGTAACTGGGATTACTTGTGCGCTATCACGCCTGACTAATTTTTGTATTTTTTGTAGAGACAGAGTTTCACCATGTTGGCCAGGCTGGTCTCCAACTCCTGACTTCAGGTGATTCGCCTGCCTCAGCCTCCCAAAGTGCTGGGATTACAGGCATTAGCCACCTTACCCGGCAGAAAAATCCTTTTTTTTTTTTGAGACGGAGTCTCGCTCTGTCACCCAGGCTGGAGTGCAGTGGTGTGATCTCGGCTCACTGCAACCTCTGCCTCCCAGGTTCAAGCGATTCTCCTGCCTTAGCCTCCCAAGTAGCTGGAATTACAGGCAAGTGCCACCACGCCCAGCTAATTTTTGTATTTTTAGTAGAGACAGGGTTTCACTGTCTTGGCCAGGCTGTTCTCAAACTCCTGACCTTGTGATCCACCTGCCTCGGCCTCCCAAAGTGCTGGGATTACACGCGTGAGCCACTGCGCCCAGCCTGAGGGGTAATACCTTGTACTTTTTTCTTTTTTTTTTTTTTTCAAATTGTACTTTATACCATGTATGTAAATATGTTATGAGTAGTAACTGAATGGTCTTGCAGATCACCTGAGGTCAGGAGTTCAAGACCAGCAACTGAATGGTTCTATAAGAAGCTAAATGAAGTTCAAGAATTTTACAGGAATCCATGCCTTTTGCAGAGTAAACCTAGACTGACCACATACCGGGCTCAATCTGAAGATGCATTCACCAAAGATGAACCAGTAACTACTTTGGCCCCAAGTGACTTTCTAATCTAAGTATAAGGTGAGACAACGCAACTGCAGGGCTGAGCCAACTGCCCTCAGGCCTGCCTTAATCTTAACCTCAGACTAGATCTGGGCTCTGGAGTTCGGAAAGGCAAAAAAATTCTTTCAGTGGCAGTCAGAATCAACTAGTGCAGACAAGGATGCTCCTGATCTTAGATTGTTCCTAAGAGCAAAAAGAATAACAGAGTCGAATCACAGATTTATAAACTGGACTCTGGACCTAGAAATCCAGACATTTCTTTCCACCCTGACCCAATTAAGAAAAGTGAGAGATTGTTTTTTTAAGTAGAGTATGACAAAACAGGTTTATTGGTTATTTTACACAAAAGAATGTTAGCAATTTGCAAGCATTCAATACTTTAAAAGGCTCAATACAAGCTGCCTTCCTTTCACCCTAAGAAAGTATACTAACTCCAGGCAAATAGAATGGAGTCAGGCTTCAAGTTTATATAACAGACAGACTAAAAAGAAACCCAGGGTCCCTGCTTTGTTAGGAAAATGGACAAAACCAGCTAAAAATAAAGGAAATAAAAACAAATTAAAATAAAGATATTGGCTGGGCACCGTGCCTCACACCTGTAATCCCAGCACTTTGGAAGCCAAAGGCAGGTGGACCACAAGGTCAGTCAGGAGTTCGAGACCAGCCTGGCCAACATGGTGAAACCCCATCTCTACTAAAAATACAAAAATTAGCCGGGCGTGGTGGCACGCACCTGTAATCCCAGCTACTCAGGAGGCTGAGGCAGGAGAATTGCTTGAACCCGGGAGGCGGAGGTTGCAGTGAGCAGAGATTACACCACTACACTCCAGCCTGGGTGACAGAGTGAGACTCCATCAAAAAACAAATAAAACAAAAATTAAATTATTGATTCCTATAACATTATTTGCCTAAGAGACAGACAAAACATTCAACATTCAAACATAAAGTTAATATTATATTTTAAAAAGGAAAAAAGTGGTTACTCTGGGCACACTGCCTATGGTGTAGCCCTGCTCCACAAGGAGCGGTAAAAAAAAATAAATAAAACAAATAAATAAAAAGGAAAAAAGTACTGGTAAAGTTATCAGGTACCAATTTTTTAAATGAATTGTTAATAGTTTTACCAGGTCTCTTCAAAGGAATCCAAAAGTCAAGAAGCAAAACAAAATTTGAAAATGATGGAGTCTTCCTGATACTAAGCCCAAGATTCTTCCTTTCTTCAAATCCTCTAAACCCAAATTATGAAAAATAATGCACTCTGGTCACTGAGAACATTTCTACACAGTGACATAATCAGAAATTATACTTCTTCCATTATTTAACTTATTCATTCTCATTCTCCGCATACCAGGAACACAGGAGTAAGCAAGAGGATATAATTTTCCCCTGTGACTGAAGCATTACTACATTTACAACATGAGAAACCTGGGCACTGTGGAAAGCCCTGATGGCAAAGGAAATAAGCCATCTGTATGGCCTTAAGAACAAACTGCCCATCTCTAGGGCAGATTTAGAAAAGGACTTATCCAGGAATCGATCTTCTCCAAGGCTGGACAGGGAGGGAGTGTGGAAACCACAGTCTTTCTGATAGGATAAAAAGTGTCACTTGGAGACACTCTGGTTTCCTGAGGAAAGGAAGACATTGAAACAGCCTGTTTTGTGCATTTTAAATCTTCCTTGTTTTCCACCATCAATAACTGTTCTGTCTCCTCTTTCAAAGATAAACTTGCCTGAAACTCATGTTTGGGTGTCATAAAGTGTTCTTTCTGAGTTATTCTCTGGTCCTCTGACCCCTTTGACTTTGTGCAAATGAGTTTGTTACTGGAATCCTCACTGGTTTCCCCTTCCTCTGTGGGAGGTAGATGTTGAGGATTTGTAGCTTGTTTATTCAAAGATTCTTCTTTCAGTAAATTCACATCCCCGTGAAAGTCTTGAGATGTAAAACTTGGAGCTTTATCTATCCTAAAATTTTTACCAAATAAGAAGCCTTTGACTTTCTCCTCTTTCCCTGCTGTCTCTGTCACTAATTTCTTTGGCTGTAGCACTGTCCTTATCAGGAGTCCCTGTGCATTCACCCTATATTCTCTTGCAGCTTTCTCCCTGCGCTGCTTCTGGAAGTCCTTGAGTTGAAGCAGTTCCTCTGGCAGCTCCATACATGTAGGCTAAGAAGAGAAAGCGAACACAAGTTTATTATAACTAAACTTCTGAATATGGTACTTAAAATCACTTTTTTTTTTTTTTGAGATGGAGTCTCGCTCTGTCGCCCAGGCTGAAGTGCAGTGGCACGATCTCGGCTCACTGCAAGCTCTGCCTCCTGGGTTCAGGCCATTCTCCTGCCTCAGCCTCCCAAGTAGCTGGGACTACAGGCGCCTGCCACCACGCCCAGCTAATTTTTTTTCTATTGTTAGTAGAGACAGAGTTTCACTGCGTTAGCCAAGATGGTCTCGATCTCCTGACCTCGTGATCCACCTGCCTCGGCCTCCCAAAGTGCTGGGATTACAGTCGTGAGCCATAGTGCCCGGCCTGAAATCACTTCTGTTGTACCAAATGGTAATTGGTAAATGAGAGTCTATTCAAATGTGTTCATATAGCACCCTCTGGTGTCTTCAATTATAGTAGTATCATTTTTCTAGTAATTTCAATATTTTGAAAAGGCAGTGAATCCATAGGGCTGTGTGTCTCTGTGTGTATGCACGTATGTATAAAGACTATACAGGAAAAGTTAGTCTCCCTTCCAGCCTGGCCTCAGCTGCGTTAGCAGGTACATCTTCTTAGAGCAGTTTCTTGTGTTATCTCCCAAAGATAGTCTACTCATGTATGATCATATACATATTTTTTCATTGGATTACATTTTTATTTTCCTCCAAATTTTTATTTTGTTATCTCTTTCAGGTTTTGGGAAGTTTTTTGTTTTGTTTTGTTTTGATTTTTTTAGACAGGGTCTTGCTCTGTTGCCTTGGCTGGAGTGCAATGGTGTGATCATGGCTCACTGTAACCTATAACACCTGGCCTTTAGTGATCCTCCTGCCTCAGCCTCCTGGGTAGCTGGAAGCACAGGTGCATGCCACCATGCCTTGCTAATTTTTGTGGGGTTTTTTTTGAGACAGGGCCTTGCTCTGTCACCCAGGCTGAAGTACAGTGGTGTGATCATGGCTTACTGCAATCTCCACCTCCTGGGCTCAAGCAATCCTCCCACGTCAGCCTCCCCCACTCAGAGGAGCTGCAACTTCAGGTGTGTGCCACCACGCCTGGCTAATATTTAATTTTTTTGTAGAGACAGGGTTTCACTATGCTGGCCAGGCTGGTCTTGAATCCCTGGGCTCAAGTGATCCTCCCACCTCAGCCTCCCAAAGTGCTGGGATTATAAGCATGAGCCACCACACCCGGCATCCGATTATATTTTTTAGCTGCTTGTATGGATATCAAAAATCTAGTAATTTTTACATTTGTACCCAGGCACTTTATAAATTGTCTTTTTGTTTGTGGTAGTCTTTTTCAGTTGTTTCTCTTCAGTTTTTAGTTGTATAGCTGGCAAGTCATAATTCTGATTCCTTTTTTCAATTTCCATAGCTCATATTTTATTTTCTAATTTCACTGGCTAATAGCTTCAAAAATACTAAAATAGTGGTGATAGTCACAATTTTTGTACTGTTCCTGATATTAGTGTTCTCAAACAAATATGCAGTCTTCTCTCTTGAGATACTTTCCATATCCATGGGTTCTGCATCCATGGATTCAACCAACTGTAGATTGCAATAGTCAGGAAAAAGTGGCTCACGCCTGTAATCCCAGCACTTTGGGAGGCTGAGGTGGGTGGATCACTTGAGGTCAGGATTTCCAGACCAGTCTGACCAACATGGCCAAACCCCATCTCTACTAAAAATATAAAAATTAGCTGAGCACGGTAGCACATGCTTTTAATCCCAGCTACTCAGGAGGCTGAGGGAGGAGAATCACTTGAACTCAGGAGGTGGAGGTTGCAATGAGCCAAGATTGCACCACTGCACTCCAGCCTGGGTGATGAGCAAGACTCTGTCTCAAAAAAAAAAAAAAAAAAATCAGAAAAAAAAAGAATGGTTGCATTTGAAATGATGATGCACAAACTTTTTTTTCCATGTCATTATTCCCTAAACAATGCAATATAACAACTATTTACATAGCATTTACGTTGTATTAGCTATTATAAGTAATCTAAGAATGATTTGAAGTATAGGAGAGGATATGATAGTGAAAAATGAAAAAATGCTGCTGCACATTTCCGTATAACCTATACATATCCTCCCCTATACTTTAAATCATCCTTACATTTCATATAAGGGACATACATTTCATCCATATATTTCTTTTTTTTTTCTTTTAGGAGATGGAGTTTTGCTCTTGTTGCCCAGGCTGGAGTACAATGGTGCACTCTCGGCTCACTGCAACCTCCACCTCCTGGGTTCAAGCGATTCTTTTTTTTTTTCTTTTTTTTTTTTTTGAGATGGAGTTTCGAGCCCAGGCTGGAGTGCAATGGCGTGATCTCAGCTCACCGCAACCTCCGCCTCCCAGGTTCAAGCGATTCTCCTGCCTCAGCCTCCCGAGTAGCTGGCATTACAGGCATGCGCCACCATGCCCGGCTAATTTTGTATTTTTAGTAGAGATATGGTTTCTCTATGTTGGTCAGGCTGGTATCAAACTCCTGACCTCAGGTTATCCGCTCGCCTGGGCCTCCCAAAGTGCTGGGATTACAGGTGTGAGCCACCACACCCGGTCTGTCCAAGCAATTCTCCTGCCTCAGCCTCCCAAGTAGCTGGGATTACAGGCATGCACCACCATGCCCAGCTAATTTTTGTATTATTAGTAGAGACAGGGTTTCACCATGTTGGCCAGGCTGGTCTTGAACTCCTGACCTCAGGTGAACCACCCACCTTGGCCTCCCAAAGTGCTGGGATTACAGGCATGAGCCACTACACCCGGCTCATCCATACGTTTCATATAATCATCCATACATTTCACATAAGGGACTTGAGCATTATGGGTTTTGGTATCCATGGGGGGATGTTGGAACCAATCCCCCACAGATGCTGAGAGATGACTGTATATGTTTTATTATGTTAGAAAAGTTACCATCTATTCCAACTTTGACCAATAATGCATGTAGAGTATTATAATTTATTCAGCATTTATAAGATAATCATAACACTTTCTTGGCTCTACTGAAATGTATGATTTTGTCACACTGAACCATGCTTGCAACTAGAATCCAATGACACATTAAAAATAATAACATATATAGGGTTCATATAAAAAATGCTAGTATTAGGCCGGGTGCAGTGGCTCACGCCTTGTAAATCTAGCACTCTGGGAGGCCGAGGCGGGTGGATCACCTGAGGTCAGGAGTTCGAGACCAGTCTGACCAACATGGAGTAACCCCGTCTCTACTAAAAATACAAAATTAGCCAGGCGGGGTGGTGCATGCCTGTAATCCCAGCTAATCAGGAGGCTGAGGCAGGAGAATCGCCTGAACCCAGGAGGTGGAGTTTGTAGTGAGCCGGTATCACACCACTTCACTCCAGCCTGGGCAACAAGAGCGAAACCCCGTCTCAAAAAAAAAAAAAAAAAAAAAAGCTAGTATTTTAAGATTTTACATCAATATTCATAAGTAAAAGTGGTTTATAACAGCAACTGGCAAACTTTTCCTGTAAAGAACAAAACAGCAAATATTTTAGGCTTTGTGAGCCATAGTCTCATATACTACTTCTACTACTTTTTTTTTTAACAATACTTTAAAAATGTAAAAATTGTTCTTAGCTCATGAGCTGGAGAAAACAGTCTGCAGGCCAGATTTGGCCAGCGGGCTATAGTTTGCCAAATCCTGATCTATAGTCTCCCTCCCCTCTTTTTCCTCCCTCTCCCTCCTCTTCCCCCTCCCCTTGTCCCCTCCACTCTCCTCCCTTCCCCTCCCCTTCCCTCTCATTTCTTGTCTTTTCTTTTCTTTTTCAGACAGAGTTTCTGCTGGTCACCCAGGCTGGAGTGCAGTGGCAGAATCTCGGCTCACTGCAACCCCTACCTCCTGGGTTCAAACGATTCTCCTGCCTCAGGCTCCCAAGTAGCTGGGACTACAGGTGCCCGCCACCATGCCCAGCTAATTTCTGTATTTTTTGTAGAGACGGGGTTTCACCATGTTTGCCAGGCTGATCTCAAACTCTTGACCTCAGGTGATCACCAGCCTCGGCCTCCCAAAGTACTGGGATTACAGGTATGAGCCACCGTACCTGGCCCTGGCCCTTTTTTTTGAGACAGTCATTGTTAATATTCATAGTATGCTTGAAAAATGATTGAAATTCTCAGTTTAATAGTTTAAGCTTTTCCTTTTTTTTCTTTTCTTTCTTCTTTTTTTTTTTTTTTTTGAGACAGAGTCTTGCTCTGTCACCCAGGCTGGAGTACAGTGGTGTCATCACAGCTCACTGCAACCTCCACCTCCCGGGTTCAAGCTGTTCTCCTGCCTCAGCATCCTGAGTAGATGGGATTACAGGCATGTGCCACCACGCCTGGCTCATTTTTTGTATTTTTAGTAGAGATGGGGTTTCATCATGTTGGCCAGGCTGGTCTCAAACTCCTGACCTCAGGCCTATAGTTTTTTATATCTCTCTGCTGCATAAGAATAAATATGGAGGCCAAGCACGGTGGCTTATGCCTATAATCCCAGCACTTTGAGAGGCCAAGGCAGGCTCATCACCTAAGGTCAGGAATTCAAGACCAGCCTGGCCAACATGGTAAAACCCCATGTCTACCAAAAATACAAAAATTAACAGGGCATGGTGGCAGGTGCCTGTAATCCCAGCTACTCAGGAGGCTGAGGCAGGAGAATTCCTTGAACCCAGGAGGCGGAGGCTACAGTGAGCTGAGATCATACCACTGCACTCCAGCCTGAGTGACAGAGCGAGACTCCATCTCAAAAAATAAAAATAGGCTGGGCGTGGTGGTTCATGCCTGTAATCCCAGCACTTTGGGAGGCCAAGGTGGGCGGATCACAAGGTCAGGAGTTTGAGACCAGCCTGGCCAACATGGTGAAACCCCATTTCTACTAAAAATACAAAAAATTAGCCAGGCGTGGTGGCACATGCCTGTAATCCCAGTTACTCAGGAGGCTGAGGCAGGAGAATTGCTGGAACCCAGGAGGCGGAGTTTTCAGTGAGCTGAGATCATGTCATTGCACTCCAGCCTGGGCGACAGAGTGAGACTCTGTCTCAAAAAAAATAAATAAATAAAATAAAATAAAATAAAATAAAAATATGGAAATATTAAACTTACCCATTCTTAGACAGAAGTATTTCTTGGATACCTAACTTAACATTATGAAAAAGTGAGGGGATGGATCATGCCCAAGCTGTTGCCCCTTCAAGAGTATTTATCCCCAAGTTGACCCCATGAAAACTATCGCAGCTATGAAGAAAGGGTATCACTGTGTCTGCCTTCCTTGAGAAGGCAGAAAGGAGGTCCTGAAGACAGAGAGCTGCACCTACCTCAGTGCCTCCAAGCCGGTCTGCAGACCCTTCGCGATACGTGTTTAGGTAACCATCCACCAGGGTGGTTAGGTCAGACATCATCTCATCTAGGAGTGCCAAGCGAAGGGGTAACAGGTAGGTAGCTTCCAGGGCCAAAATTTTCAGTAAAGAGGGTGAAACAGGTCGGATGAACCATACTTCTGGATTTTCCTGGAGACAATAAAACAATTTCCTCTGAACAGTAAGCAAGACTTTAAAGAAAATAACTGTTTTAGGCTGGGCACAGTGGCTCATGCCTGTAATCCCAGCACTCTGGGAGGCTGAGGCAGGCGGATCACAAGGTCAAGACATCAAGACCATCCTGGCCAACAAGGTGAAACCCCATCTCTACTAAAAATACAAAAATTAGCTGGGCATGGTGGCACGCGCCTGTAGTCCCAGCTACTCAAGAAGCTGAGGCAGGAGAATCGCTTAAACCTGGGAGGCGGAGCTTGCAGGGTTGCAGTAAGCTGAGATTGCGCCACTGCACTCCAGCCTGGTGACAGAGCGAGACTCCGTCTCAAAAAAAGAAAAAAAAAGAAAAGAAAAGAACTGTTTAAAGTATTGCTTAATTTAAGACACTATCATTTTCTTCTATTATTACCTTCTATTTTCACACTATTGATAGCCTTTGAGCATACACATGCTTGCACACATACTCCTACATTAACAGTGTGTGTGTAACAGAGAAAGAGAGGGGTAGAGGTTGGTCAATCAAGACTTCTCAAAGCTAGAGGCAGCAAACTTGATTATGTGAACAGAATTGCAGCCAATACAATTATGACCTAAGTTTGCATGCAAGGATGTCAGAAGGTAAAGAAAATTTACTTTACTTTGGGAGAAATAACTAGGGTGATTTTGGTTCCATTGCCTTGATCAAAATTCTCACAAAAATTTCCCCCTTGTCCCAGCTAGAAAATTTATTTAAGAGTGCTTATTTGTTTATTTATTTATTTATTTATTTATTATTTTTTGAGACAGAGTCTCACTCTGTTGCCCAGGCTGGAGTGCAGTGGCACGATCTCAGCTCACCGCAATGTCCACCGCCCCTGCCCCCAACTCCAAGTTCAAGCGATTCTCCTGCCTCAGCCTCCCGAGTAGCTGAGACTACAGACACCTGCCACCATGCCCAGTTAATTTTTGTATTTTTAGTAGAGGAGATTTCACCATGTTAGTCAGGCTGGTCTTGAACTCCTGACCTCAGGTGATCCGCCCGCCTCAGCCTCCCAAAGTGTTGGGATTATAGGCGTGAGCCACCGAGCCCGGCCTAAGACTGCTTTTTAATTAATAGCTAACAAATCTGGATCCTGGCTTTTATCCACTTGAGACCAGATATAAACCATTCCCATTTGGTACAGTTAAGATTTTGGCAATGTTCATATGATAACATGGCAGCTGTCATTTTTCTACATAACAGGCTGATAATACTGCTCAGAAAACACTTGAAAAAAAATAATGTCATACAGGACATCCTTTACACCCACCTGAATTAGTTTTTGTCTCTTTTCTAGAAAGGAGAGATATTTAGGGGCTACTTGAAGGTGTTTGATTAAACTCTCCTGCAAAGTAGTGATGCAGTTTGGAAGATAGCCACCCGTTTCCATGGAAAACTGAAGTACATCTGCTACCTGTGGTATTTTAAAAAGACAAACAGACCAGTTGAATATATACAGAGAGCTATCTCATGCCAGAAATATATTTAGAGAAATGTCTAAATAACATTTTCCCCAAGGACCCACACGATAGACCATGTCATCGGAAAATTTAAAGTTGTTCAGCCAACTTATTCTGAAAAATGAGAAAAAAAAAACGGAATAAAAGCTCAATTTTTTTTTTTGAGGTGGAGTCTCGCTCTGTCGCTCAGGCTGGAGTGCAGTGGCATGATCTCAGCTCACTGCAACCTCCACTTCCCAGGTTCAAGTAATTCTCCTGCCTCAGCCACCCGAGTAGCTGGGACTACAGGTGCAGGCTACCACGCCTGGCTAATTTTCAACTTTTTTTTTTTTAAGAGACAGGGTCTTACTATGTCGTCCAGGCTGGAGTGCAGTGGCTATTCACAGGCAGGATTCCACTACTGATGAGCACGGAGGTTCTGACCTGTTCCATGTCTGATCTGGACTCGTTCACCCTCCCTTAGGCAACCTGGTGGTTCTCCCCGCTCCTGGGAGGCCACCACATTGATGCCAATCTCAGTACAGGCACCCAATCAGCACAGCGCCCTACAGTCCAAAACTCCTTAGCTCAAGCAATCCTCCCACTACAGCCTCCATAGTAACCATGACTACAGACACAACCCATCACACCCAGCAACCCAACTTTGCGTTTCCTTAACTACTTTCTTTTTTCTTTTCTTTTCCTGAGGCAGTCTTCCTCTGTCGCCCAGAGCTGGAGTGCAATGGTGTGATCTTGGCTCATTGCAACCTCCACCTCCCGGATTCAAGCAATTATCCTGCCTCAGCCTCCCGAGTAGCTGTGATTACAGGTGTGTGCCACCATGCCTGGCTAATTTTCATATTGTTAGTGCAGACAGGGTTTCACCATGTTGGCCAGGATAGTCTCGATCTCTTGACCTCGTGATCCGCCCGCCTTGGGCTCCCGAAGTGTTGGGATTACAGGCGTGAACCACTGCGCCAGGCATTTTTTTTTTTTTTTTTTTTTTTTTTTTTTTTTTTTTTGAGATAGGGTCTTGCTCTATCTCCCAGGATGGAGTACAACGCCACAATCATGGCTTACTGCAGCCTCAATCTTCCAAGTTCAAGGGATCTTCCCACCTCAGCCTCGAGTAGCTAGGACTACAGGCACATCCCACTATGCCTGGCTAGTATTCTTAAGATTTTTTTTTTTTTTTTTTTTTTTGAGACGGAGTCTCGTTCTGTCGCCCAGGCGGGAGTGCTGTGGCGCGATCTCGGCTCACTGCAAGCTCCGCCTCCCGGGTTCACGCCATTCTCCTGCCTCAGCCTCTCCAAGTAGCTGGGACTACAGGCGCCCGCCACCACGCCCAGCTAATTTTTTGTATTTTTAGTACAGACAGGGTTTCACCGTGCTCTCGATCTCCTGACCTTGTGATCCGTCCGCCTCGCCCTCCCAAAGTGCTGGGATTACAAGTGTGAGCCACCGCGCCCGGCCTCTTAAAATTTTTTTGTAGAGACAGTGTCTCACTACGTTGTTCGGGCTGATCTCGAATTCCTGGGCTCAAGCAATCCTCCTGTCTCGGCCTCCCAAAGTGTTGGGATTACAGGCGTGAGCCACTGCACCTAATGTTTTTATTTTCTCCTTGTGTTATAATACCTACCTGCCTTATGGTTATTTATTAGTCTTTGTTACCCTTTAGGGAATCAAGAAAGGAAGATAAAATTCAAGAATTATTTTTAGTGGGCTGAGAATGCATTCCTATAGTGCCAGCTAGTCGGGAGCTGAACCAGCAGGATCTCCTGAGCTCAGGAGTTCGATGCCAGCATGGGCAACATAGTGAGACTCCGTTTCTGGGGGGGAAAAAAATGGGCCTGGCATGTTGGCTCACACCTGTAATCCCAGCACTTTGGAAGCCAAGGCTAGAAGACTGTTTGAGGTCGGGAGTTCAAGACCAGCCTGGACAATATAGAGAGACCCCATATCTTAAAAAAATTTTAAAAATCAGCCAGGCATGGTGGTGTGTACCTGTAGTCCCAGCTACTTGGGAGGCTGAAGTGGAAGGATGGCTTGAGCCCAGGACTTCGAGGCCACATTAGCAGAGAGCTATGATCATGCCACTTCACTCCAGCCTGGGCAACAGAGCCAGACCTTGTCTCAAAAAAAAAAAATTACTTTTATTATCTACTGGTAACCAAGAAAATTTTGTAAGAAAAGCTAATAAAATAAATAATTATAATTATTTATCTATATGTGGTAGGCTGGCCAATGGCCCCCAAAGATAACTTCTTCATAACCACAGGAACCTGTATCTTACATGCAAAAGGGACTTTGCAGCTGTGATTAAGTTAAGGATTTTGAGATGAGATTATCCTGAATTACCCAGGTAGGCCCTAAATGGAATGACAAGTGATTTTTTTTTTTTTTTTTTTTTTTTTTTGGTGAGACGGAGTCTTGCTCTCTCTCCCAGGCTGGAGTGCAGTGGTGCAATCTTAGCTTACTGCAAGCTCTGACTCCCAGGTTCACACCATTCTCCTGCCTCAGCCTCCCGAGTAGCTGGGACTACAGGCGCCTGCCACCATGCCCGGCTAATTTTTTGTATTTTTAGTAGAGACAGGGTTTCACCATGTTAGCCAGGATGGTCTCAATCTCCTGAACTCGTGATCTGCCCACCTTGGCCTCCCAAAGTGTTGGGATTACAGGTGTGAGCCACCGTGCCGGGCCTGAAAAGTGATTTTTTTAACAGCAAGGCAGACGGAGATTTTACTACAGTCAGAGGAGAAGGTGATGTGATGATGGAAGCAGGGATTACAGTGATGCACTTTGAAAATGGAGGAAGGGGCTACAAGCCAAGGAATACAAGTGGCCACTAGAAGCTGAAAAAGGCAAGGAAACTCTCTCTTCAGAAGAGCCTCTAGAAGAAATCAGCCCTGCAAGACACCTTGACTTTAGCCTAGTGAAAATGATTCAAGACTTCTGACCCTAAAACAATAAAATAATAAATTTGCATTGTTTTAGGCCACTAAATTTGTGGTGATTTGTTACAGCAGCAATAAGAAACTAATACACTGTTATAGAAAAAGAAATTGGTGAAAATTCTGCTTCTTGGACTATGTAACTCTAAAAAGAAAAACATGAACAGATATGCCAAGGTCTTCATTAGACAATACGTATAAGATCTAATCAAGAAGCCTAATGGCCTCAAGGAAACAAACAGCAATTATGTTAGATTTTGGAGTAAGCATAAAAGCAATCTCTACAAATGGCAGCAAATACATTATAAGTAGATACATAAACAGAAAAAGTGAACCAAATATAGTAACATAAAATTGAACTTTTAGAGATTGCTGCTCAAAAATAATTGGCCAACTTATTAGTTCAGTTTCTCTCCAAAGGCTCTAAGCTTGTGTAATCAAGATTTCCCTTTTACTATCATAAACCTAAAAGACTAGAAGAACCTGAAGAAAACATAATGAAACTAGTGGTTTTACTGCTCTCACAGCCAAACCAGAAACCCAGATCAGCTCTAAGAGCTAGTAGAGGTTCATGCCTTTACTTGGGTGGCTGAGGCAGGAGGATGGCTTGAGAGTAAGGGCTTGAGACTAGCCTGGGCAACACAGTAAGACTCCACTTCTAAATAATAATAACAACAACAATAATGCTGGTAGAATCTAGGGCTTTCTCATTTATCTAAGGTCCCCTAGAGGACAGACAAATTATATCACTTCAGGCTGTTTGGGCCCACATAGATTTGGGGGGCATATGCAGGACGACCTGTACCCCTAAACTAGATGTCAGCTTGCCTTAATTGTCACATATGTGGTAGAGGCAGATATGTGATTGTTCATCTCATGCTATGTCTCCCATGTCAGGCTTCTGAATGATCCCTAAATTGCTCAAGTTTCTGAATGCTATGGAGTCTGAATCTTGCTTCTTTGACAAATTCTGGAGCAAAATGAGGAAAACATCTTTATAAATAATTTTAAGCAACTTTACTGCAGTGCTTTTATAGAACACCAAATGTTCTCACATATTGTACAAACATTTTACATGAAAAGTGAGCAGAAATGGAGCACCAAAAAAAAAAAAAAAATTAAAAAGACTTTCACTCATCAGATGACCAGATGAGCCCTTTTATCTACAGGAGCTGTATATACTGGTTTGAATCCAGTGCTTCCCTTCATGTACCTGTGTGTCAAAGACATTATTCAGCAAAATTCCATACTGATGAGAGAGGCAATCAGAAAGCCAACGACAATCATGGATAACCTAAGGAATCAGAAGGAAACAGTCATTAGAACCTGGCTGCTAATCTTAATAGCACAGGAATCAGTTTATATACTTACCTTCAAAATTCTCTTGTCTTCTAGTATCATCTGAAGTCCATTGTGGAAAGCTCGACTTCCCAGAAGGAAAATGTCAAATAAGTAAACTCGGCAATTTGTGGCCACCTACAATAGACCATCCAGACACACATACCATAGGATAAGAAAGAACTGAGGAAGGGAAATTTGAGGATGAAGAGTAAAAGACGTGATAAAATATCTAACATCTTCACTTTATTTATTTATTTATTTAGAGACAAAGTTTCACTCTGTTGCCCAGGCTGGAGTGCAGTGGCACAATCACGGCTCACTGCAACCTCTGCCTCCTGAGTTCAAGCAATTCTCCTGCCTCGGCCTCCTGATAGCTGTGATTACAGGCATGCGGCACCACGCCCAGCTAATTTTTTTTTTTTTTTTTTTTTTGAGACAGAGTCTTGCTCTGTCACCTGGGCTGGAGTGCAGTGGCGCGATCTTGGCTCACTGCAGCCTCTGCCTCCTGGGTTCAAGCAATTCTCCTGTCTCAGCCTCCCAAGTAGCTGGGATTACAGGTGCACGCCACCATGCCCAGCTAAGTTTTGTTATTTTTAGTAGAGAAGGGGTTTCACCATGTTGGCCAGGATGGTCTCAATCTCTTGACCTCATGATCCACCCGCCTTGGCCTCCCAAAGTGCTGGGATTACATGTGTGAGCGTCCATGTCCAGTGAGAAAGGGTTTCACCATATTGGCCAGGCTGGTCTCGAACTCCTGACCTCAGGTGATCTACACACCTCGGCCTCCCAAAGTGCTGGGATTACAGGCATGAGCCACTGCACCTGGCCAATTTTTTTTATTTTTTGTAGACATGGGGTTTCACCATGTTGGCCAGGCTGGTCTCAAACTCCTGACCTCAAATGATCCACCCGTATCAGCCTCCCAAAACTTTATTTTTTTTGAGACAGGGCCTTGCTCTGTCACCCGGGCTGGACAACAGTGGCTTTATCTTGGCTCACTGCAAATTCAACCACCCAGGCTCTTGTGATTCTCCCACCTCAGCCTCCCAAGTACCTGGATTACAGGCACCCACCACCACGCCCAGCTAATTTTTGTATTTTTTGTAGAGACTGGGCTTTGCCATGTTGCCCAGGCTGGTTTCAAACTCCTAGGCTAAAGCAATCTGCCTGCCTTGGCCTTCCAAAATGCTGGGATTACAGGCGTGAGCCACCAGGCCCCACCACATCTTCACTTTTAAATGATAGGTACTTGATTCTTAGAGAAAACAGGTATAATTTGTTCTTAAGTAAAAAAAGTAAGACACAATCACTGTGATTTTCTTTTTTCTTTTTTTTTTTTTTTTGAGACGGAGTCTTGCTCTGTCGCCCAGGCTGGAGGGCAGTGGCACGATCTCGACTCACTGCAACCTCTGCTGTCCGGGTTCTCGCCATTCTCCTGCCTCAGCCTCCTGAGTAGCTGGGACTAAAGGCACCTGCCACCATGCCCTGCTAATTGTTTTTCTTTTTGTATTTTTAGTAGACATGAGGTTTCACTATGTTAGCCAGGATGGTCTCGATCTCCTGACCTCCACCCATCTCGGCCTCCCAAAGCGCTGGGATTACAGGCATGAGCCACCACGCCCGGCCAATGATAGGTACTTGATTCTTGGAGAAAACAGGTAAAATTTGTTCTTAAGTAAAAAAAGTAAGACACAATCATTGTGATTTTCAAAAGCAAAGAAAAGGACAAGCTGGTGAAAGAGACTTTCCCTTTTTTTTTTGAGACAGTTTCACTCCTGTTGCCCAGGCTGGATCTTGGCTCACTACAACCTCTGCCTCCCAGGTTCAAGTGATTCTCCTGCCTCCTGAGTAGCTGGGATTACAGGGACCCGCCACCACACCTGGCTAATTTTTTGTATATTTTAATAGAGATGGGGTTTCACTATGTTGGCCAGGCTGGTCTCGAACTCCTGACCTCAGGTGATCCACCCACGTTGGCCTCCCAAAGTGCTGGAGCCTGTAATCCCAGCTACTTGGGGGGCCGAGGCAGGAGAATCGCTTGAACCCTGGAGGCAGAGGTTGCAATGAACCAAGATTGCGCCATCGCACTCCAGCCTGGAGGACAAGAGTGAGACTTTGTCTCAAAAAAAATAAAAATAAAGAAATAAAGAAATTTTACCAGTCTCATCTATGGCATTCTAATTGTGAACTAAATATTTGGTCTTCCTTCTGATTTCCTGAAATATAGCTCCTAAAACCCTTGGAATCTTGAAAGTGAGTGATAAGAGTGTTTTTTGTGTATTAATGGGATGACTGGTGCCTGGGGGCTCCTAGATGCTCCCAGAGTTTCAGGACAGGCACTAGTCACAGGAAAGACAAACCCATGATTAGAGGGCTGGGACTTTCATCCCCACTATCCAACCTCCAGGGAGGAGAAAGGGGCTGAAGGGTAAGTTGATCACGAATGGCCAATGACTTAATCATTTATGCCTACATAATGAAGCCTCCATTAAAAACCCCAAAGGGAGGCTGGGCAAGGTGGCTCACACCTGTAATCGTAAGCACTTTGGGAGGCCAAGGTAGGAGGATCTCTTGAACCCAGGAGTTCAAGACCACCTGGAAAACTTATGGACACCCCATCTGTACAAAAAATTTAAAAATCAGCTGAGCATGGTGGTGCACCTGTGGTCCCAGCTACTCGGGAGGCTGAGGTGGGAGGATCACTTGAGCCTAGGAGCTCCAGGTTGCAGTGAGCCGTGTTTGCACCACTGCACTCTAGCCTAGGTGACAGAAATAGACTCTCTTTTTATTTTTTAATTAAAAAAAATTTTTTTTTTTTTTAAGACAGAGTTTCGTTCTTGTTGCCCAGGCTGCAGTGCAATGGTACAATCTCGGCTCACTGAAACCTCTGCCTCCCGGGTTCAAGTGATTCTCCTGCCTCAGCCTCTCAAGTAGCTGGGATTACAGGTGCCTGCCACCACGCCCGGGTAATTTGTTGCATTTTTAGTAGGGACTAGGTTTGGTGATCCACTCACCTAGGCCTCCCAAAGTACTGGGATTACAGGCGTGAGCCACCACACATGGCCTTTTTTCTTTTTTGGAGATTGAGTCTTAATCTGTTGCCCAGGCTGGAGTGCAATGGCATGATCTCGGCTCACTGCAACCTCTGCCTCCTGGGAGCAATTCTCCTGCCTCAGCCTCCCAAGTAGCTGGGATTACAGGTGCACGCCAACACACCCAGCTAATTTTGTATTTTTAGTAGAGACGGGATTTTACCATGTTGACCAGGCTGGTCGTGAACTCCTGACCTCAGGTGATCCGCCTGCCTTGGCCTCCTTGGGATTACAGGCATGAGCTACCACACCTGGCCAAAAATTTTTTTTTAATATGGAGATGGGGTCTCCCTATGTTGCCAAGGCTGATCTTGAATTCTTCAACACAAGTGATCCACCCGTCTCAGCCTCTCAAAGTGCTGGGATTACAGGCATGCACCACCATGTTGGGCCCCTTTTTTTTCTTGTATTAATTTTTAAGAGTCTTTCAAAAAAAAAAACACAAAAGGCCTAAATTCACAGCACCTCTGGATAGCTGAGCAGGTTCCTGGAGGGGGTGGGTGGTGCACCCCTTCCCCCATACCTTGCCCTATATATCTCTTCCATCTAAGAGTTTATCTGTATCCTTTGTTTCATATACATATACATATAATTTGTTTTATATATATTATATATTATATATATTGTGTTAGGTGTTACATATATAAAATATATATCATATATATGATATACACATTATATATATCATATATATGAGATATATTACATATATCATATATATGATATATTATATATGATATATATGTCATATATTATATATGATACATATATGATATATATGTCATATATTATATAATGTCATATATATTATATATGTCATATATAGATATATGTCAATATATGATATATATAATATGTCATATATATGATCTGTATATATATCATATATATATGATATATATAATATATATACAGATATATTTTTTTGAGACAGAGTCTGGCTCTGTCACCCAGGCTGGAGTACAGTGGCACCATATCAGCTCACTGCAACCTCTGCCTTCTGGCTTCAAGTGATTCTCCTGCCTCAGCCTCCCAAGTAGCTGGGACTACAGGCGTGCAACACTACACTTGGCTAATTTTTTTGTATTTTGTTTAGAGATAGGGTTTGTTTCACCATGTTGCCCAGGTTAGTCTCCAACTCCGGAGCTCAAGTGATCCGCCTGCCTCGGCCTCCCTAAGCGCTAGAAGTACATGTGTGAGCCACCACACCTGGACTTGTAATATTCTTTAAAATAATAAATGAGTAGGCCGAGTGCAGTGGCTCATGCCTGTAATCTTAGCACCTTGGGAGGCTGAGGTGGGTGGATCACCTGAGGTCAGCTGTTCGAGACCAGCCTGACCAATATGACAAAATCCTATCTCTACTAAAAATACAAAAATTAGTTGGGCGTGGTGGTGTGCACCTGTAGTCCCAGCTAGTCGGGAGGCTGAGACAGGAGAACTGCTTGAGCCTGGAAGGCAGAGGTTGCAGTGAGCTGAGATACTCGCCACTGCACTCCAGCCTGAGCAAGAAAGAGCAAGACTCTGTCTCAAAATAATGATAATAATAAATGAGTAAATGTAAGTAAAATGTTTCTCTGAGTTCTGTGAGCTGCTCTAGCAAATTAACTGAACCAGAAAAGGGAGGTCATGGGGACTCCAACTTATAGTTGGTTGGTCAGAAGCACAGGTCACAAGCTGTGCTTGTGAATGGCACCTGAAGTTGAGGGCAGTCTTGTGGGACTGAGCCCTCAATCTGTGGGGTCTGACACTATTTCCAGGTAAACAGTCTCAGAATTGAATTGGAGGACACTAAGCTGGTGTATACTGGAGAGTAGCAGTAGAATTGTTTTGCTTCATGTGTGAGGAAACAACCCCCACACATCTGGGGTGACAGAATGTTCTATTTTTTTTTTTTTGAGATGGAGTCTTGCTCTGTCGCCAGGCTGAAGTGCAGTGGTGTGATCTCGGCTCACTGCAACCTCCACCTCCCAGGTTCCAGCAATTCTCCTGCCTTAGCCTCCCAAGTAGTTGGGGTTACAGGTACGTGCCACCACACCCGGCTAATTTTTGTATTTTTAGTAGAGACAGGGTTTCACCATGTTGGCCAGGCTGGTCTCAAGCTCCTAACCTCAGGTGATCTGCCTGCCTCAGACTCCCAAAGGGCTGGGATTACAGGCATGAGCCACTGTGCCTGGCCAGAATGTTCTGTGTTGAGTAGAAAGTATAGGAAAAAAGAGCACTTTTAGTTTTTTTCCCTATAAGTCTAATACTCCAGGGAACACCATTTTAAGGTGAATGAACAGTATCTCATTATTAACAACTGGAAATGCTATTTCTCTGAGTTCCTTAATATGCATGATTGTTAGGTGTTACACAAAATTATTCATAAGAGAAGATCCCTACCCTCTAGCAATTTAAAACAGGCAACAAATACACTGGCACAAATGGTAAGATGTCAAATATTCAATGCTGCTTACAGATCAATTTTATATAATTTAAGAATTCTAGATTTTTTTTTTTTTTTTTTTTTTGAGACAGAGTCTCGCTGTGTCACCCAGGCTGGAGTGCAGTGGTGCGATCTCGGCTCACTGCAACCTCCATCTCCTAGGTTCAAGCAATTCTCCTGTCTCAGCCTCCCGAGTAGCTGGGACTACAGGTGCCCACCACCATGCCTGGTTATTTTTCATATTTTTAGTAGAGACAGGGTTTCACCATATTGGCCAGGCTGGTCTCAAATCCCTGACCTCGTGATCCGCCTGCCTCGGCCTTCCAAAGTGCTTGGATTAGAGGCCTGAGTCACCGTGCCCAGCTAAGATTGCTTCTAATCACAAAAATCACAAAAGCAGCATAGCTGGATGATCTACTAAGAGAGTAAAGACAAAAAACATCCAAACGCCAGGCGTGGTGTGGCTCATGTCTATATCTCAGCATATTGGGAGGCTGAGGTGGGAGGATCGCTTAAGGCCAGGAGTTCAAGACTAGCTGGGGCAACAAAGCAAGACCCCTGTCTGTACAAAAAACAAAAGAATTTTAAATTTAAAACAAAACATCCAAATGGGTCTAGAAAGCTAGGCATATGACAGTGTGATGCCACTTCTGTCATTTCAGGAGCTGAACTATGTTATAGCTACAATTGCCAGACCTACCTAGCACCCATTCTCAGAACTTTCATTATATATATATATATATATTTTTTTTAATTTAATTTTATTTTTTGAGACAGAGTCTCACTCTGTCGCCCAGGCTGGATTGCAGTGGCGTGATCTCGGCTCACTGCAGCCTCTGCCTCCCGGGTTCAAGTAATTCTCGTGCCTCAGCCTCCTGAGTAGCTGGGATTAATAGGCACTTGCCACCAGGTCCAGCTAATTTTTTGTATTTTTAGTAGAAACAGGGTTTTGCCATGTTGCCCAGGCTGGCCTTGAACTCTTGAGCTCAGGTGATCTACCCGCCTCAGCCTCCCAAAGTGCTAGGATTACAGGTGTGAGCCACCGCACCCAGCATATATATATATTTGAGATGGTCTTGCTCTGTCACACAGGCTGAAATGCAGTGGCGCAGCCATAGCTTATTGCAGGCTAAAACTAACTCCTGGGGGCTCAAGAGATCCTCCCTCCTCAGCCTCCTGAGTACCTGGGATTATATTATATGCTCAGCTAATGTTTTTGTTTTTTGTAGAGACGGGGTTTCACTAAGTTGCTCAGGCTGGTCTCCAACTCCTGGCTTCAAGCAATCCTCCCACTTCAGCCTCCCAAAGTATTGGAATTACAGACATTAGCCACCACACCACAAAAATTAGCCAGGCCCAGTGGTGTGTGCCTGTAGCCCCAGCTACTGAGGAGGCTGAGGCGCGAGAATCGCTGGAACTCAGGAGGCAGAGTTTGCAGTTAGCTGAGATTGTGCCACTGCACTCCAGCCTAGGTGACAGAGCAAGACTCTGTCTCAAAAAAAAAAAAAAAAAAGCGAACCCCTGATGTTTTCCCCTGCTACTTTAATTATAAAAATTGAGTAGATGCAGTATAAAAGTTTGGAAAATAATTATCTGCTGTACTATAAACTATGGTGAAGATACCTGACCAGAGATAAAGATTAAATATTTAAATAATTTAAAGTTAAGACATGCTGTGGGAAATACTGACAGAAAGAAAGCAGATTAGGCAAAACAAAACAATAAAAATAAAGGTTTAAGAATTAAAGGTGCCAGATACTAAGAAAAGTGAGGAGCTGGAAACAGGGGAATGGGCTGAAGGTTTATATGAGGAGACGTAACCCCCCAAGTAATCCTCCCCCATTCCTCTCCCACTGAGGACAGATCATGTATTCTCTGGATAAATCTAACCAGAGAGGCTCTGGGGTTGACAATGTTTAGACAGAAGAGGGTGGAAGTTCAGTAGTGGCCTGAAAAATGAAAATCTGCACACTGAATTGTGGGCTTCTAGCCCTCTTCCCTTTGTTGAGACTCAGAAAATAATACCCCAAAGCAAAGAAAGGCCTCTGAAATAGCCTCAGAAGTAAAAGTTTTTCTCTGACCTTCAGCCCTGCTGTCTCTTGGTCCCATTATTTCCTGAAGCTAGCCATAGAAACTAGAATCATTCTCCCTGAAGGCGATCACGGAAACCAGAACCCAGTTTCCCCAAAGCCAGCCATAAAACCTAAAAATAGGCCAGGTGTGGTGGCTCACACCTGTAATCCTAGCACTTTGAGAGACCGAGGTGGGTGGATCACTTGAGTTCAGGAGTTCGACACCAGCCTGCCCAACATGGTGAAACTCCGTCTCTACCAAAAATATAAACATTAGCCGGGCGTGGTGGCACACTCCTGTAATCCAAGGTACTTGGGAGCCTGAGACAGGAGAATCGCTTGAAACCAGGAGGTGGAGGCTGCAGTGAGCCAAGATCGTGCCATTGCACTCCAGCCTGGGCAAAAGAGCAAGACTTCTCCTCAAAAAAAAAAAAAAAAAAAAAAAAAAAACCCTAAAAATATTACTCTAGGCCAGGTGCGGTGGCTCACACCTGTAATCCCAGCACTTTGGGAGGCCAAGGAAGGAGGATCACTTGAGCTCAGGAGTTTGAGACCAGCCTGGGCAACACAGTGCAACCCCATCTCTACTAAAATACAAAAAAAATTAGCCAGGCATGGTGGCATGCACTTGTAGTCCCAGCTACTCGGGAGGCTGAGGCAGGAGAATTGCTTGAACCTGGGAGGCGGAGGTTGCAGTGAGCCGAGATCATGCCACTGCACCCCAGCCTGGGCGACACAGCAAGACTCTGTCTCAAAAAAAAAAAAAAAAAAATCAGCCAGGCACGGTGGCCCACGCCTGTAATCCCAGCACTTTGGGAGGTCAGGGCAGTTGGATCACCTGAGGTTGGGAGTTCAAGACCAGCCTGGCCAACATGGTGAAACCCTGTCTCTACTAAAAATGCAAAAATTAGCCGGGCATGGTGGTGGGCACCTATAATCCCAGCTACTGGGGAGGCTGAGGCAGGAGAATCGCTGGAACCCAGGAGATGGAGGCTGCAGTGAGCCAAGATGGTGCCACTGCACTCCAGCCTTGGCAACAGAGCAAGATTCCATCTCAAAAACAAAAAACAAACAAAAATTAGCCAGGTGTGGTAGTATGCACCTATAGTCCCAAGTAGTCCAGCTACTTGGGAGGCTGGGGCAGGAGGATCTCTTGAGCCCGGGAGTTCAAGGCTGAAGTGAGCCATGATGGAGCCACTATACTCCAGCCTGGGCAACAGAGACTCCATCTCAAAAAATGTATGTACTTGTATATATACATACACATATATATATACACATATACACATACACACACATATAGATAAAACTTTCCCTCTGCCTCTGTATGTAAAAAAGGGCCATAAAAATGATCTGACCCACCTTATTTGACAGTAGGTCATAGATCCCCATTCTATAGAGGGTCCCGCTACATACCAGGAAAGAAGAAATACATGCTATGAGAGCCAAGACGAATCTAGACAGACAGGCCTTGCTGGGTTTCCCAGTCAGTCTATTAACATTAGATCATATCTTTTTGTTCAATCATATTTCTCCATAGCTGTCCATACTTTGTTGAACCTAAACATAAAAATGGACAATTACCCGTGTATCTTTGAGTCTTCGTTCTGAAGGTTCTCATGTACGCGTTAAATTTGTTGTGTCTTTTCTCCTCTTAATCTGCCTTTTTGTGAGTTAAGTTTTCAGCAAACCTACAGAAGGCAAAGGGAAAATTTTCCCTTGGCCCCTGCATCTTGCAGCTTCCAGGCTTGAGAAAACAGCCTGCATTGGAACAGGAGGGTAGAGGGCTCCAGGAGAGATGACTTCAAGACAAAAATGCAGCATAGGTTGGCAGAATCGTGTTTTTGTTTGTTTGTTTGTTTTTTGAGACAGGGTCTCACTCTCACATGCATGAGAAACCATGCTTGGCCCTAGCCCACTAAATTTAAGCATGTGAAAAAACTGTATGGCATCCTTAAAGATATGGAACAGCTTAGTCATAGGTATAAAGAAAACAAAGTTGGTTGGGTGCAGTGGCTCATGCCTGTAATCCCAGCAATTTGGAAGGCTGAGCTGGGTAGATTGCTTGAGTCTGGGAGTTTGAGACCAGCCTGGGCAACATGGTGAAACCCTGTCTCCACAAAAAATACAAAAAGTTAGCTATCACGGTGGGATGTGCCTGTAGTCCCATTTGGGCAACAGAGTGAGACCCCGTCTCAAAAAAGTAAGGAAGGAGGGAAGGAGAGAAGGAGGGAAGAGAGGAAGGGAGGGAGGGAGGGAGGAATAAAATGAGGCAATTACTAACTCTATGTAAAACAAAAAGTTGTTCAAGAAGAGAAACGATTCTCCTTGACTCAGCAGAGAGTTATCATTACAGTCGTAATAACATATAGACTAAATTTGGTCTTTTTTTTTTTTTTTTTTTGAGATGGAGTCTCATTTGTGGCCCAAGCTGGAGTGCAGGGGCATGATCTTGGCTCACTGCAACCTCCACTTCTCAAGTTCAAGCAATTCTCCTGCCTCAGCCTCCCATAAATTCTGAATTCTGTCTTAGTAAAAAATTGTGACATAACTAAGTTGGAAAGACCTAGGGAAGAGTGGGTGCAATAAAGGAGCAAAATCTTTATTTATCACAATAAAATTGAATAGATTATGTGTAAAACTGATAAATCAAGAGAAAGCAATAAGCATGTTATTAGAAACAGGAAAATCCGGGCCAGGGGTGGTGGCTCACGCCTGTAATCCCAGCACTTTGGGAAGCCAAGGCAGGCAGATCACTTGAGGTTAGAAGTTCAAGACCAGCCTGGCCAACATGGTAAAATCCTGTCTCTACTAAAAATACAATAATTAGCCAGGCGTAGAGGTGAGTGCCTGTAATTCCAGCTACTTGGGAGGCTGAGGCAGGAGAATACCTTGAACCTGAGAGGCAGAGATGCAGTACAGTGAGCCAAGAGATTGCACCACTGCACTCCAGCCTGGGCAACAGAGAGACCCTGTCTCGAAAAAAAAAAAAAAAAAAAGAAACAGGAAAATAGCAGAAACTACATTTCAATGTGTTAAAAGTAGTTGACTCCCCTAATGTTTGTCAAAGTATTTTGTAAACTGTAAAGTACTGCACAAATATAACAATCCTGTTATTCAATTCTTTTTTTTTTTTTTTTTTTTTGAGAAGGAGTCTCGCTTTGTTGCCCAGGTTGGAGTGCAGTGGCACAATCTCGGCTCACTGAAACCTCCTCCTCCCAGGTCCAAGTGATCCGCCTGCCTCAGCACCATTAGTAGCTAGGATTATAGGCATGCGCCACCACGCCTGGCTAATTTTTGTATTTTTAGTAGAGGCGGGGTTTCACCACGTTGGCCAGGCTAGTCTCAAACCCCTGACCTTGTGATCTGCCCACCGTAGCCTCCCAAAGTGCTGGGATTACAGGCATGAGCCACTGTGCCTGCCCTATTCAACTCTTTTTTTTTTTTTTTTTTTTTTTTTAAGTAGTGCCTCTGCGCCAGGTGTGGTGGCTCACACCCAGCACTTTGGGAGGCCGAGGCGGGCAGATCACGAGGTAAGGAGTTCGAGACCAGCCTGGCCAACGTGGTGAAACCCCGTCTCTACTAAAAATACAAAAATTACCCGAGCGTGGTGGCGGGAGCCTGTAGTCCCAGCTACTCGGGAGGCTGAGGCAGGAGAATCGCTTGAACCTAGGAGGCAGAGGTTGCAGTGAGCTGAGATTGTGCCATTGCACTCTAGCCTGGGCGACAGAGTGAAACTCCGTCTCAAAAAAAAGTAGTGCCTCTGGCAGGGTGTGGTGGCTCATGCCTGTAATCCCAGCACTATGGGAGGCCAAGGCGGGTGGATCACCTGAGGTCGGGAGTTCGAGACCAGCCTGACCAAAATGGAGAAACCCTGTCTCTACTAAAAATACATTAGCTGGGAGTGGTGGCACATGCCTGTAATCTCGGCTACTCGGGAGAGGCTGAGGCAGGAGAATTTCTTGAACCCGGGAGGTGGAGGTTGTGGTGAGCCGAGATCGTGACACTACACTCCAGCCTCCAGGCGACAAGAGCAAAATTTCATCTCAAAAAAAAAATAATAAAAAAAATAAACGTAGTGCCTCTGAAGTGGAGTGGAGGGTTTTTTTTTCTCTTAAATTTGATTTTTTTCTTTTGCTTTTAATACAAGTGCACGTGATGCTTTTAGTTAAAAAATTAAACACACAAGCCCAAGGATCTGGCTGGGGAAAACCTGTCCATTAATTTGCTTCCAGTTGCAGAAAGGACAGCTGTAGTCCAGATCCCAGCACTTTGGGAGGTTGAGGTGGGCAGATCACCTGAGGCCAGGAATTCGAGACAAGCCTGGCCAACATGGTGAAACCCCATCTCTACTAAAAAGACAAAAATTAGCCAGGCATGTTGGCTCATGCCTGTAATCCCAGCTACTCAGGAGGCTGAGGCATAAGAATTGCTTGAACCTGGGAGGCGGCGGTTGTAGTGAGCCAAGATTGTGTCACTGCACTCCAGCCCATGCAACAGAGCGAGACCCTGCCTCAAAAAAAAAAAAAAAGAAAGAGAGAAAACAAAAAGAAAGGACAGCTGTAGACAACTGCATGTTCCTCTGATACCCAGAAAACCAAAGGGGACAATTTAGGAAATAACCTAGAACTGCCCAGACCTGTGTTACCAGGAAGTCTACTCTCTTTTGTTTTGGTAGATGGAAGTTTAGGGTTGTTTTAAGTAATTTGTATTTGTGCTGCTAATTCAAACCTAGTCATCTAAAAGCTAAGCTTGGCTAGCTGCAGTGGCTCATGCCTGTAACCCCAGCACTTTGCGGTTAGGCTGACTCAGAAGGATTGCTTGAGACCAGGAGTTTGAGACCAGCCTGGACAATATAGGGAGAACTCATCTCTGAAAAAAAAAAAAAAAAAAAAAAAAGTAAAGGAAGAGGGACCCAAAAGCTATCCATCCTCTAGCTATTCTTCAAGGCTAACTACAAACTTTTAAAAAATATTGGCCAGGGGTGGTGGCTCACGTCTGTAATCCTAGTACTTTGGGAGGCCGAGGTGGGTGGATCACTTGAGATCAGGAGTTTGTGACCAGCCTGGCCAACATGGTGAAACCCCGTCTCTACTAAAAACACAAAATTAGCCAGGTGTGGTGGCGCATGCCTATAGTCCCAGCTACCCAGGAGGCTGAGGCAGGAGAACCGCTTGAACCCAGGAGGCGGAGGTTGCAGCGAGCCGAGATGCACCACTGCACCCCAGCCTGGTGACAGAGCAAGACTTTGTCTCAAAATAATAATAATAATAGTAATAATAATAGAGACTCTCATTTAATATCTCCCAGGTCCAGGGAAACTAAAATGATGTGGTGAGAAACCTGCTGTGGAAAGCTACCACCCCAGAATGAAAAGAGACGACACTCTTCATAGAACTAAGGTGATAGAACAGAACTGGGAAAGACCTCCAGCAGAGCCCGAGAGACAGCACTAATGGCTTTAACAGCGAACCTATTCTTGCTACTGAGCTTAAAAAAAAAAACAAAGTGAATCTATAAGGAGACAGAAGCTCTCTCCTTTTGAAAAGAATAAAGTGAGTACCAGGAGAAGGAAGAACATTCCAACAAGTTATGCAACAATGACACTAGGGTGACAGAAAGAAGACAATTAATAAATCTACCAGTGAGCCAGGTGCAGTGGCCTATCCCTGTAATCCCAGTGACTAGGGGGGCTAAAGCAAGAGGATTACATGAGGCCAGGAGTTTGAGATCAGCCTGGGCAACACAGCAAGACCCCATCTCAAAAAAACAAAGCTGGGTGTGGTGACATGCATCTGTAGTCCCAGCTACTCAGGAGGCTAAAGTGAGGATAGACAGCATGAGCCCAGGAGTTCAATGCTGCAGTGATCTATGATCTGCACTGTGGCCTCAGTGACAGAGTGAGATCCCATCTCTAAAATACAGTTTTCAAAAAGAAGGAAAGAAAAAAATCTACCAGTGGCTCTATAATTACTTCAAAATAAAAAGTTTTCAAAAATCTTTCACCTGCAGCCAGCACAGTTTGCCATGGCGACATACATTCGCTCCTTCTGCTGCCACACTCAGGACATTCTGCTTCTTGATATGGAGTATCTGGTAAGAAAAAGAAGGAAAGGAAAAACTTTCAGGGAATAAATGTTGGCATGATAACATCATGATTGGCACAAATACAATGGTCAGCAGTAAACAAAGTGCATCATCTTTGTTAAACTTACAAAATTTGATTAATCCAAAACAGTCTGTTTTACACATGCAAATAAATCAGCACTGAATACTTCTGATTCTTTTTTTTTGTTTTAGCAAAAGTGTTCCACAGCTGGAAAATAAATCACTCAGACCCCAAATGACAATAAGAGTTGAGAACTCAGACACCTTTTGTTACCACTGATGCTACAGAGAAAGAATCATAATCTGTTTTTATATTTTAAATTGAGACAGAGTTTCACTCTTGTTGCTAGGCTGGAGTGCAATGGCACGATCTTGACTTGCAACCTCCACCTCTCAGTGGATCAAGAGAATCAAGTGATTCTCTTCCCTCAACCTCCCAAGTAGCTGGGATTACAGGCATGCACCACCACGCCCAGCTAATTTTGTATTTTTAGTAATGACAGGGTGTCACTATGTTGGTCAGGCTGGTCTCAAACTCCTGACCTCAAGTGATCTACCTGCCTCGGCCTCCCAAAGTGCTGGGATTACAGGTGTGAGCTACCAAGCCTGGCCCTGAATTATAATCTTTAAGACAAGATTCCTCATGCAAACTATGGCATGCCCTAACACAGGGCAATTTACCACAACTGAAAGGAATATAGGTGGTGGCTAAGTCTCAGAGTATCCACTGCTCAGAAAGACAGAAACAAGGACTCTTCAGGTCCCTTAAAGCCTCGGATTCACTGAATTACTCAAAACTGAAATAGTGGCTGGGCGCAGTGGCTCATGCCTATAATCCCAGCACTTTGGGAGGCTGAGGAAGGAGGATCGTTTGAGCCCAAGGGTTTCAGACCAGACTGGGCAAAACAGTGTCTGTACAAAAAATACAAAAAATTATCCAGGCATGGTGGTGCACACCTGCAGTGTAGCCCCAGCTACTCAGGAGGCTAAAGTGGGAGGATCACTTGAGCCTGGGAGGCTGAGGCTGCAGTGAGCCATGATGATGCACTTCAGCCTGTGTAAAAAAAAAAACACAAAACACTGAAATAGTGGTACCCCAGGTACACACTCTTGTCCTTTGATTATCTATAATCTTACCCTATTTCATTATACAATTCTATAATCCTTAATCCATAATTCATAAAAATATTTGCATGATAAAAGATTCTCCCCATTTTATAGGTAGTTCAATTATTCAATAACAGAAAGGCATAGTAATTTACACTAGCAACATATCTCCCTTTAGAGAGCATAAAGTGTTCTCAATTCTGAGTATCTCTCATCAATGATGAGAAAATGGCACTGAATTTCAGCTTCATTCCCAATCAGATGGCTGCAGAACCGGCAACAAAAGCTGCATTCTCTACTGATGAGAATTCCTAATTACCTCTTCAAACTTCCAGAGCAAAAGCTTCTTTTTTTGTTTTTTGTTTTGTTTTGTTTTGTTTTTGAGACAGTCTCATGCTGTCCTCCAGGCTGGAGTGCAGATCATAGCTCACTGTGGCATGAACTCCTGGGCTCAAGCTATCCTCCTACTTTAGCTTCCTGCAGCTTCGACCTCCGGGGCTTAGCTGATCCTCTCATCTCAGCCTCCCGGGTAGCTGAAACTACAGACCTGTGCCACCATGCCCAGCTAATTTTTTGTATTTTTTGTAGGGGTGGGTTTGCCTTGTTGCCCAGGCTGGTCTGTAACTCCTGGGCTCAAGTGATCTGCCTGCCTTGGCCTCCAAAAGTGCTGGTATTACAAGACTGAGCCACCACGCCTGGCCACAAGTTCTTACCCTCATTTTTTTTTTTATTGTTGTCACGGACACTTTAAAGAATCTGTTGATACATAAATAATACTTACAACTCAATGATAAAAATAATTATTTCAACTCAATTAAAAAACAGCAAAAGGTTTGGGCAGGGTGGCTCATGCCTGTATTCCTAGCAGTGAAGGAGGCTGAGGAGGACAGATTGCTTGAGCCCAGGAGTTCGAGACCAGCCAGGGCAACATAGTGAGAAATTGTCTCTACACAAAATACAAAAATTAAGGCTGGGCGCAGTGGCTCACGCCTGTAATCCCAGTACTTTGGGAGGCCGAGGAAGACAGACTGCTTGAGTCCAGGAGTTCAAGACCAGCTTGGGGAACACAACAAGACCTCATTTCTTAAAAAAAAAAAAAAAAAAGAGCTGGGCATGGTGGTACACACCTATAGTCCAAGTTACTCAGGAGGCTGAGGTGGGAGGATTGCTAGAGATCCTAGGAGGTGGAGGTTGCAGTGAGCCAAGATCATGCCACTGCACTCCAGCCTGGGCTACTAAGCGAGACTCTGTCTCAAAAAATAAAAGGCAAAGGATCTAAATAGACATTTCTCCAAAGAAGTTATACAAACGGCTAGTAAGCTCATGGAAACATTCAACATCATTAGCCATCACAGAAATGCAAATCAAAACCACAATAAGATACCACTTCATACCCACTAGGATGGCTATACTCAAAATTACAGATAAGTGTTGGCAAGGATTTAAAGAAATTGGAACGGCTGGGCACAGTGGCTCACGCCTGTAGTCCCAGCACTTTGGGAGGCTGAGGCGGGCAGATCACGAGGTAAGGAGATCGAGAACACCCTGGCTAACACGGTGAAACCCCGTCTCTACTAAAAATGTAAAAAAAAAAAATAAGCCGGGCGTGGTGGCGGGCACCTGTAGTCCCAGCTACTCAGGAGGCTGAGGCAGGAGAATGGTGTGAACCCGGGAGGCAGAGCTTGCAGTGAGCCGAGATGGTGCCACTGCACTCCAGCCTGGGCGACAGAGCAAGACTCCGTCTCAAAAAAAAAGAAATTGGAACCCTCACAGACTGCTGGTAGAAATGTAAAATAGTGCAACAGCTTTGGAAAAAAGTCTGGCCGTTCCTCAAAAAAGTTAAACACAGAGTTACCATATGATCTAGCAATTTCACTCCTAGGTAACTATCTAAGAGAAATAAAATCATCCACACAAAAACTTGTCCATGAATGTTCATAGTAGCATTATTCACAATAACCACAAAGAAGAAACAACCCAAATGTCCATCAAATGGTGAATGGATAAATAAAATGTAGTATATCCATACAATAGAATATGATTTGGTGGCTGACTGTGGTGGCTTACACCTCTAATCCCAGCACTTTGGGAAGCCGAGGCAGGTGGATTGCTTGAGCCCAGTAGTTTGAGACCAGCTTAGGCAACATAACGAGACGTTGTCTCTACAAAAAATATAAAAGAATTAGCTAGGTGTTGTGGCACATGCCTGTAGTCCCACCTACTTGGGAGGCTAAGGTGGGAGGATTGCTTGAGCCCAGGAGGTCCAGGCTGCAGTGAACTCTGATTGTGCCACTGCACTCCAACCTGGGTGACAGAGCAAGACCCCGTCTCAAAAAAATTTTTTTTAATTTATAAGGAATATTATTTGGCAATAAAAATAAGTGAAATACTGATATAAGCTGTAATGTGGATGAACCTTGAAAACATTATGCTAAGTAAACAAAGCCTGTCAAAAAAACTACATATTTTATTATTTTATTTATTTACTTGTTTTTATTTTTATTTTTTTTGAGATAGAGTCTCACTCTGTCACCCAGGCTGGAGTGCAGTGGCACGATCTTGGCTCACTGCAACCTCTGCCTCCTGGGTTCAAGCAATTCTCCTGCCTCAGCCTCCTGAGTAGCTGGGATTACAGACACGCACCACCACACCCAGCTAATTTTTGTATTTTTAGTAGAGACGGTGTTCACCATGTTGGTCGGGCTGGTCTCAAACTCCTGACCTTGTGATTCACCCATCTCGGCCTCGCAAAGTGCTGGGATTACAGGCATGAGCCACCGTGTCCAGCCAGTTTTTGTTTTGTTTTGTTTTGTTTTGTTGTTTTTTGAGACAGAGTCTCACTCTTTCCCAGGCTGGAGTATAGTGGCATGATCTCGGCTCACTGTACCCTCCACCTCCTCCCACTCAGCCTCCCCAGTAACTGGGATTACAAGTGCCCACCACCACACCTGGCTAATTTTTGTATTTTTAGTAGAGATGGGGTTTTGCCATGTTGGTCAGGCTGTTTTAGTGGTTGCCAAGGGCTGAGGAGTGATTAGGAGTGATGGATAAGGGGTGTGGGGTTTCTTTCTGGTATACTGAAAATATTCTAAAATTTATTATGTTGCTTTACTTACAACTCTGTGACTACACTAAAAGAAAATGAGCTGTACATTTTAACTAAATAAATTGTATGGCATGTGGATTATATCTCAATAATGCTATTTTTTAATAAAAATCTTCTGTTCAGTTCAGACTTAAAAAACAACCTGTTGTTGACCATCCTGGCTAACACGGTGAAACCCCGTCTCTACTAAAAATACAAAAAATTAGCCGGGTGCAGTGGCAGGCGCCTGTAGTCCCAGCTACTCGGGAGGCTGAGGCAGGAGAATGGCGTGAACCCGGGAGGTGGAGCTTGCAGTGAGCCGAGATAGTGCCACTGCACTCCAGCCTGGGCGAAAGAGACTCCATCTCAAAAACAAAACAAAACAAAACAAAAACCTTTTGATAGCTAACTGTCCTTTTAAAAATGCATCCATGGGCCAGGGACAGTGGCTTACACCTGTAATCCCAGCACTTTGGGAGGCGGAGATAGGCAGATCACCTGAGGTCAGGAGTTTGAGACCAGCCTGGCCAACATGGCAAAACCCCATCTCTACTACTAAAAATACAAAAATTAGCTGGCGTGGTGGTGCATGCCTGTAATACCAGCTACTCAGGAGGCTGAGCCAGGAGAATCGCTTGAACCCAGGAGGCGGAGGTTGAGGTGAGCCAAGATCACCCCACCGAACTCCAGCCTGGGCCACAAGGCGAGACTCCATCTCAAAAAAAAAAAAAAATTCTGACTCTTCTCTGAAACTGCCAATGGCTTTAAGTCAAACTCAAAATCTTTACAATGTCTAGAAAGCCCTAAGTGAACTGCCTCCTGCCCCCTTCCATCTCCTACCATTCTTCTTCACTGTGGTCCTGTCACACTGACCTCCCTGCTGTTCCTCCACACAAGCCAGGAATATTTCAGCCTCAGGGCCTTTGCACTTGCTAATTCCACTTTTAAGTTCTTCACTTTTTTTTTTTTGAGATGGAGTCTCGCTCTGTCACCCAGGCTGGAGTGCAGTGGCACGATCTCGGCTCACTGCAAGCTCCGCCTCCCGAGTTCACACCATTCTCCTGACCCAGCCTGGTGAGTAGCTGGGACTACAGGCGCCTGCCAGCATGCCCGGCTATTTTTTTGTATTTTTAGTAGAGACGGGTTTTCACCGTGTTAGCCAGGATGGTCTCAATCTCCTGACCTCGTGATCCACCCGCCTCAGCCTCCCAAAGTGCTGGGATTACAGGCGTGAGCCACTGCACCCAGCCTTTAAGTTCTCCACTTTGATATCTACATGGCTCCCTTACTTACTCAGGTCTTTGTTCTAATGTCACCTCCCTAGAGATGTTTTCTCTGTCTATCCCACATAAAATAGGACCTCCTTGTCACTCTAGTCCCCATACCATGCTTTATTTTTATTCCCAGCACTTACTGCCATCTAAAATAAAAGCACTTGTTTATTGTCTTGCATTAGAATATAAGCTCCTTGAGGGCGGGAACTTTGTCTTGATTATGGTTTTACCCAAGAGCTCAGAACAGTGCCTGGCATATAGGCATATAGCAGCCACCAAATATGTTGTTGAATTAATAGGAAAAAAAATCAAAAATCTTATAATAAAGAAATTTACAGCCGAGCGTGGTGGCTCATGCCTGTAATCCCAGCACTTTGGGAGGCCGAGGCGGGTGGATCACGAGGTCAGGAGATCGAGACCATCCTGGCTAACACGGTGAAACACTGTCTTTACTAAAAATACAAAAAATTAGCCAGGCGTGGTGGCGGGCACCTGTAGTCCCAGCTACACGGGAGGCTGAGGCAGGAGAAGGGTGTGAACCTGGGAGGCGGAGCTTGCAGTGAGCCAAGATTGGTCCACTGCACTCCAACCTGGGCGATAGAGCAAGACTCCGTCTCAAAAAAAAAAAGAAAGAAAGAAATTTATGACACACAGACATGATACCTACATACAGGCAATACTAGTAATGATTGAGGACAATACTTACCGCAGCACCAAACTTCTGCTGGAATTGATTAATGACTGTGTATGTCACCTCCTCTTCCTCTACAAGACAAGGATTGCATTAGATATATTTCTCTTCCTCAGCAACAGAATAGCTTTCTCAATAATTTTGGCCACACTCATATATTCCTACTGTATTGCAACTCAAATACCCTAAAATTGCAAAACCACCCTCCCTACGTACTACTTCTCTTCCTTTTTTTTCCTCCTTAGCATTTGGCACTATTACAGTATATATTTTACTTATTTATCTAATTTAGCATCTGTTTGCTGCTCAGTAAGGGGAGGGATACCATATTTCAGAATCCCCAATGAATAAGTGTACCCCAATAATTATGAGTACACACACAGTATGTACTCAGTTATTAAATAAACAAATGAATCACAATATTTTATCTTAATTCAGAACCCAGAAGCAATGGCTCAGCTTAGGATTCCATAGAGAATCTTGATTCAGGGTTACATCAACTCTAAACAGTAAAGAGAGCCTAGTTGAATTTGACTGACCTGGTTAAAAAAAAAAAAAAGAGAGAGAGAGCCTAGAAAATTCAGAGCCTCGGCTGGGCACAGTGGCTCATGCCTTTAATCACAACACTTTAGGAGGCCAAGGCGGGCGGATCACCTGAGGTCGGGAGTTCGAGACTAGCCTGATCAACATGGAGAAACCCCGTCTCTACTAAAAATACAAAATTAGCTGGGCGTGGTGGCACATGCCTGTAATCACAGCTACTATGGAGGCAGAGGCAGGATAATTGCTTGAATCCAGGAGGTGGAGGTTGCAGTGAGCCGAGATCACGCCATTGCACTGCAGCCTGGGCAACAAGAGCGAAACTCCATCTCAAAAAAAAAAAGAAAATTCAGAGCCCCTATATTCACCTGATGGGCTGTACTTGAGGTCATTCAGCAGAGAGGTAGCTGGTGCTTCAGGGGCAGGAGAAGCAGGCTCACATACATTTAGGTCTTCAACTTTCATTTTCTCCATCCAGGTTCTTTCTGCATGTAGACTATCCTTACAAGAAACAATATTTGGGTGAACTTGTTCTTTGTTGTTGACACCAAAAACAGATTTTGCCACACATTAACGTTAAGGACAGTGGTCCTTCATTAACTAGAGGACCCATTCATCCACTGCTTACATTGACTTGAGGGCGCTATCTAACAATGGAAGAAAACACCTATATATTTCTTCTCATTTCTATTTCCTTATGCCAAGGAATTAAGCAGCTGGTGAATTAGAGTTAAGGCTTTCTACCCTAATGTGCACATTTGGAAAATATCATAATTAAGAAAATTATTCCTTCTTACCTAACAGAAGATGCTTTTGCTCTCACTGAGCCTTGTTCCACTTCATCTAGTAGTTCCACTGTAAAATAACCAAATGGCTTCCAACAGAGTTTCCAATCAGAAATCAATTAACTACTCCACTACCCACACACCCCTAGTTTAACCATGTACTGCAAACAATAATTGGAAATGACATGTTAGTCCACGGAGGCTTTTACTGGCCAGCAATAAATACAACAGAAGAGACCATCTAAAGTACCAAAGACTCTCAGTATTCTATCCCTACAAAGCTTCTTGGTTATTTAGAAGGATTAGGAACATTTCTATACATCCCCTTCACCCTTTTTGTTCTAGGGTACCTTTGTGGTCATTCAAGTTAGTTCTAGAGATTTCTTTCCCACCATCCCAATCCTAATGCACCTTCCTTCACATGGGTGCTGTTTGAGGGTTTTCCTTTTTTTTTTTTTTTTTTTGAGATGAAGTCTCGCACTGTTGCCTAGGCTGGAGTGCAGAGGTGCGACCTCAGCTCACTGTAACCTCCGCCTCCCAGGTTCAGGTGATACTCCTGCCTCAGCCTCCCAAGTCCCATGCCTGGGACTACAGGCATGCGCCACCACACACAGCTAACTTTTGTATTTTTAGTAGAGACGGGGTTTCACCATTGTGGCCAGGCTGGTCTCAATCTCTTGACCTCTTGATCCGCTCGCCTCAGCCTCCCTAAGTGCTGGGATTACAGGCGTGAGCCACCACATCTGGCCTCGTTTAGGTACTTTTCAAGCAAAAAGCCTCTATGTTTCAAAAGTCTCTTTTCTCTGTACTATCTAGAAGTATTGAATCTGGAGCAGAGAAAAGGTAAAATTGACTGAAAAATGCTGATTAGCCATTATTATCCTTCATCTTGACAATTCTTATCCAAGGTACTTTTGGGGACAACTCCTCCATGGTTGATTGGGCCACAGGACAAAGACAGAAATGACTATCCTTTGAGCTTAAAAATTATGAGCAAAGCCTATAATCCCAGCACTCTGGGAAGCTGAGGCAGGCAGATCACCTGAGGTCAGGAGTTCGAGACCAGCCTGGCCAACATGGCGAAACCCTGTGTCTCTACTAAAAAAATACAACAATTGGGCTGGGTGCAGTGGCTCACGCCTGTAATCCCAGCACTTTGGGAGGGTGAGGGGGGTGAATCATTTGAGGTCAGGAGTTTGAGACCAACCTAGACAACATGGTGAAACCCCGTTTCTACTAAAAATACAAAAAAATTAGCTGGGTGTGGTGGCACACACCTGTAATCCCAGCTCCTGGGGAGGATGATGCAGGAGAATTGCTTGAAACCCAGAGGCAAAGGTTGCAGTGAGACAAGATCATACCACTGCACTCCAGCCTTAGCGACAAAGTAAGAATCCGTCTCAAAAAAAAAAAAAAAAAAAGTATGAACGAAGGCCAAACCCTGGAGAAGAATTTAGGAGGCAATGAATTCCGTGCATACAGATCACAAAGCCGGTCAGCCATCAGCCTCCTGAGTTGGGGAGGTGATAGCAGTGATTCCTTCACTTCTCTCTACAAACCCATTCACAGCCTAGCTTTCTCCAATCCAGAGCTCTGTTTCACTTCAAAGGCTGATAGTGAAAACACAATTAAGAACTCCAACTACCACTACTATCCCTGCCATTATAAAAGAATATTCAAGGGACAGAGTGTTCATGACAGCATACTCAATGAGAAAGAAATATGTAGCTGTCCAGACTTGTATTCCCTGAAGTGGCTCTGGATTGGCAGTCATTAATTTGGTAAGATTTTCATTTCCTCCTAAACGCTTGTTTTCTCACAAACCAAAGCAATCTTTCAAGCAGTAGTAAACTCTCATTTACAGGAGTCCTTTCCTTTCTTCAGATCTGCCCCAGAGTGAGAGATGCACAGTCCTAAGAGGTCCCAGAGCTCTCATTCCTCCACCCCTTCTATCCAGCTCCTGATCTGTACTCCTCCTTAAAGGGCAGAAGCAGAAACCTCCTGAGTCCTTGAAAGCAAGAACATTTCTTGCTTTCTCTTATCCTACTTGACATGTATGAAGCACACTGATGAGCTTCTACAGCTACTCTTTCAGGCAAACAATTGTACTTACTCTTGCTAAATGGTTTGTGCTAGCAAAAATAAAGAATAAGGCTGCTTCCTGCCATTCCAAAATCCGAAAATCTCTGAAAACCAAAATTTTGTTGTAACTCTTGGTGGCAAAACTTGACCAGATATGCTATTTATAGTCCGATTTTATTCCACTTAGTATGACTGTCCACCCATTTCTCTGGAGAAATGTGTTGTATTATATAGAGGACTGCCCAGACTTTCTGGAGGTGTTATGTAATATGAACACTATATACTCCGTTACCTTTTCCAAAATTCCAGAAAAATTCTTGATTCTGAGACATTTGGCCCCAAGGTTTTGGATGAGGAATTGTGAATGGACTGTGAATTTTAAGTAGCTTGCTTAGCAAGACAATCCCTTCCTGTTCACATTCCTAACTGCCTGCTGGTCCGAGTCCGTAGTGATAAGCACCAGCACACCTGACATTATAAAACCAAAATGATTATAATTCTATAAGACTATTTTACTCATAGAGTACCCACAGAAGCAGTAAGAAGGATCAATTCTCAAATACCAACTTTAAGAATCCATAAGCACAACATTAAGACAAGACAATTTCAAATATTGGAATGAAATCTCAGTACTAGCATTTTCAAGGAACATGGGGGTCTCACCATTCACAATCTCATGCCCAAAAAACAACTTCACTCCTGGGACACTTCGACCTGTCTCCACATTCTTCACTGTTACAGAAAACAATTCATTCAGTTAATTAAAATATTTTCCTAAAACTCTAAGAAAATATGATGCCTCTCAAAATTTCCCAAGTCTGAGTTGTATTTAAAAAAAAAAAAACTCCAAAAAAATATCCAAATCTTCCCCCAAGGAATGAAGAGTCAATAATAAATGACAAAGCTACGACCTTTAAACAAGTAGTATAAAAAAACAAGGGAAACCCCATTAAGGTCCAGGAGAAACTAAAAAGGATAGTACACTGAATTTAAAATTCTCCTGAGAATATTCTAAGGCCTTTGGGGTTAAGAACTATCTATTAATTATATTTCTATTTATTTTTACTCCACTTAACTCCAGAAAAAAAATTTAAGGGCAGCCTGCAACTTTTTTTTTTTTTTGAGATGGAGTCTCGTTCTGTCACGTAGGCTGCAGTGCAGTAGCGCAATCTCGGCTCACTGCAACTTCCGCTTCCCAGGTTCAAGCAATTCTCCTGCCTCAGCCTCCCGAGTAGCTCGGACTACAGGCACGAGCCACCACGTTTTATATTTTAGTAGAGACGGGGTTTCACCGTGTTAGCCAGGATTGGCTCGATCTCCTGACCTTGTGATCCGCTTGCCTCAGCCTCCCAAAGTGCTGGGATTACAGGTGTGAGCCACCGCACCCGGCCAAGGCAGCCCACAACTTCTAGTGTCCACACCCTGCTTCATGTTATGCTACACACTCAAAAGTACTATCAAGGACAACGATCCAAATCCTGGCTCTCCTATGAGGAGATAAGGAAGTTAGGAGAAGGTTAGATGCCATGTCCACAATGTGCTGTCATTTTCCTAGATGGAAGTGTTCATAGCAGCTGTCTTTTTCCACACCTCTCAGCAGTCCAAATAATTGAGTTCCACCCTCACTATTCCACTGAATATATTCCTACTAGGATCAAAGATCACCAACAACTTATTTGTCACATCCAAAAAAATGTTTTGCAACCTTATCTTCCTTGACTTTCCTGCAACCTTCGACAATACTGTTCTCTCATTTCTTTTTAACTCCTGGCCTCAAGTGATCCTCCCACCTCAGCCTCCCAAAGTACTGGGATTACAGGTGTAAGCCACCGTGCCCAGCCTCCTCTTCTTTCTTCTTTAGTTACAGGACATCATGTTTAGTTCTTTTCCTATTAACTACCTAGAGCTACCATATTGAGTACCCACTCTGAGCCAGGCATCATGCTATTTCCCTATACTCAAATTTCCAGTAACATAATAAGTATTTTATTATCTCAATTATGGAGGACTCTGAGGCTCAGAAAGTTTGAATAACTAGATCAAGTTTCCACTGCCAGCAAAAAACAGTCAGGATTTAAATTCAGGCCTCAGTGATTTTAATATGCTTTTTTATTTTTTTAATTGAGATAGGGTCTTACTCTGTTGCACAGGCTAGAGTGCAGTGGCACAATCCTAGCTCACTGCAGCCTTGAACACCTGGGTTTAAGCAATCCTCCTGCCTTAGCCTTCCAAGTGGTTGGGACTGCAGGCTTGTGCCAGCATGCCTGGCTATTTTTCTTTTTTTTTTGGTAGAGACTGGGTCTCACTATGTTGCCCAGGCTGGTCTCGAACTCCTGGGCTCAAGCCATCCTTCCACCTCAGCCTCCCAAAAGTCGTGGGATTACAGGTGTGAGCCACCCTGCCTGGCAATACATTTTCTTATAACTGCTGTTACAGTGGCTCCCTGATTTGCTCCTTCCAGTCTCCCTAGCTGTCTCTACACTTCTGCTTGCCCCTCATACATTGATGGTCCCCAGAGTTTTGTCCCTCATCCTTTTTCCTTCTCTTTGAATGATCATACCCACTTCTTAGTTGTCCTGACATTCATTTTTTCTCCAGCATGGACTATTCTTCTCAGCTCCCCTCATATTTTCAACTAAGAACAGACTTACTAAGGCCAAGCGCGGTGGTTCACGCCTGTAATTCCAGCACTTGAGAGGCTGAGGCGGGTGGATCATGAGGTCAGGAGTTCAAGACCAGCCTGGCCAAGAGCATGAAACCCTGTCTCTACTAAAACATCAAAAATTAGCCAGGCGCGGTGGCAGGTGCCTGTAATCCCAACTACGTGGGAGGCTGAGGTAGAAGAATTGCTTGAACCCAGGCGTCAGAGGTTCCAGTGAGCCAAGATCACGCCACTACACTCCAGACTGGGCGACAGAGTGAGACTCCGTCTCGGAAAAAAAAACAAAAAAAGAATTTTCAAACGGGGCCAGGCACGGTGGCTCATGCCTGTAATCCCAGCATTTTGGGAGGCCGAGGCAGGCAGATCACCTGAGGTCAGGAGTTCAAGACCAGCCTGGTCAACATGGTGAAACCCCATCTCTACTAAAAAATACAAAAATTAGCTGGGTGCGGTGGCATGCACCTGTAATCCCAGCTGTTCAGAGGCCAAGGCCGGAGAATCACTTCAACCTGGGAGGCGGAGGTTGCAGTGAGTCGAGATCCCTCCCAAAGTGCTGAGATTATAGGCATGAGCCACAGCGCCCAGCCGCTTTCCCATTGTTAACTCCTACTCAACCAGATGGAGTTCCATCACCAATTCCTCCTTTAGGAGATCACTCCACTTTCCTAATTCAAGCACTTCTAGGTACGAATTAGTTGAATCTTTTATGTTTTTATAGCATCCTTTGCATCTTTCTATCAGAGAGGATCTCACACTCCATTATACCTGTCTACCTATTTGTCTATTTATTATAGTAAGTTTTTATTTAAATTTTTTTTTTTTTTTTTTTGCTGGACGCGGTGACTCACGGCTATAATCTCAGCACTTTGGGAGGCTGAGGCGGAAGGATCACAAGGTCAAGAGATTGAGACCATCCTGGCCAACATGGTGAAACCCTGTCTCTAATAAAATACAAAAATTAGCTGGGTGTGGTGGCACACGCCTGTAGTCCCAGCTACTCGGGAGGCTGAGGCAGGAGAATTGCTTGAACTCGGGAGGCAGAGGTTCCAGTGAATCAAGATTGAGCCACTGCACTCCAGCGTGAGGACAGACTGAGACTCTGTCTCAAAAAAAAAAAAAAAAAAAAAAAAATTTTTTTTAGAGGTGGGGTCTTGTGCTGTTGCCCAGGCTGGAGTGCAGGAGCACAATCATAGCTCACTGCAGCCTCGAACTCCTGGGCTTAAGTGATCCACCCACTACAGCCTCCGAATAGCTGAGACTACAGGTGTGAGCCACCACGACTGGCTAATTAAAAATAAAATTGTTTTTTAGGCTGGATGTGGTGGCTCACACTTCTAATTCCAGCACTTTGGAGGCTGAGTGGGAGAACTGCTTGAGCCCAGGAGTTCAAGACCAGCCTGAGCAACACAGGGAGACCCCATCTCTACAAAATATTTAAAAAATTAGCTGGTCTTGGTGGCACATGCCTGTAGTCCCAGCTATTTGGGAGGCTGAAGCAGGAAAATCACTTGTGCCCAGGAGGTCAAGGTTGCAATGAGCCATGATAGTCCCACTGCACTCCAGGCTGAATGACAGAGCAAGACTCTGTGTCAAAAAAAATTTTTTTTCGGGGCTGGGTGTGGTGGCTCATGCCTATAATCCCAGCACTTTGGGAGGCTGAGGTGGGAGGATCACTTGAGCCCAGAAGCTGGAGACAAGCCCAGGCAACATAGTGAGACCCCATCTCAATTTTAAAAAAATAAGAAAAAATAGGCCTGGCACATTGGCTCATGTCTGTAATCCCAGCACTTTGGGAGGCCGAGGCAGGAGGATCACGAGGTCAGGAGTTCAAGACCACCCTGGCCAACATAGTGAAACCACGTCTCTACTAAAAATACAAAAGAAAAATCAGCCGGGCGTGGTGGCGGGCGCCTGTAGTCCCAGCTACTTGGGAGTCTGAGGCAGGAGAATGGCTTGAACCCGGGAGGCAAAGGTTCCAGTGAGCCAAGATTGCACCACTGCACTCCAGCCTGGGTGACACAGCGAGACTCTGTTTCAAAAAAAAAGAAAAAATTAATTAATTAAAAATAATTTTTCTACAGATGTGGTTTTGCTATGCTGCCTCGGCTGGCCTTAAACTCCTGGCCTCAAGCAATACTGCCTTACCCTCCCAGGTAGCTGGGACTATAGGTTAGACTAAGTTCTCACTGCAACCTCCGCCTCCCAGGTTCAAGCCATTCTCCTGCCTCAGTCTCCCAAGTAGCTGGGATTACAGGTGCCCGCCACCATGCCCGGCTAATTTTGTATTTTTAGTAGAGACAGGGTTTACCATGTTGCCCAGGCTGGTTTCAAACTCCTGACCTCAGGTGATCCACCAGCCTCAGCCTCCTAAAGTGCTGGGATTACAGGCGTGAGCCACTGCGCCCAGCCCCTAGACTAAGTTTTTTGAGAACAGGAACCACCTTATTTCTGTATGTGTCCGTGGTACCAAGCGTAGTTCCTGAGATATAAAACAATCAATACATGATTACTAAATGAATTAATGTTGCAGAAACCTGTTACAATCCCATCCTAGCCCATAAAAGTCTGTTTTAACTCAAAATTTGGTTTCATAACATTAATCTCTCAAATGCCATTTATACATGTTTCAATGATGAACTTGAAACTTATCATGCCAGGAAACTCTATATATTGAAGCTTCCAGATTGGCAGATATGGAGGTACTGGCAGGGTAGCACAACCAAAGATGACATGGAAATTCTGTTTCCCTTCCCCCATAAAAAAAAGAAACATTAAATCAGAAAAAAAATATTAACACGAAGCTATTTCATTGGATGCAGCTGCAAGTTGTAAGATTTAAGGTTGTCCTGGCTGGGCATGGTGGCTCACACCTATAAACCTAGCATTTTGGGAGGCCAAGTAGGATCACTTAAGCCCTGGAATTTAAGACCAGCCTGGGCAACACAGGGAGACCCCATTTCTACAAAAAAATAAAGATTAAAAAAACTAGCCAGGTGAGGTGTTACATAAGTGTAGTCCCAGCTACTCAGGAGGCTGAGGTGGGAGGATCACTTGACCCTGGGAAGTTAAGGCTGCAGCGAGCCGTGATCACACCATACCATTGCAATCCAGCCTGGATAACAGAGCATGACTTTGTCTTAAAAAAAAAAGGATAGCCCTATGTTTCTTTTGCATTTGCCTGTTCTTGAGCTTTATCCTTTATGATAACTGGAATTGAAGCTGAGAGTTGTAGAGGCTACCTGGTGACCATGAGGATAACAGATGATCACTGACATGGCAGAGCAGGGGCAAAAGGCACCTGGTTCCTGCTGGTGTCTTTCAGCCATTGCACTGTTCTTCAGCTGCCTACCTCTTTACTTTTTGTAAGAAAAAATTTAACCCCTTACTGTATGAACTCAACTGCTGAAGTCAAAAACAATTCTAACTAATGTGGTGGTTATTTTTAATTTCAAATGCATATGGAAAGAAATTAAAGGGCCAGCATAGTGGCTCAAGCCTGTAATCCCAGCACTTTGGGAGGCCAAGGTGGGCGGATCAACTGAAGTCAGGACTTTGAGACCGGCCTGGCCAACACAGTGAAACTCTGCCACTACTAAAAATACAAAAATTAGCCAGACTTGGTGATGGGTGCCTGTAACCCCAGCTACTTGGGAGGCTGAGGCAGGAGACTTGCTTGAACCTGGGAGGCAGAGGTTGCAGTGAGCCAAGATCGCGCCACTGCACTCTAGCCTGGGCAACAAGAACGAGACTCATTCTCAGAAAAAAAAAAAAAGGCCGGGAGCGGTGGCTCATGCCTATAATCCCAGCACTTTGGGGGACCGAGGTGGGTGGATCACCTGAGGTCCGGAGTTTGAGACCAGCCTGGCCAACAGGCTGTGTTTTTGTATTTTTTGTACTAAAAATACAAAAATTAGATAGGCATGGTGGTGTGTGCCCGTAATTCCAGCCACTCGGGAGGCTGAGGCAGGAGAATCACTTGAACTTGGGAGGCGGAGGTTGCGGTGAGCTATCACGCCACTGCACTCCAGCCTGGGGGATGGAGCAAGACAACATCTCAAAAAACAAAACAAAACAAAACAAAACAAAAAAAACCTTTTTATATTGAAAATTCCTGCTATCATATCAAAAGCAGGGACACACCAGGCTCGGCATGGTGGCTCACACCTGTAATCGCAGAACTTTGGGAGGCCAAGGCAGGCGGATCACGAGGTCAGGAGATCGAGACCATCCTGGCTAACACGGTGAAACCCTGTCTCTACTAAAAATACAAAAAATTTGCTGGGAGTGGTGGCGGGTGTCTGTAGTCCCAGCTACTCGGGAGGCTGAGGCAGGAGAATGGTGTGAACCCGGGAGGCAGAGCTTGCAGTGAGCCATGATCACGCCACTGCACTCCAGCCTGGGCAACAGAGCGAGACTCCATCTCAAAAAAAAAAAGTAGGGACAAACCAGCATATTCAGTCACATTGTTCTGTTTGGGAAAACAATATTCTAACCTTCCTCCCACACTTTACCTAAAATAGGAATAATGCCACCCTCCCAATCACTAATGGAGCCCACTGAAAGTCAATCACTAATCTCTTAAAAGGCAGAACATTATAAGAAATAGAACAAGACCTTTCTTCAGGACAACAATCTTATTAGGGTCAACATGCTGAAGCACACCCTCGAAGACACCACAGACCAATGTGAGTTTCACCCTCTTCCACAAAATCTGGCTGAGGAAATGGTAGTCACTGCTGGGGTCCATGCTAATTGATTCCAAAAGCCGTCTTCAAATAATCTTCTTTAAGCATCCAAACACTTGAAAATTAATAAAGAGATCTATGAATTTTAAAAGATTTTTTGGGAGTAAAGTTATTTTCCCTTTCCCCATATCTGTAATGGACAAGAATAAAATCTGAATAATTCAGTTTTGTTCATCTTTTTGGAATGATGAGAAAAGGATCATTGCAAGCACCAACTCTCATACATAGGAAACTGAAAACTATAAGAAATTGGGCAAGTTAGGCTTGGCTTCTTTGTTTATAAAATGGGCATGATATCATCTTTCCTTCCTTAGCTAAATGGAAGAAGCAGAACATTTAGAGGCTTTTTAATGGCACATTTATACATCATTATAACAAAAAAATGAAAAGAGCAAATGAAAAAAATTGACATACATAGAAATATTTGCCAATACATGTTGCAATAAATTGTTTAGGGCAGCATAACTACCTGAGCTGCTATTTTTTATAACTCTGGTTGAGAATTTAAGGGCATGGTAATTTTTGCTAAAACTGAAGCTGATAATTTTAAGTAAAGCAACTAAATTTACCCTTTACTTAGGAATTAAAGGAAATCAAGGCAAGTAGGACAATAGTGGTACATTGGGAAAAGAACTTTTCTTTCAACTTGTGTTTAATGAATTGAATTTTAGAGACAGTTTCCCATAACTTGGGTCTATGCTATCCTATTAATTTTTATGTCTAGGTACTTGAAATGTTCCATTTCTGTGTATTTTTTTATTTTCTGTCCTATGACAGTTCTACGCTAAAGGTATTTTAAAATAAAAGCCAAATTGGCCGGGCGCAGTGGCTCATGCCTGTAATCCCACCACTTTGGGAGGCCGAGGTGGGCAGATAATCTGAGGTCGGGAGTTCCAGACCAGCCTGACCAACATGGAGAAACCCTGTCTTTACTAAAAATACAAAATTAGCCGGGTGTGGTGGCGTATGCCTGTAATCCCAGCTATTCAGGAAGGCTGAGGCAGGAGAATCACTTGAACCCGGGAGGCAGAGGTTGCAGTGAGCCGAGATTTAGAGATCGCGCCACTGTACTCCAGCCTGTGCGACAGAGCAACACTGTCTCAAAAAAAAAAAAAAAAAGAATTACAACCATATAGAAATGTACAAAGTAAAGAAAAAATGTACTAAGAAATATTATTCATAGTGGGTACTCACCACTGGGTGCAGTGGCTTATGCCAGTAATCCTAGCACTTTAGGAGGCCAAGACAGGCAGATCACCTGAGGTCAGGAGTTCGAGACCAGCCTGACCAACATGGTGAAACCCCGTCTCTACTAAAAACACAAAAATTAGCCAGCTGTAGTGACGCACACCTGTAATCCTAGCTACTCAGGAGGCTGAGGCAGGAGAATCACTTGAACCCAGGAGGTGGAGGTTGCAGTGAGCCAAGATCGCGCCATTGCACTCCAGCCTGGGAGACAAGAGTGAAACTCTGTCTCAAAAAACAAAACAAAACAAAAGAAGGCGGTACTCTTACATTCTTTACCATAATACAGTAATTTTTTAAAAGTTAATTTAGAACTATTCTGTTATTTAGATGTCCTTGTATTTAGAAACTTAGATAAGTATTCTTCTATAGTTTTTTAAATTTAAAAGCTGTATACTTTTGCCACACTAGGAAAATTCAACCAGTGAATTTTGCAATTTAACCATAAAAACATTGATGAAATAACTAGAGCCTAAGTCAACTAGGAAGAAGGTGAGATGTTACATACAATTTTCGGTCAAATAAATAACCTATATTTTTACATTTTAAGGTCTATCAAGTGCTTATACAAATATTACTTGATATAACAACCATAACCTAATTTACAAATGAAGAAACTGAAGTTTAGAAGGTTAAGACACCTGCCCAAAGTCACACAGCTAGAAGGTAATGCAATCTGAACTAAGACCAGGCCTCTAGGGTAGGATGTTTGTAGTTTAGTGCAAGACCAAGTCTTATGCATCCAAACAGAACATAAAACAAGTCATCAGAGAGTCTAAGAAAAACCATTCTTTAAGTTAATCCAACAGGCAAAAGGAGAATTTTTAAAGAAAAATACATAAAACTGGAAAAAGAAAACAGCCCTTAATAGAGGCAAACATTATTTTTATTTTATTTTTGAGATGGAGTCTCACTCTGTCGCCAGGCTGGAGTGCAGTACCGCTATCTTGGCTCACTGCAACCTCTGCCTCCCGGGTTCAAGCAATTTATACTTTTAAAAGGTACCCAAGAAAGGAAAGTTTGTGAAACACCTGGAAAATAAGAGAATTAGAGAAACATTAAAGAAAAAAAAATTAAAGTCAGAAAAAAATACTAACATGAAGCAAAGAAAGCTTTGACTGGAGACAGCTGCAAACACTAAGATTCAAGATTAGGAAGGAAAAAAGTAAGGTCAGCATCAAGAGATGGGCTTCAAGGCTGACTGAGAAAAGGGACATTCATGGGGCTGACAAAATTTTCCTATCACAGCCATATTCCAACATACAAAGCAGCTCCAGTGATTTAGCTCTTAGACGGGCATATCCAAAATGTTACTGAGTACAAAGGACAACATCACTAGGTTAGACAAGTGCACGACAATCATAAAAATAACTCTAAGGCCGGGCACGGGGACTCACGCCTGTAATCCCAACACTTTGGGAGGCCGAGGCGGGTGGATCACCTGAGTTCTGGAGTTTGAGACCCGCCTAGACAATATGGTGAAACCCTGTCTCTACTAAAAATACAAAAATTAGCTGGGCGTGGTGGCACGCGCCTGTAATCCCAGCTACTCAGGAGGCTGAGGCATGATAATCCCTTGAACCCGCCTGGAGGTTGCAGTGAGCCGAAAATGCACAGTGATCAGGCCATTGCACTCCAGCCCGGACTCTGTCGCAAAAAAACAAAACAAGCCAGGTGCGGTGGCTCACGCCTGTAATCACAGCACTTTGGGAGGCTGAAGCGGGCAGATCACCTGAGATACGGAGTTCGAGACCAGCCTGACCAACATGGAGAAGCCCTGTCTCTACTAAAAATACAAAATTAGCTGGACACGGTGGCGCATGCCTGTAACCCCAGCTACTAGGGAGTCTGAGGCAGGAGAATCGCTTGAACCCGGGAGGCGGAAGTTTCGGTGAGCTGAGATGGCGCCTTTGCACTTCAGCCTGGGCAGAAGAGCAAAAACTCCGTCTCAAACAACAACAACAACAACAAACAAACAAAACTCTAGTTCTTCAAACTAGAACCTCAGCTTGCAGGGAACGTGTGGGGCCTCAGGCTAAGCTGTAAAGCCTTAGGTAACACTTAAAACTAGTAACTTAAGTTGACCTGGGAAAGCCTGCTACGACAAAAATATCCTGGTACTTGGGTACTAACAGCAGTCAGAATTCGGTTCTTCCTTATCTTATACGTGTTCTAACCAAACAGGTGTGAAGGGGTAAGGCAGGTGAAGCAGTAAGAACTGGTTCACCTGAGAGTAGGCACTAATTTAACGGGTGGCTTTTACCTTTTTTTTTTTTTTTTTTTGAGACGGAGTCTTGCTCTGTCACCCAGGCTGGAGAGCAATGCCGCGATCTCGGCTCACTGCAACCTCCGCCTCCCGGGTTCAAGCGATTCTCCTGCCTCAGCCTCCCGAGTAGCTGGGATTACAGGCACGCGGCACCACACCCGGATAATTTTGTATTTTTATTAGAGATGGGGTTTCTCCATATTGGTCAGGCTGGTCTCGAACTCACGACCTCAGGTGTTCTGCCCACCTCGGCCTCCCAAAGTGCTGGGATTACAGGCGTGAGCCACCGTGCCAGGCCTACCTTTTTAATCAAAACAAACAATACACCATGAGAATAAAATGCAAAATTTCTCATTTTTAAGACAAAATAAGGAACTTCAAATAAATGGCGGACCATAAGCTAGGAATTCACTGTCCTCCATCGTTAGGGCTTTTTCCTCCGAAGGAAGTTTGGGAAATCTGGATCCTAATTTCAGCCAAGTGGTGCGTTCCTCGAACTTCAGTCTAGAACTAAAAGAAGAGGGGCTGCAATGAAGGAAGAAGTCTCGGGACGCTCCACGCCACCCGGCGGCGGTTATCAAATCACAGGCTGAAAACCTGGAGAAAGGTCCGCGACGCCGGGGACACACGCCGCAGAGGCGACGCCCGCCCGGCCCAACGTCCAGTCTCGTCTGTTTCCCGAGGAGCCAATCAGCACGCGGCCCCGAGGCCGGCTCCCCAGCGCCCCCTGCGGCCGGGAGGAGGACGGCAGCCAGGAAAGATGAAGAGCGCGTGCAGTCCCCGAAGGGTACACCCTAGGGTTCCCCCCCACGCGAAGTTTCTCTCCGCAATCCGTGCCACCTATCGAGTAGGATTCCTAGTGTTCGATTCCTGTGAGAAAAGGTAGACTACGCTGCCTGTCGCAGGTTAGTTTGTTGTAAAACTGTTGGTCAATGACGTTGCCCTTTTAATTGCGTCGTTAGCGACCGAGTGGCATCGCCCCTTTAAGGCCGGTGGCAGCTGCGGTTCCGGGGGCGGGGTCCGTCTTCAGCAGGACTTGGGCTGGAGCTGGGCTGATTCATTCGGGGCTGGAACTCGAACGCTGACGTTGGCTCCTGAGCCGGGCGCTGCCTCGCGCCTGATTGGCGGGTCCTCGGGGCCGCCCTCCCCAGCGCACCACCCCTGGGTTCCCTCCCGGGTCCGCAGTGGAAACACTGCCCTCTCCCTTCTTGACCCCTAGCCCTTCCTTCCCTCCCTCCTTCCCTCCTGTCGCCGTCTCTTCTGGCGCCGCTGCTCCCGGAGGAGCTCCCGGCACGGCGATGGGTTCTCGGGCCTCCACGTTACTGCGGGACGAAGAGCTCGAGGAGATCAAGAAGGAGACCGGCTGTGAGTTCGGGTTGGGGGTGGGAACGCCGGGCGCCTCAGGCTGGCCTCACAACCAAGGGCGGCTGTCGCTAAGGTCTGGAGCTCGGGTGCCTGTGAGGTTGGGGGGTCCTGGGCAGCCTCCAGGTTTGGGGACCGAGAGCTGGAAGACCTGTTCTTCCAGCTGCAGCTTCCTGGAGCGGGGCTCTAGCTACTGTGGGGCTGTCCTTCCCTTCAAAATCGGGACTCTTGATCACTCGTAGAGCGTCGACGCCCCCCTTTTCTGCACCCTGCCCATCAAAGTCCCCGAACTCCTTTCCTTTCTGTTGCCTCGCACCACCCTTCCCTATGAAGAGGCATCCTGAACAGTAGGTAAAGCCCGAGAAGCAAATTCAGGAACTCGAGATGGATTCTGTAGAAAATCCGTTTCTGGGTAAGGACCTAAAACCTCTGACAACTATGGGAAATTACAAACAAGTTCTTGTCACAAATTGGGAAAACCACCCAGAAAGCAAGACCGTGTAGTAAGGCTTTGGGAGACATGACCCGATGCCTGGAGACCTTTAAACAATCAGGGGTCTGGGATTGTGAGACTTCTTTCAATCTGAACTTCTAGAGAAAAAACACGGATACTGTGACCACCAGTTTTTTACTTACACGACGATACTTGCTGTCCTAATCTCATATATGTATTGATTTCTACTATGCTGGTGTACTTTTTTATTCGCTATTGAAATTGGATGTGCTCCAAAAATCTCCGTGTGAATTTGTACTAGGAACTGATTTTTTTTTTTTTTTTTTTTGAAACGGAGTCTCCCTCTGTCAACCAGGCTGGAGTGCAGTGGCGTGATCTCGGCACACTGCAACTTCCGCCTCCCAGGTTCAAGCAGTTCTCCTGCCTCAGCCTCCCAGGTAGCTGGGAGTACAGGTGCCTGCCACCACGCTTGGCTAATTTTTGTATTTTTGGTAGAGATGGGGTTTCACTATGTTGGCCCGGCTGGCCTCGAACTCCTGACCTCAAGTGATCCACCCACCTCGGCCTCCCAAAGTGCTGGGATTACAGGTGTGAGCCACCGTGCCCTGCAGAACTGATTTTTTTTTTTATAGTCCAGTCTCTTCCTCATTAGTCTGAACAAAGGAGCAAAAGGACTCGGGATTCTGAAGCGCTGTAAAATACCATCATAACTTTGAATAGTCCTTGATAATGCAATGTATGATACAATTGTATTGATGCATACAATATTTTATCTTTTCAGTAAACCTTTATGATTCTTATTGAGTTAATGAAGGATGTAGCACCTGAGCTCTGTCTCTTCATCATACTTGTCTTTGATAATGACATGACCAGTAACTCACTCCGGCCCATATGCAGATAGTACTGAGGAGTGCTATGGGGAACTACAGAATTTTTCAGGCCTGTTTAAGTGCTGTTCTCTGCTTTGTGACAAGTTCAACTTTCTGGAGTTTTCAAGTTGGAAGGGATGTTTTCTAGCCCCACCCCTTTCTGGACTGGTTTGCTTCTTTCAGCCTCCCCTAAAATATGGCCCTTAAGCCTCTCTGTAAAGACATTTAATGATGGTAACCTCTCCACCTACCAAGGCAGTCCTTTTCACGATTTGAATGACCCAAAGTAGTTAGCTCTTTATAATTTGCAGTACTTGTTTGGCCACTGACTTACTCTGACCCTCGGAGTGGAGACGCAAGCAGTTTGGATTCAACAAGCATTTTATTACGTTTTGTGGCCATAACTTCTGGCCACATTTGTAATTAGTACTACTTTAGGTCTAGGGTGACACCGAATTAAAGTATTTGTGTTAAAGAGTCACATGGAGAAATAAGCAGAATCAAAGAGAAATAAATATAGAGTCACATAATGAGAAAGTGTAAACCATAGTGAAGATGCAAAAAGCCATTTTTGCTTCAGAATGAAGGGAGCAGTAATCCCATTCTGGTTTATATACATTTGACCAAATGGAAATGACCTGGATGGGATATTTTTACCATGTGGCTTGTGGACAAACAACTAAGTGCTCATGGAAAAGCTGTTTTCCCCATTGCCAAAGAGTGAGTCACTTGTGAGGGAGATTCTCTCCACAACCAGTGCAAATGTATGTATTGAGCCAGAATGCTTAGTGAAACAAGTGCTTACTGAATTTTTACAGTGTCTGTTCAGTACTGTGCTAGGTACTCAGAGCAGATGGTGACAAAAAACGCCCCCAACCTGGTTGGGGAGATAAGCCCAAGAGAGTTATGATTAGCATCATGACATAAGAAAGCTGAGAATTGTGTGTCATCCACCTTCAGAAATCAGGCAAGAGAGAGAGTCCTTGTGGGCTGTCCTCATGGAGGACAGGAATTGGGCCTTGATACATGGGTGGAGTAGATTTGGATAGATTAACCTAGGGCATTTTGGGTGACTTCCAGGAGAGATCTCCCCCTAAGCCTGCTACAAAGTCATTCCTTTGCCCTGGGAACCATCAGTTTATCCAAATAGTGTCCATCATCAGAGTTGTTTTTTCTTTTTCTTTTTCTTTATTTTAGAGACAGGGTCTTTGCTCTGTCTCCCAGGCCGGACTGCAGTGGCTTGAGCATAGCTCACTGCAAGCCTTAAACTCCTGGGCTTAAGCCATCCTCCCGCTTCAGCGTCCCAAGTAGCTAGGACTACAGGCGCATACCACCATGCTTACCTGATTTTTATTTTTATCTTTTGTAGAGATGGAGTCTTGTTATTTTGTCGAGGCTGGTCATAAACTCCTGGCCTCAAGTGATTCTTAGGCCACTTCAACCTCCCAAAGCACGGGGATTACAGGTGTGAGCCACTGCGCCAAGCCCAGAGTTGTTTTTTCAAGGAGTAATTTGGTATGATGCAAAAGATTTTGAAGAATAAAAACGGATATCTGGAGTGGGTAGAGAGGTGGAATTTGTCCCATTTTCATCTGCCTTTTCTTCTATGAAGAATTTGGAAAACTATCTATCAGAAGCACTTTAAGAACAATTATAAGACATTTTACTACTTCCTTTGCCAGTACAAAATGTAACATAATTGAGGAATACTAAATTTATATTCAGTGCAAAAGCTGTGCATTGGAATTTGATGATTATATTTAACCATATTTTTTGCAAATTTAAAAAGATTAGAATTTCTACATGACTAGATTAGCTGGTATTTGATATTTAATGAATAACAGTAAGTGTTTGGAAAAGTAATTCTGGATAAGAATTACCTGTGATCCTCAGTTTCATCATCTGTAAAATTAGAATAATAATAGTGCCTACTTTATAGGATTCTTACGACAATTACATGAGATGAATTATGCAAACTACTTAGAATAGTGTCTGGTATAATAAACTTCATGTGAGTGTTATTATTTTGAACCATAGTTAACAATCGTCTTATTGGGAAAATACCATTTGCATGTACTAGTTATAAAAACTATGTGTAGGGCTATATCATTGGGGAGGTGACAGCATTTTATACTTCTTTTTGTAGTGGACAGTTGATTAGGAATTAAGTACAGATGTTTTGCCAATTATAAGGAAATAAAATTTTTAAAGGAGTTTTTAACAGTTTATGAAACTGTTATGATGTTTTAACAGGAATTGTCTAAGAAATGCTTTCTATTGGCATATTTGCTAAATTATCTTTGTTCTACTACCTTCTTTCAGACTTCTGCATTTTCATAAAGCTTATTTGAAAAAAAGGTGTAATCGGGGATAAAGCCACAAATGTCTTAGGAGTTTCTGTAATCATCACCCTTAATTCACTTAATTGTAGCAATAAGCTGGCTGTGAATTACTTAAAACTTTATGAGGCCAGGCGCAGTGGCTCACACCTGTAGTTCCAGCACTTTGGGAGGCCAAGGTGGCAGATCGCTTGAGCCCAGGAGTTCAAGACCAGCCTGGGCAACATAGGGAAACCCCATCTCTACAAAAAAATAAATTTAAAAAAAATTAGCTGGACATGGTGAAGCGTGCCTGCAGTCCCAGCTACTCAGGAGGCTGAGGTGGGAGGATTGCTTAGGCGGGAGGTCAAGGCTGCAGTGAGCCATGTTCGTGCCACTGCACTCTGGCCTGGGAGAAACAGACCCTGTCTCAAAAAAAAACAAAAACAAACAACAACCACAAAAACACCTTGATAAACAATTCATGCCATTCAAGTAGTAATGAATGCAGATTATTTTTAGTCTCTACCTTTTGGTATATGTCATGTGGTACGGGAAGGGTGTTGAACAGGTTTAGGAAGTAAGTTGCACAGGTTGGTAAGGTTTTGTTTGTTTGAAAGAGTGTAGTAATGATAGAGTTCTAACAGAGTACAAGCCTGGCAAAGGCAATTGCTTGAGAACAATATCATGGCTAGAATGTAAGTAGAAATTCAACTTCAGGTTTCTCGTGCCTCCAAATGTAGGACCCTTCACAGCCCTCACCAGCCTGAAGGTTCTGTCACTTCAGAAAACCAGGCTGTCTTCTGCCTCCTATTGAAATGGAAATGCATGGATAACTAACACCTTTAACTGGTTTTGGGTTAAGTGATTTGTAAAGCTCTGTACTTTTTGAGTTCTAGTGCAAAGTTTTATTCTCATTTGTTGCCATAAAGGAGTAAGAAGCAACTATTTGTCAATTAGAGAGGGCATTGTGGGAAAGAGACCCTAAGAACTTTTTTTTTTTTTTTTTGAGACAGGGTCTCACTCTGTTGCCCAGGCTGGAGTGCAGTGGTGCAATCATAGCTCATTGCAGCCTCAAACTCCTGGCCTCAAATGATCCTTCCACCCCAGACTTTCAAAGTACTGGGATTATAGATGTGAGCCACTGTGCCTGGCAACTACCTGATTTTTAATTTTTATTTATTTATTTTTTCAGACAGGGTCTTGCTCTGTCATCCAGGCTGGAGTGCAATGGCATGATCACGGCTCACTGCAGCCTCAAGCTTCTGGGCTCAAGCAATCCTCCCAGCTCAGCCTCCTGAGTAGCTGGGACTACAGGCACATGCCACCACGCCTGGCTAATTTTTTAATTTTTTGTAGAGATAGGGTTTCACCATGTTGCCCAGGCTGGTCTTGAACTCCTGAGTTCAGGTGGTCCGCTCATCCCAGTCCCCCAAAGTGCTGCGATTACAGAGGTGAGCCACTGGCCAGGAACTTTTTTGCGGGGGCAAGGAGGGGATGGTGGTCCAGACCAGAGAGTAGTTGGAGGTTTATTCATTCAGAAGATAATTGACCCCAGCAGCAGCTGCGAAGATATAAGCTTTATTTTTGTAAATTTCTGGATAAACCATTTGAAAGTTGCAGGTATTGGAACTCTTTACCCCTTCATACTTCTGCATGTATCCCTTAAGTATTGGGATGGTTTTTACGTAACAACAATACTATTATCACACCTAAGAAAGTTGATAATACTTCTTAATACTATCTTTTTTTTTTTTTTGAGACAGAGTCTTGCTCTTGTTGCCCAGGCTGGAGTGCAGTGACTCGATCTCAGCTCACTGCAACCTCTGCCTCCTGGGTTCAAGCCATTCTCTTGCCTCAGCTTCCCAAGTAGCTGGGATTACAGGTGCCTGCCACCAGGCCTGGCTAATTTTTTGTATTTTTAGTAGAGATGGGGTTTCGCCACGTTGGCCAGGCTGGTCTCGAACTCCTGACCTCAGGTGATCCACCCACTTCAGCCTCCCAAAGTGCTGGGATTACAGGCGTGAGCCACCGCACCTGGCCCCTTTTTTTCTTTTTCTTTTTTTTTTTTTAATTGAGATGGAGTTTCACTTTTGTCGCCCAGGCTGGAGTGCAGTGGCGCGATCTCAGCTCACTGCAACCTCCGCCTCCTGGCTTCAAATGATTCTCCTGCCTCAGCCTCCCAAGTAGCTGGGATTACAGGCATGTGCCACCACGCCTGGCTAATTGTTTTTATTTTTAGTAGATACGAGGTTTTACCATGTTGGCCAGGCTGGTCTCGAACTCCTAACCTCAGATGATCTGCCTGCCTCAGCCTCCCAAAGGGCTAGGATTATAGACGTGAGCCACCTTAATATTATCTATCATTCACTTCCTATTCAAATTTCTCCAATTATAAGAAGATAGATTTTGTTTGTTTTATATAATGTTTTAAAATCTCTCTTAATCCCTAAGAGACTAGTCCAGGGCTTGAAGTCTTCATGTCAGGGGGAATGTTAAGGTGTAGTCTATTCCGGGAAGCGCAGGCTTCAACTTTCCTTTATCTAGAGCTACCTTTAGCTGTACTTGTAATCTTTACATAGGTTATCAGTCTGTTCTTCTGCATTAAGATTTGGAATAAAGGCAAGGACAAAATAACTTTTTCTTTTCTTTTTTTTTGAGATGGAGTCTCGTTCTGTCACCAGGCTGGAGTGCAGTGGTGCAATCCCGCCTCCCGGGTTCAAGGGATTCTCCCGCCTCAGCCTCCTGAGTAGCTGGGACTATAGGCACGTGCCACCATGCCCGGCTAATTTTTGTATTTTTAGTAGAGATGGGGTTTCCCCATGTTGGCCAGGATGATCTTGATCTCTTGACCTCGTAATCCACCCACCTCCCAAAAGTGCTAGGATTACAGGCATGAGCCACCATGCCTGGCCCTCCAAAATAACTTTTTCTTACTCCCTTTTTGTTTTTATTCTTTCCTCTGCCACTTCTGCTTCGCACTTCTGTGAAATGCCTTCCTCCTCTTTGCACAATGCAGTGATGATAGAAAGATTTCAGCAACGTTAACAGGGTCTTTTTTTGTTTTTTTGGCGTGTGTTTTTTTTTTGAGACAGGGTCTCACTCTGTCACCCAGGTTGGAGTGGAGGGGTGTGATCATAGCTCACTACAACCTTGAACTCCTGGGCTGAAACAGTCCTTCTGCCTCTGCCTCCTAAATAGCTCAGCGTACAGGAATGCACCACGATGCCCAGCTAATGATTGATTGATTGATTATAGAGATGAAGTCTTGCTTTGTTGCCCAGGCTAGTTTTGAACTGGCCTTTCGTCAAGGGATCCTCCCACTTTAGCCTCCCAAAGTGCTAGGATTACAGGCATGAGCCACTGCCCTCAGCCAAACAGGGTCTTTTAAATAATCTTTTAACAATTTAAAATGATTATATACCCATACCAGTGGAGAAAAAATACAGCTTCATTCAAGACATGTTTATAGCAGGGCACGGTGGCTCATGCCTGTAATCCCAGCACTTTAGGGCGGCTGAGGCGGGTGGATCACGAGGTCGGGAGATCGAGATCATCCTGGCTAACACGGTGAAACCTGGTCTCTACTAAAAATACAAAAAAAAAAAAAAATTAGCCAGGCATGGTGGTGGCAGGTACCTGTAGTCGCAGCTACTCAGGAGGCTGAGGCAGGAGAATGGCCTGAACCTGGGAGGCAGAGTTTGCAGTGAGCCAAGATCGCGCCACTGCACTCCATCCTGGGTGACAAAGCAAGCCTCCATCTCAAAAAAAGAAAAAAGACACGTTTATATGCACGGCCTTCTCTGAGAGTAACTGTCAACTCCTGTTATTTCCTTTGGGTTACCAAGAATTGTGCAGGTTTTGGGCACCTATCTGACTAGCTTAGAGCCTTCTGGGGAAAATACTTCACTGGAAACATGATCTGCCTTCATTCACACCAGTTCCAGTACCTTTCTACACATGGATGGTGTAGCTCCTTTATAGGTAGATTGGGATTGTTCTGAGATTGCTTTATATTCTTTGTCACAGTGAATTTAGTACCTAAATTAAAGCCTTCTCTCCTTCTTTTTGTTAACAAAATTACTTGTAACCATATCGTTATGGTTCTAAAATTTGTTCTAAAATTTTGGAGATAAGTTTAGATATGACCATATTGATTAGTATTAAAAGTTGACATTTGGTTGTATGTTTCTCCACTGACTCCCATATAACCCAGTTCGTCCTGGAAGATAGTTTTTTTTTTTTTAATGTTTTGGCTACTTATTTACATTATTTATTTTTAACATATTAGTACATTATTTTTTGTTATCGTTTGTTTTGTTTTGTTTTGTTTTGAGGCGGAGTCTCACTCTGTCGCCCAGGCTGGAGTGCAGTGGTGAGATTTCAGCTCACTGCAACCTCCATCTCCCAGGATCAAGCGATTCTCCTGCCTCAGCCTCCCAAGTAGCTGGGATTATACCACCACACCTGGCTAATTTTTGTATTTTTAGTAGAGACAGGGTTTTACCATGTTGGCCAGGCTGGTCTTGAACTCTTGGCCACAGGTGATCTGCCCGCCCTCAGCCCCCCAAAGTGCTGGTATTGCAGGCTTGAGCCACCAGGCCTTGCCACATTTTGAATTTAAGCAGCCATAAACTGGTCTTAACATACTATAGGAGGTTTCAGTGCCCAGTTATTTTATTTCTTTTTTATTTATTTATTTTTTCGAGACAGAGTCTCCTCTCTGTCACCCAGGCTGGAGTGCAGTGGCGCAATCTCAGCTCACTGCAAGCTCCGCCTCCCAGGTTCAAACCATTCTCCTGCCTCAGCCTCCCGAGTAGCTGGGACTACAGGTGCCTGCCACCACGCCCGTCTAATTTTTTGTATTTGTAGTAGAGACAGGGTTTCACCGTGTTAGCCAGGATGGTCTCAATCTCCTGACCTCGTGATCCGCCCGCCTCGGCCTCCCAAAGTGCTGGGATTACAGCTGGGATTACAGGTGTGAGCCACCACGCCCAGCCTCAGTGCCCAGTTATTTTAGATGATATAGATTAGAAAGATGTTTAATGGCTCATTTGTGGATTTTTTTGGTTTAAAATAATTTTATTTTTTATTTTTATTTTTATTTTGTTCCCCAGCCTGGTCTTGAACTCCTGGCCTCAAATCATTGTCCTGCTTCTGCCTCTGGAAGTGCTGGGATTATAGGCGCCAGCCATCATGCCTGGCTCTCATTTGTTCATTGAAGGGGTCGGATTAGATAACATTTCTACCAATTTTAAAATTATATAAATTGGATAAAGAAGGACTCCAAAGCAATATAGAAAAAGTATGAATTACTAAATGAAAAGCAAGCTATTACAACTTTGTAAAGTACACGAGTAACTGATATTAGATGATATATGAAGAGCTGGGCGCGGTGGCTCATGCCTGTAATCCCAGCACTTTGGGAGGCCGAGGTGAGTGGATCACCCGAGGTTGGGAGTTTAAGACCAGCCTGACCAACATGGAGAAACCCTGTCTCTACTAAAAATACAAAATTAGCTGGGTGTGGTGGCGCATGCCTATAATTCCAGCTACTTGGGAGGCTGAGGCTGGAGAATCACGGGAACCCAGAAGGCGGAGGTTGTGGTGAGCCAAGATTGTGCCATTGCGCTCCAGCCTGGGCAAGAAGAGCGAAACTCTATCTCAAAAAAAAAAAAAAAAAAAAGATCTATGAAGAAATGAAAATGGCAGTGTTGGGATTGTGAACAAATTTTGTTTTTTTCAAAAAATCTTTTGGGAAACTTAGTAATTCTTTTTTTTTTTGAAACAGAGTCTTGTTCTGTCACCAGTCTGGAGTGCAGTGACGTGATCTCCGCTCACTGCAACCTTCGCCTCCCTGGTTCAAGTGATTCTCCTGCCTCAGCTTCCCAAGTAGCTGGGACTAGAGGCAGACGCCACCACACCCAGCAGATTTTTGTATTTTTAGTAGAGACGAGGTTTCGCCATGTTGGCCAGGATGGTCTCGATCTCTTTTCCTCAGCATCCGCCCGCCTTGGCCTCCCAAAGTGCTGAGATTACAGGCGTGAGCCACTGCGCCCAGCCTGAAATTTAGTAATTCTTTAACTGACTTATTTTTGTTAAACTAAAGGGAACTTTAGTACAAGAATAGCCTTTGAGGCCTGAGGCCAGAACTGGGATAGACTGGTCAAGTTCTTAAAGAAAACGGTTGTAACTGGCAAAGTCAGGAGGGAAATGGAGAGTAATTAGTGCAGCAGTAATACTTGTGCCTTCAGGCTCAGGATGTAAGCATGATGCTGATAATAGCTAATCTGGAGTGCTTGCCATGTGCCTGGCACTTTGCCAAGCATTTTCCTTTCATTGACTGGTGAGTTCGCTCTACAATCCCATTCACTTACCTCTCTCTGGTAAGCCATGGTGCTAGCAATGGAATCAGAATCTGTCTGCCTAACCCTCACAAGTGTGTACACTTTACAGTGAGCCATTTATACCTGTCCGGCTGGCAAAACAGTCCACAACTGTCTCCTTAGTGGCTGGATCCCTGCTGGCTCTGCCCCGATGGAAATGCTTTTGCCTTCTCTGCTCAGTGATCACTTTAGAGCACTAGGACAGAACAGAGCCCAGCTTCGAGGGTGAAACCTGATGCTGAAGAATTCACAGCCACACATAGTGTGTCCTCTTATCCCAGCTCTGGGCCACTCACTACCTGCTTGTCCCTGTTCACTTTGTCCCATTGTTCCCAACACTACAAGTACATTTTTGTTTCATGAGCTGAGGGAGGAGGACACCTTATCTGAATGACTTTGGCCACCCCTTTAAACCTCTGAAGGTACAGCCTCGGACAAAGTCCACACTTGTCACACCCTTTTTGGCTGTTGTCTTTTCTCCTCTGTTTGTTTCCCCTCTCTTACTTCCAATCTATCAGGAGACTAAACTATTTCCCAGAAAGGCCTTTTTGAGTTTTTAGTATTATTATGTACCTGCCATTATTGCCTCATTTTAATTGTCAACTTGTATCTTGAGTTTATGGACTAAATCCAAAATGAGGAGCAAAATAGCTTTCTGGTAGATGTCATCTGATGATAGCATGACCATTTTACGAATTTGCCTAATTTGCTTCCTTGGAGCCAGTTCCCTTCCTGGGAACTCAGTGAAGCTCATGCCATCACAGAAAAGAGGTTGATCTTTATGTTTTCCAAGGGAAAAGATAAAGCCTTTAATGCTTGGTGTAGGAGTAAACCAGAGTTTTAAAATAGAATCTGTTTGATGTACCCCAATCAAATATTGTACACCCAACACCTACCTAGCCGTACACATCACCTACCTAGCCGTACACCTACCTAGCAGTACAGCCTGAAACAGCAAACTGATCATGGATATTTTTTCAATCAAAACATGCATTTTTTAGCTGGAACTGTGGCTCATGCCTGTAATCCCAGCTACTTGGGAGACTGAGGCACGAGAATCGCTTGAACCCAGGAGGTGGAGGTTACAGTGAGCTGAGATTGTACCACTGCACTCCAGCCTGGGCGACAAAGTTGAGGCTCTGTCCCCCAAAAATAAAATAAAATAAAATTTAAAAAATAAGCAAAATAGGCCGGGCATGGTGGCTCATGCCTGTAATCCCAGCACTTTGGGAGGCTGAGGCAGGTGGATCACCTGAGGTCAGGAGTTCAAGACCATCCTGGTCAACATGGCAAAACCCTGTCTCTACTAAAAATACAAAATTAGCTGGGCATGGTGGTGGGCGCCTGTAATCCCAGCTACTTGGGAGGCTGAGGCAGGAGAATCGCTTGAACACGAGAGGCAGAGGTTGCAGTGAGCCAAGATTGTGCCATTGCACTCCAGCCTGGGCAACGAGAGTGAAACCCCATCTCAGAAAAAAAGAAAAAAGTAAAAAAATAAATACAGTAAAAACATACATTTTCTTAGCCTCTAAGTCAGGGCATTGAAACTTCAAAGTTTCACAGCTTCCTTTTAAACTAAATTTGGGCTGGGCATGGTGGCTCACACCTATAATCCCAGCAGTTTGGGAGGCTGAGGCGAGTGGATCACCTGAGGTCAGGAGTTCAAGACCAGCCTAGCCAACATGGCGAAACCCCGTCTCTACTAAAAATACAAAAAATTAGCTGGGTGTGGTGGCGGAAGCCTGTAATCCCAGCTACTCGGGAGGCTGAGGCAGGAGAGTTGCTTGAACCCGGGAGGCAGAGGTGGCAGTGAGTGAGATCGTGCCACTGCACTCCAGCCTGGGTGACAAGAGCAAAACTTTGTCTCAGTAAAATAGGATGGGATAGGATAGGACAGGACAGGACAGGACAAAATTTGCCTTTGTTTTGTTAAATCTTAACCATCTAATATTCATCACAGTCTTAATTAAGCCTAGACTTCATTCCTGGGATTGAATTTTGATTGCCCTTGATTTAGTTTATTCTCTAACTCCTTTCATTCTTTAGCTTTTAAACTTTCTGCTTTAACATTCTAGAGATAAGAGTTTCGACATCCCAGTCCTACTGAATTTTGAAGCATTTGACAGCGAGGGGTGGGTTCAGTGTGAATGAGGGCTACTTCCCCCGAGCTGGGACTAATTTTGTGCTCTTTAGTTTCCCACAGTCAAATCACTCGCCTCTACAGCCGGTTCACCAGCCTGGACAAAGGAGAGAATGGGACTCTCAGGTAGGCAGTGTTTTTCTTTATTTTCCTCACAGAAACCAGAAACCCTCTGGCAGTGTCTGAATAGCTGCCTTTATCCCTAGGGTAGACATGATAGACATCCAGCATGCAGATAGCAAGGACCATTTCTCTACTGGTCTTTGAGCATCATTGATCCACAAGAGAATTAAATCAGCAGAACAGGCTGGGCGCGGTGGCTCACGCCTTAATCCCAGCACTTTGGGAGGTCAAGGCGGGCGGATCATGAGGCCAGGAGGTCCAGACCAGCCTGACCAACATGGTGAAACCCCGTCTCTACTAAAAATACAAAAATTAGCTCAGTGTGGTGGTAGGCGCCTGTAATCCCAGCTACTCAGGAGGCTGAGGTAGGAGAATTGCTTGAACCCGGGAGGCAGAGGTCGCAGTGAGCAAAGATCACGCCACTGCACTCCAGCCTCGGCAACAGAGCAAGACTCCATCTAAAAAAAAAAAAAAAAACAGCGGAACTATGACAATTAAATGCATTAACAGATGTGTGTTGCTTTATTCCAACTCCCCTTAATTTAGGTGGCCATTGTTCTGATTCTAGGAATGTATTTTTAAGATTTCAGCTCTCTCTGCTTACATTTTCCCATAATCCTTTCCCAAACATTGGCTTTTAGGAAGTTGACCCATAGCGATCCCAGGTGGTCTAGGTTGTTTTGTCTTCTTTTATTTACCAACCCATAACCCTGAGGTACATCACTTTATGTATATTAATGTTGGACAAAATGTTCAGTATGTTAGTCTAGAGCAGTGGTTCTCATCTGAGGGCCATTTTGCCACCTGGGGCAAAATGTCTGGAAACATTTTTAATTGCCATGACTGGAGAATGCTACTAGTGCCTAGTGGGTTGTGGCCAGAGATGCTGCTAAACATCCTACAGTGCACAGGACAGCCCCCATGACAAATAATTATTCTGGTCTAGATGTCGGTAGTGCCAAAATTGAGAAACTCTGGTCTAGGTAAGTATATGATATCAGAGTGATGTAATGCTATATTGTTTTATGTTTGTAATTGTCTTACCATAATCAAATGAAATATTCTTTACCATTATCTCCCACACTAACTCTCAGTAGCAACCTTTCTTATGCTGTGGTTCTTCATCTTTGATTGGCATGTAATGAAGCTGTTGCCCTTCCTTTTGGCTGGCATGAAGCAGCTTAGGACTTCTTTAGAAAGTTTCTAGCACAGGTGTTGGATGTAGCATAAAGGGGGAAGGAATACAGTTGCTAAGCCTTTGGACGTAATCATCACCCCAAATGGAAACCCCATACTCATTAAGCATGGGGTTAAGCATACCTATTAAGCATACGTATTTCCCCCTTCTCTCATCCCCTGGCAACCATAAATCTACCTTCTTTTTCTCTCTGGACAATTCATATAAATGGAATTATATGGCCCTCTCATAACTGACTTCTTCTGGCTGGACACGGTGGCTCATGCCTGTAATTCTAGCACTTTGGGAGGCCAAGGCGGGCGGATCACCTGAGATCAGGAGTTCGAGACCAGGCTGGCCAACATGGGGAAACCCCGTCTCTATTAAAAATACAAAAATTAGCGTGGCGTGGTGGTGGGCGCCTGTGCGTGGTGGTGGGCGCCTGTAATCCAAGCTACTCAGGAGGCTGAGGCAGGAGAATTGCTTGAACTTGGGAGGTGGAGGTTGCAGTGAGCCCAGATTGTGCTGCTGTATTCCAGCCTGGGCGACAGAGAGAGACTTTGTCTCAAACAAACAAACTGACTTCTTCTACTTAACATGATGTTTTTAAGGTTCATCCATGATGTAGCATATACCAGTACTTCATTCCTTTTTATGGCTGAATAAATAGTCTGTCATATGGATATGCCACATTTGTGTATCCATTCAGCAGTTAGTAAACATTTGAGTTTACACCTTTTGAGTATTGCAAATAGTGTTGCTTTAAACATTTTTGGGTGCACATATGTTTTAATTTCTCTTGGACGTATACCTAGGAGTGGAATGGTGGGTCATATGAGTTGTCTTTTCACTCTCTTTGTAGTGTTCTTTAAAGCACAAAAGTTTTTAATTTTGATGAAGTCCAGTTTCTTTAATATTTCTTTCAGTGCTTGTGCTTTTGGTATCATATATAAGAAACCATTGCCAAATCCAGTGTCCCAAAGGCTTATCCTATATCTTCTTGTAAGGGCTTTATGGTTTTAGTTCTTATATTAAGGTCTTTTGATTTATTTTGAGTTGGTTTTGTATATGGTGTCAGAGAAGAGTCCAACATCATTTTTTTTTGCATGTGGATATCCAGTTGTACCAGCACCATTCGTTGAAGACGCTATTAAAACTATGTGAATTTACACTTGAAAAATAACTAGACTAGAAATCCCTATTTGTAATTTTAGCTCCAATACTTAAAAATTCCTTTGAGTTTATACTTGCCTCATAAATTCAGACTTAACCACCCAGTAAAGACTTAAAATTTATATTCTGAGTTCTTTTCTTCTTTGTAGAAAGTGGGTGGTTTCTAAATGTGTGTGTTTTTATCATGTTTGCTGTGTGCTGGAAAATAATCGAAAAGTTTTTTTTTTAATGAGCTGTTTCTTTTTTTTTTAAGATGGAGTTTCACTCTTGTTGGCCAGGCTGGAGTGCAATGGTGTGATCTCGGCTCACTGCAACCTCTGCCTCCCGGGTTCAAGTGATTCTCCTGCCTCAGCTTCCTGAGTAGCTAGGATTACAGGCGCATGACACCACGCCCTGCTAATTTCTGTATTTTTAGTAGAAACGGGGTTTCACCATCTTGGCCAGGCTGGTCTCAAACTCCTGACCTCGTGATCCACCCGCCTTGGCCTCCCAAAGTGCTGGGATTAAAGGTGCGAGCCACCGTGCCTGGCCAAAAAGCTTTTTTTTTTTTTTTTTTTTTTTTTTGAGAGAGAGTCTCGCTCTGTAGCCCATGGTCTCGATATCCTGACCTCGTGATGCACCTGCCTGGCTAACGCAGTGAAACCCCGTCTCTATTAAAAATACAAAAAATTAGCTGGGCGTGGTGGCAGGCGCCTGTAGTCCCAGCTACTCGAGAGGCTGAGGTAGGAGAATCACTTGAACCTGGGAGGCGAGATCACGCTACTGCACTCCAGCCTGGGAGACACAGCTAGACTCCATCTCAAAAAATTAAAAAAAAGCCCGGGTGTGGTGGCTCACACCTGTAATCCCAGCACTTTGGGAGGCTGAGACGGGCGGATCACAAGGTCAGGAGGTCGAGACCATGGGCTACAGAGCGAGACTCTGTCTCAAAAAAAAAAAAAAAATGTTGAAAACTTTCCAGGCGTCAGTGTAGCCTGCTCCTTAAAATCTAAGTAAGGGCCAAGCGCAGTGGCTTACACCTGGCTGTAATCCAGCACTTTGGGAGGCCAAGGCAGGTGGATCACTTGAGGCCAGGAGTTTGAGATCGGCCTGGCCGACATGGTGAAACACCATCTTTACGAAAAATACAAAAATTAGCTGGGTGTGGTGGCGCATGCCTGGAATTCCAGGTACTTGGGAGGTTGAGGCAGGAAAATTGCTTGAACCCGGGAGGCGGAGGTTGTAGTGAACCAAGATTGCAGCACTGCCCTGCACCCTGGGCAACACAGTGAGATCCTGCCTTTAAAAAAAAAAAAAATTCTGGCCGGTTGTGGTGGCTCACTCTTGTAATCCCAGCACTTTGGGAGGCCGAGATGGGTGGATCAGCTGAGGTCAGGAGTTCGAGACCAGGCTGGCCAACATGGTAAAACCCCGTCTCTACTAAAAATACAAAAAAATTAACCAGGTGTGGTGGCGCACGCCTGTAATCCCAGCTACTTGGGAGGCTGAGGCAGGAGAATCACTTGAACCCGGGAGGTGGAGGTTGCAGTGAGCCGAGATCGTGCCACTGCACTCCAGCCTGGGCAGCAGAGCAAGACTCCATCTTAAAATAAATAAATAAATAGGGCCGGGCGCGGTGGTTCACGCCTGTAATCCCAGCACTTTGGGAGGCCGAGGCAGGCAGATCATGGGGTCAAGAGAAGACCAACCTGGCTAACACAGTGAAACCCCGTCTCTACTAAAAATACAAAAAATTAGCTGGGAGTGGTGGTGGGTACCTGTAGTCCCAGCTACTCGGGAGGCTGAGGCAGGAGAATGGTGTGAACCCGGGAGGCGGAGCTTTCAGTGAGCCGAGATCACACCACCATACTCCAGCCTGGGCGACAGAGCAAGACTCCGTCTCAAATAAAAAAATAAATAAATAAAATAAATAAATAAATAAATAAGTATCTAAGTAAGATTTGCTCAATCTGTAAGTTACCATTTCACAGCCTGTGGAAAACCAGCAGACTAGCTCACTCATTTGGTAGGTATTTACTGACTATCTATGATGTGCCAGACACTGTTCTCCATGCTGGCAATATTTTTTTTTTTTTTGTAAGAGACAGGGTCGCACTCTGTCTCCTAGGCTGGAGTGTAATGGCACCATCACAGCTCACTGCAACCTCAACCTCCTGGGCTCAGACAGTTCTCCCACCTCAGCTGCCCAAGTAGCTAGGACTACAGGCATGCATCACTATGCCTGGCTAATTTTTTTTTCTTTTTACTTTTAGCAAAAAAGCAAAAAAGCGCACATTATGTGGTACAATGGAATAGTTTCTTCTAGGTATTCAAGGTAGCTTGGTGCTTCTCCTGTTATTTTTATTTTATTTTCATTTTTTGTGGAGACACAGTCTCACCTTGTTGCCCATGCTGGTCTCAAACTCCTGGGCTCCATCAGTCCTCCCGCCATGGCCTCCCAAAGTACTGGGATTATAGGCATAAGCCACTGTACCTGGCCTGAAAGCTCTAGGTCTTAAACCTGTTCTTTGATCTCTATCATGGTGTGGATTGAAATATAAGAAAGGTTGGGCGAGGAGACTCATGCCTGTAATCCCAGCACTTTGGGAGGCTGAGGTGAGAGGATTCCTTGAGGCCCGGAGTCTCAAGACCAGCCTGAGCAACATAGTGAAACCCCGTCTCTACAAAAAATAAAAATAAATGAGAGAAGCACCAAGCTACCTTGAATACCTAGAAGAAATTAGCCAATTGTACCACATAATGTGCCACATAGTAAACGAGTAATATATTTTATGTAAATCGTTTTGTCAGACCCACCCACTACTGGGATTTCACTCTGGCTGTGCCTCCTGACAATTATCTTCTTAGCCTGTGGCCATCCGATTAAATTGTCTTCCCCTTCTCTCAGCCCTCTCCTCTTCTACCCCCTCTAGCCTTAGAAATGAGTTGGCCTAACTGGGAACTCTTCTCTAGTAGAATGATCCAGTTCTCTCCAGCCTTTGTTGCCAAACTCAGCTTAAGGCCTGTCTTGATGTTTCCAGGACCCATCAGAGTGCTCATCCGAATACAAGTGGCTTCCAATCTTTTGTTACCTGGAACAGCTTCCACCTTCTTTTTTTGGTTTTTGTTTTTGAGACAGGGTCTGACTCTATTGCCCAGGCTTGATTGCAGTGGCACCATCACGGCTCACTGTAGCCTCCCACCTCAGCCTCCTGAGTAGCTGGGACTACAGGCACGTGTCACTGCCTGGCTAACTTTTGTATTTTTTGTAGAGAGGAGGTCTCGCCATGTTCCCCATGACTGGTCTCGAACTCCTGAACTCAAACCATCTGCCTGCCTCAGTCTCCCAAAGTGCTGGGACTACAGATGTGTGCCACCATGCCTGGCCTTCACCTTCTTTTTTTTTTTTTTTTTTTTTTTTTTTTGAGATGGAGTCTCGCTCTGTCGTCCAGGCTGGAGTGCAGTGGCACGATCTCGGCTCACTGCAACCTCCGCCTCCCGGGTTCATGCCATTCTCATGCCTCAGCCAACCGAGTAGCTGGGACTACAGGTGCCCGCCACCACACCCAGCTAATTTTTTGTATTTTTAGTAGAGACGGGGTTTCACTGTGTTAGCCAGGATGGTTTTGATCTCCTGACCTTGTGATCCACCTGCCTTGGCCTCCCAAAGTGCTAAGATTACAGGCGTAAGCCACTGCGCCCGGCCTCGCCTTCACCTTAAGAAGGCAGTTGTAGTTATTAGGAGAAAGATTTTCACTTCAACAATTTTTTTTTTTTTTTTTTACTTTCCTCTTTCAAGGTGCTCCATGTCTGGGCCTGAAGCCAAATTCTGCAGAGTGAGAGGCTACAGTGTACAGTCTGGGGCATTCTGCATTCCTTTGTAGTGATCAGCTCCAGTGGAACATAAGGCAGAACTGTGGAAGGCTTTGGTTAGAATGGAGCTTCTTCAGAGTGCTTTCAGAGACTCACTCCGAAGCATGCTTTATAGAACAGTCATTCCTTGGTCTATCAATAGGTGTTATGTTAAAAAAAAAAAAAAAAAGCAAAAAGTTATTGACTAAAATTTGTGAAAACCTTGGTCAACAAGGTTAAATAGGCTACCTAATTACTAGATTTCACCACATCTTTAATTTACCTGGGTGAATTGGGAACATTCAAGGGAGAAGTGTTTGCCAAATTGATTTGCAATTTCCCTGTCTGCCTTTTTACATGGACCATCTCTTCAGATTGATATTTCACGGAATATAAATATACACTGTAACCTTATAAACCTTACTTTCTTCAGATGCCATTATTTTGGGTAAGATATTTCTACCATTGCCATAGAGATTGTTTTTTCTAAAAAGGCAGCTTAGGCCAGGCGCAGTGGCTCATGCCTGTAATCCCAGCACTTTGGGAGGCCGAGGCAGGGGAATCGCTTGAACCCGGGAGGCGGAGGTTGCAGTGAGCCAAGATCATGCCATTGCACTCCAGCCTGGGCAGTAAGAGTGAAATTCCATCTCAAAAATAAATAAATAATAAATAAATAAATAATAAAGAGGAGGAGAAGAAATAATTTTTAAAATAGGAACAAAATCCAGGTGAGGTTTCTTACCAAAAAAAAAAAAAAGGAACAGAAGCAAACTTCCCAGCTAAAGGGCCCATTTTTAGTCTAAGAAGGTTCACCTAATGCTGAACAATGAATAATAAAGAATACTTCACAATAAGATATATATAGATGAAATTTCAGAATATCAAGAGGAGATATTTAAGACTTTCTTTCTTTCTTTCTTTTTTTTTTTTTGAGACAGAGTCTCGCTCTGTCACCAGGCTGGAGTGCAGAGGCACAATCTCGGCTCACTGCAGCCAAGTTCACCGCTTCCGGGTTCAAGTGATTCTCCTGCCTCAGCCTCCAGAGTAGCTGCAATTATAGGCGTGCACTACCACGCCCAGTGAATTTTTTTATTTTTAGTAGAGACGGGTTTCACCATGTTGGCCAGGATGGTCTCGATCTCTTGACCTTGTGACCCACCCACCTCAGCCTCCCAAAGTGCTAGGATTACAGGTGTGAGCCACTGTGCCTGGCCCAGAGGATGTTTTTAAAGCAAACTTTATTGAAGTATAACATACAGAAAAGTGCACAAATCAAAAGCATTGGACATGATAAATTTTCACCAAGGGAAGACTATCCAGCCTCCAGATGAAGAAACTGATTATTACCAATACCCAGAAGCTTCCCTTATGCTCCTTTTGTCTTTACCTGCTCCCCTCCCCAAAGGGTAATCATTATCCTGCCTTGTAACTCCATAGATTACATCAGAACAAAGAATATTTAAAGAAGAGAAACCATCTTTGTGTTCAGATACTGACCAGGCTCTTACCTTAACCTGACCTGCAAAAGACCACTTTAGGACCCCTGGGGTCCCCAACCTCTGGGTTGCAGACCAGTACCAGTCTGTGGCCAGTTAGGAACCGGGCTACACAGCAGGAGGTGAACAGAATGCAAGTGAGCATTATCACCTGAGCACCGCCTCCGGTCAGATCAGTGGCGGCACTAGATTCTCATAGGAACAGAAACCCTATTGTGAACTGCCCATGTGAGGGATCTAGACTGAGTGCTCCTTATGAGAATCTAATGCCTGCTGATCTGAGGTTGAACAGTGTCATCCTGAAACTATCCTGTCTACCCCCAGGAGAAAAATTATTTTCCATAAAACTGGTCCCTGGTCCCAAAAAGGCTGGGGATCGCTGCCAGCTGCCTTTTTTTTTTTTTTTTTAATTAGAGACAGGGTTTCCCTATGTTGCCCAGGCTGGTCTCGGACTCCTGGGTTGGGATTACAGGCACATGCCACTATGCCTGGCTTATTTTGTATTTTTAATAGAGACAGGGTTTCTCCATATTGGTCAGGCTGGTCTCAAACTCCTGACCTCAGGCGATCTGCCCACCTTGGCCTCCCAAAGTGCTGGGATTATAGGCGTCAACCACCACGCCTGGCCATCTTATCCATTTAATTTAAAAATACTGATTAAGTGCTTTAGCTAATGGAAATTTTTGTCATTTCAGTGTTAATAAATATGTTGTACCATATGCTTAACCTCTCATACTACTTAAAATGGAAAGCTGTATTTTCTTTTCTTTTTTTTTTTTGAGACAGAGTCTCGCTCTGTTGCCCAGGCTGGAGTGGTACAATCTTGGCTGACTGCAACCTCCGCCTCCCGGGTTCAAGCAGTTCTCTGCCTCAGCCTCCCAAGTAGCTGGGATTACAGGCACCCGCCACCACGCCCGTCTGATTTTTGTATTTTTAGTAGAGACGGGGTTTTACCATCTTGGCCAGGCTCGTGTCTAACTCCTGACCTCATGATCCACCCACCTCGGCCTCCCAAAGTGCTGGAATTACAGGAGTGAGCCACCACGCCCGGCCTGGAAAGCTGTGTTTTCTAATTGAATGTGTGTTCCAGTGGGTATGTCCTATTAACAGATTTTAATCTCCTCATTATGTACAAGTCAACTAAAGCAACAACCTGTGGGTGCTTGAGATAGAAGTTACCTGTGAGGCTGAATCTCTCTGTAAGAGAAGGGACTTGCACAGTGAAGGTGAGCAGTATAGAGGGATGGCATGTCTGGTTACTAACAGTCTAAAAACCCTGGTTTTTCTAAGCATCCCTGTGCCCTTGAATGTTTGGAAAACCACTCCCCATTGGAAATTTCTTGGCCACAAAGAATGCCATCGTACATGGCTCTGTTCTCAGAATTGACTACTACCAGTGATACTGTCTTTTTCTAAAAAAATCTTCAAGGAAGGTTTTCCTAGGTATACCATGAGGCAGAACATAATGTTGGTATGCTTTTCAGTGAATCCACACAAATCTGTATTTCACATGGTTTTTTTTTTTTTTTTTTTTTTTTTTTTTTGAGATGGAGTCTCACTCTGTCACCAGGCTGGAGTGCAGTGGCGCAATCTTGGCTCACTGCAACCTCCACCTCCCAGGTTCAAGTGATTCTCCTTTCTCAGCCTCCAGAGTAGCTGGGACTACAGGCTCGCGCCACCATGCCCAGCTAATTTTTGTGTTTTTAGTAGAGACGGGGTTTCACCATGTTGGCCAGGATGGTCTTGATCTCTTGACCTCGTGATCCACCTGCCTCAGCCTCCCAAAGTGCTGGGATTACAGGCGTGAGCCACTGTGCCCGGCCTTCGGATGGATCTTATGCTTGTGGTGTTTAGGCCACTTTGGAGTATTTATTTTTTTCTATTAGGTTTATGTTGATGGGTAAATTTGAGAATCTAAGTTTTAGAGAAACTGCCCAGATCTACATTCTACTATAAAGCAACCAGTAATAATAACTTGTTCGTATATTATTTATTTAACAGTTGACAAAGTATTTATTTATTTATTTATTTATTTATTTATTTATTTATTTATTTATTTTGAGACGGAGTCTTGCTCTGTCACCAGGCTGGAGTGCAGTGGCGCAATCTTGGCTCACTGCAACCTCCACCTCCCAGGTTCATGCCATTCTCCTGCCTCAGTCTCCCGAGTAGCTGGGACTACAGGTGCCCGTCACCACGCCTAGCTAATTTTTTGTTTTTTTAGTAGAGACGGGGTTTCACCGTGTTAGCCAGGTTGGTCTTCATCTCTTGACCTCATGATCCTCCCGCCTCGGCCTCCCAAAGTGCTGGGATTACAGGTGTGAGCCACTGCGCCCGGCTGACAAATTATTTTTTATACTCTTTCTGTTTGTTTTGTTTTTTCTGTTTTGAAACAGGGTCTCACTCTGTCACCCAGGCTCGAGGGCAGTGATGTTACCATGGCTCCTTGCAGCCTTGACCTTCTAGGCTCAAACAATCCTCCCGCTTCAGCTTCCCAAGTAGCTGGGACTACAGGCACGTGCCACCATGCCTGGCTAATTTTTTTTTTTTTTTTAAACTTTTTAGAGATGTGGTCTTGCTCTGTTGCCCAGGCTGGTCTCGAACTCCTAGCCTGAAGCAGTTCTTCCACCTTGGCCTCCAAAAGTGCTGGGATTATAGGCTGAGCTGCCATACCCAGCCCTCTTTCTTTTTAACTTTAATACTTTTAGCAATACTGTCCTTGATCTGGGTGACTGGAACTACATTATATATACAATCTAAATTCTAAGAGTAGAGTTAGAAAGTATCAAAGGACAGGTCCATCGGAAGGCCAAGTGTACACCTCCTTATTGAGACTGAAGTTCAGGCTAGGTTGTGCATCACCACTTGATACTAGACTTGGTATTTAAACTGCCTTTTCTCAGCTAAAGTTTCTTAAGCTTGTTAGACATTAAACTGAAGTATGTAGCCATGCAATTCAAATCAGCCTTAGTCTTAATTTAAAAGTGAGTAGTTATTGTTTCTTGACCTCTGTCAGACAGGAGGAGCTACATTTTGATGATAGTGTAGACTTTGTATTACAGAACAAATTATGTAATAAAAGCTTAGTACATGTTTGTTGAATTAAATAATCAGGACCTCGGTAATTTTCTCTTTCATCATCTTAAGCAATCCAGTTATCTTATGAATGACTTCTTCTGGTTCATGCATTGATATAAAATTATTACACTAAATGGTCAAGAAGGACTAGAATCCAGGATGATTGTTCCAGAGCTTTGTGTTCAGTCCACTAGGTCAGTTTCTACCTGTGTCACCAAATGTGGTGGAGAAGAGCTTGCTGAGTTAATTAAGCACCACGTAAACGTTAAACCACAAGAGGAAAAGAGCGTGAAGTCTCCTGGGTACAGTAGGAGTATTTTATTATCTTCCGTCTTTGCTAGCATATATTACAAAGAGGGTGGAGGTATACATTTTATCTGTCTGTAAGTAAACTTCTTGAAGGCAGGAGTAAAATCTAGTTTATAATCTTTTTTTTAACTTTTTATCTGGAAATAATTTTAAACTTGAAGTTACAAGAACAATACAAGATAACTTTTATTCTGATACCCAGATTCACCAATTGTTAACATTTTGTCACATACTTCACTGTTTATTTCCTATAGAAAGGACATTCTCAGATCAAAATCAAGAAAGTTGCATTTTGAAACAGTACCATTATGTAATATTCCATATTTTATATGGTCCATGCTTCATTTTCACATATTATCCAATAATGTCCTTATAGCAGTTTTTTTCCTAGTCCGGGATCATGTGTTGGGTTTTGTTGTGTGTCTCTTTAGCCCCCCCTTGATCTGGAACAATCCTCTGCTTTTCTTTGTCCTCCATGACATTGATATTTTTGAAGACTGCAGCACAGATAAGTTGTAGACAGCTTTGTATTCTTGGCCCAGGAACCAACAAAAGAAAGTTTTTAAAAAATACTTATTGAAAAATTGGGGGACTGGGTGCGGTGGCTCACGCCTGTAATCCCAGGACTTTGGGAGGCTGAGGTGGGTGGATCACCTGAGGTCAGGAGTTCAAGACCAGCCTGGCCAATGTGGTAAAACCCCACCTCTACTAAAAATACAAAAATTGGCCGGGCATGGTAGCACCCGCTTGTAATGCTAGCTACTTGGGAGACTGAAGCAGTAGAATCGCTTGAACCCGGGAGGAGGAGGTTGCAGTGAACCCAGAGATCAAGCCACTACACTCCAGCCTGGGAGCGAAACTCCATCTCAAAAAAATAAAAATAAAGAATTTGGGGGAGAGTAACTTTCATTCAAAAGGTTCAATATTAGGGCTGGGCACCGTGGCTCACTCCTGTAATCCCACCCAGCACTTTGGGAGGCCGAGGCCGGCAGATCACCTGAGGTCAGGAGTTCAAGACCAGCCTGGCCAACATGGTGAAACTCCGTCTCTACTAAATGTACAAAAAACTAGCCAGGCGTGGTGGAGAGTGCCTGTAATCCCAGCTACTTGGGAGGCTGAGGCAGGAGAATCGCTTGAACCTGGGAAGTGGAGGTGGCAGTGAGCCAAGACCATGCCATTGCATTCCAGCCTGGGTGACTGAGCAAGACTCTGTCTCAAAAAAAAGTTCAATATAGGAAAGAAATATGGTTTTTAGAAAAAGAACACATACTTTGACTTACAGACTTAGATTTAAATCACAGTTCTGCTACTTAGGAGTAGTGTGGCTTTGGGCAAGTTACTTTATCTTCCTGACTCTCAATTTCCTCAGCTCTAAAAGGGTATACATAAAACATTGGCGTGAAGAAATGAGAATAATGTATGTAAACAGAGCAGCACATGATATATATGTGATGAATGGTAACTGACAATATTCGCTTTGGTATAACCTCGCCTAAGTCATGTGAGGATGACTGCTCTTGTCATGTTTGAGGGTTAAATACTTCTGTAGCCCTAGTCCACAGAACATGGAAATGGAGAAAAAGCCAGAGTCAGAACAAGGAAATCAATTGGTTGTCACATTATTTCCTTGCATGTAAATAGCACCTAAGAATTCCTTGCATTTTGTAAGTGCCTAAAAATCTTAACAAGGATATGGAGACCCCTCTAAGTGTTTGTCCCCATATTCAAGTTCTGCAGTATTTGATACTTTCCATTTGCTGTTCACTTTCCAAACTTAATAACTAGGTACGCAATGCTAATGTTCAAGAAATCATTTACTAAGGGACAGCTTAGTATTTGTCCATCAGTTGGCTTATTGACGTAACCTGTGTGCTAAATTCACTGGAATGTGGCGTAATCAAATCTGGCTCCTTCCACTTCTGAGTTGGTGCAAGAAACACTTGGCAGCTATTAAAGTGCTATTCTTTGCAGTTATTTGGTATAATTTGCCACAGAAGTAAATTCCAGGAGGTAATATTCTTGCTAGGTTACACCCTGTTACCTCCTGACTTAAGGAGTTCATGCTAAGGGCAATGATCTCTATCTAACTCAAGGTGATTCTCTTGGCAGCCGGGAAGATTTCCAGAGGATTCCAGAACTTGCCATCAACCCACTGGGGGACCGGATCATCAATGCCTTCTTTCCAGAGGGGTGAGTCAGTACAGTTGTTGGACTTCCTTCCTGAGGCTATCACAACCTAAATTATTTGCTAATCTGGAATAATGATATTGGTTGTGCCATCTCAGACTGTGATACCCCCTGATTATATTGAGCAATTCTAATTTTGTCATTTCTAGAATATCTCTTCTGTTCTACCCTCCTGTGTGTTTTAAACTTCAAATAGATATATGAGCCTATCTTCAAAATTCTTATGTTTATCATTGATGTAAAACTAGACTTTTAAAAAATGTTTATTTGGAAATAATTTCAAATTTACAAAAAAGTTGCAAAAGTTAAAAGTAATTCGGAGAATACTTGTATATTTATTGCCCTGATGCATCTACTGTTATATTGTTAACATTTTGCCTCATTTGTGTGCTCTCTTCTTAGTAGTAGCCAATAAAAATATAATGCAAGCCACATACGTAATTTTACATTTTCTAGTAACCACATTTAAAAAGTAAAAATAAGTTAACTTTGGTAATATATATTTTATTTAATATATTTAAAATATTATTTCCATATATAATCAATATTAAAAATAACTGAGATCCTTTTTTCGTTTGTTTGTTTGTTTTAAGACAGAGTCTTGCTCGGTCGCTCAGGCTGGAGTACAGTGGTGCCATCTCGGCTCACTGCAACCTCTGCCTCCCGGGTTCAAGCGATTCTCCTGCCTCAGCCTCCGAGATAGTTGGGATTACAGCCACATGCCACCATACCTGGCTAATTTTTGTATTTTTAGTAGAGACAGGGTTTCACCATGTTGGCCAGGCTGGTCTTGAGCTCCTGACCTCAGGTGATCCGCCTGCCTCAGCCTCCCAAAGTACTGGGATTACTGGCGTGAGCCACCATGCCCAGCCTACATTTTTTCATAATAAGTCCTTGAAATCCAGTGTGTAATTTACACTTAAACACATATCAAGTCAGACTGACCATGTTTTCAGTGCACATAACCAGATGTGACAAGTGACTGCAGTATTGAACAGCGCAGCTTGTACACCCGTGCTTACTCTACATACCCTCTCTTGCAGACACTTTTTCCCTCTCTCTTTCCCCTCTCTCTACCTACACATACTCTACGTGTGTGTGTATATACATACATACATGCCTACATGTACGTACATACATACACATACATACATGTATGTATATACACATACTTATGTAATTTTTTTGTGTATGTGTGTTCACATAATTGTATTTCTGAACTATTTCAGGGTAAGTTGCATAGTAATGACCCTTTACCTCTGAATGCACCAGTGTGTGTTTGCTAAGAATAGGGACATTCTTTTACATATCCATAGTATAGTTATCTACTTCAGTAAACTTAACATTGATACAATCCTCTTATCTAATCTATTACTCTGTTTTATTAACATATTATCCAGTTTATTCTAATTTATATTCATATTCCAATTTTGTCATCCAATAATCTGTTTTATAGCACTTCCCCGCCTCCAGTACAGGATCTAGTCTGGGTCAGTTGTCATGTCTCTTTAGCCTCCTTTAATCTGGAACATTTCCCCAGCCTTTATTTTACTTTCGTGATATTGAATAAACATAGTTCTCACCACATATGCTTTGTCAAGTAGATTGTTCTTAATGTGGGTTTTTCTAACATGAAACTAGTCTTTTGATATGCTTTACTACCTAATACACTGCCTTCACAGTAGTGAGTAAATATTTACTGATTTGATTAGGTACCTTTTCAACAATAAAACTTACATATAAGCTTGTTTTAAGTAATTTCCTAAACAATCTATTCCTGGTTTATATGGATAGTCTATGACCCACAGGACTTCAAAATATTATATGGGTGCCAGTTTTTAATAATGAGACTGTCAATGAGGACACTGTCAGATAAAATGCCTGGAGAGGAAATTTTAGAACTCTAAATTGAGAGCAAAGGAATTTGCTAGTTGAGAGGGTTGGGCATTCAGGAAATGTGAGTGAAAGTCAGAAGGGGAATTAGGTCGGGCAGTTAGTTCATGTAAAGATGGGAATCAAATCACGTTGACTATGAGGAATCTTATGCCCTCTTTCATTTTTTCCTTTCTCTCTCCTTGAACTGCCCTGTTTGTTTCAGGTGTGGTTTTTATGCTGAATTCTTCCTTTTTTCTAATTCCTCTTTTACCCCTGCAAAGCATTGAACCCTATCCAGAGATAACTTTCACAGCTATGCTTTGTATCCAAACCTTTTGCAATGAAAAGTAAACCCAGGAGAGTCACTTTGCCAACTTTTTTTCAGAATTCCTTAGTCACCATTGATTACTTGAAGAAGCAGCTTGTGGGAAGCTGTTTTGTAAGACTAAACTACATTTGCTGTGACTACAATATCACCTGTCATTCTGTCCACCAATCTACTGCTAAGGAAATGGGACAGAGTGCATATGAGGAAGTGGAGGGCTCTACTGGGCTGCACTGCTTAGCTCTTAGCAAGCTGCGACTCTGCTTCTTGCTCTAATCAGATAGATATATTTGGCTTCTGGGTTTTTCTTTCTTCCCTAGGCATATGCACATTGGGGCTTTTTTTTTTTTTTTTTTAAAGAATGAGATTTGAAAGTGGACCATGGTTATTCAATTCCCTTTTACCCAGAAACTTTATGCTAGCAATAATCATTAATGTGTTTTTTCTAGCATATGTTTTAAACTTTACTCCACATTACTTGATTCCTCAGATCTGACATTTTTGACCAGATACTGGTCCATTAGCAGTATAGATACATCGAAGAACTAAAAGGTCATTCTTTTGTTTTGTTTTTTGTTTTTTTGAGACGGAGTCTCCCTCTGTCTCCCAGGCTGGCATGCAGTGGTGTGATCTTGGCTCACCGCAACCTCTGCCTCCTGGGTTCGAGTGATTCTCCTGCCTCAGCCTCCCCAAGTAGCTGGGACTACAGGCTCACGCCACCACGCCTGGCTAAGGTTTCACCACGTTGGCCAGGCTGGTTTTGAACTCTTGACCTCAGGTGATCCGCCCGCCCCGGCCTCCCAGAGTGCTGGGATTATGGGCGTGAGCCACTGCACCCAGCCAAGGTCATTCTTTTGAGTACAGATGGCTCACAGGCTAGCCTTTGAACTCTGCCTTTAGAAGGGCTATGAACTGCATGTCTATAGAGCACAGAAGAGAACCTACATACCTCAGCTATTCGGTGGGGCACAGAAAGGCTGGGGTTTTTTTTTTTTTTAGGTAACCACAGGAACCAGGCCATCTGCCTTAGATAAATAAATTATATTATGTTACATGGGGCATTCTTTTTTAATATTAAAGAACATTCTTCATTCAAGTTTTGAGAATTATTTCTTACAGGGTTATTGATTAGCCTGTGGCACAATGAAAAGATTTTCTCCAAGCTTAAGTACCAAAAAGGCTTTATACACAAGAGGTCTTTCAAAACTTTTTTTTTTTTTTTTTTGAGATGGAGTCTCCCTCTGTCACCCAGGCTGGAGTGCAGTGGTGCAGTCTCGACTCATTGCACCCTCCATCTTTGGGGTTCAAGTGATTCTCCTGCCTCAGGCTCTCAAGTAGCTGGGATTACAGGCATGCACCACCAGGCCCAGCTAATTTTTGTATTTTTAGTAGAGACGGGGTTTCACCATGTTGGCCAGGCTGGTCTTGAACTCCTGACCTCAGGTGATCCACCCACCTTGGCCTCTTGAAGTGCTGGGATTATAGACGTGAGCCACTGTGCCTGGCCTAAAAGATTATTTAGAGAAAAATTATCCAATTATGAGGGAATAATAAAATCATGATGTGTCCACAGAATTATGCATATGTTTTAAATGTTTCAAAGTATTTATATTGATTGGAGAAATGCTTAAAAGTTAAAAAAAAAGGCAGGATACTAATACAGTTATCTGAAAAGCATAGAAAAGTTACTAGAAGAAAATGCATTCATATATATATGAGGGAGTCTTGCACCGTCACCTGGGCTGGAGTGCAGTGGCGCAGTCTCGGCTCACGCAACTTCTGCCTCCTGTGTGTTCAAGTGATTCTCCCACCTCAGCCTCCCAAATAACTGGCAGTATAAGCGTGAGCCACCATGCCTGGCTGATTGATTGATTGATTAATTGATTGATTCCTTCCTTCCTTCCTTTCCTCCCTCCCTTCCTTCCTTTTCCTTTCCTTTTCCTTCCTTTTCCTTTCCTTTCCCTTTCCTTTCCTTTTCTTTTTTTTTGACATAGTCTTGCTGTGTCACCCAGGCTGGAGTGCAGTGGTGCAATCTAGGCTCACTGCAGCCTCTGCCTCCCAGTTTCAAGCGATTCTCCTGCCTCACCCTCCCGAGTAGCTGGGATTACAGGTGCCCACTACCACGTCCAGCTAATTTTTTTGTATTTTTAGTAGAGACAGGGTTTTACCATGTTGGTCAGGCTGGTCTCAACTCCTGGCCTCAAGTGATCTGCCTGCCTCAGCCTCCCAAAGTATTAGGATGATGGGCATGGACCACCGTGCCCAGCCAGAAAATATATTTATATTAACTGTGGTTGTAATTGGTAGAACTCGGATCAGTATTTTTCTATCTACTTTTCTTTTTTCCACATTTTCAAATTTATGTTTGCTTTTATAATTAAATAAACTTGGCTGGGCATGGTGGCTCATGCCTGTAATCCCAGCACTTTGGGAGGCCGAGGTGGGCAGATCATGAGGTCAGGAGATTGAGACGATCCTAGCTAACACGGTGAAACCCTGTCTGTACTAAAAATACAAAAAATTAGGCTGGGTGCAGCAGCTCACACCTGTAATCCCACCACTTGGGAGGCTGAGGCGGGCAGATCACCTGAGGTCGGGAGTTCGAGACTAGCCTGACCAACATGGAGAAACCCCGTCTCTACTAAAAATATAAAATTAGCTGAGCGTGGTGGCGCATGCCTGTAATCCCAGCTACTCCAGAGGCTGGGGCAGGAGAATCGCTTGAACCAGGGAGGCGGAGGTTGCAGTGAGCTGAGATCGCGCCATTGCATTCCAGCCTGGGCAACAAGAGCAAAACTCCATCTCAAAAAAAAAAAAAAAAAATACAAAAAATTAGCCGGGCATGGTGGCGGGCGTCTGTAGTTCCAGCTAGTCAGGAGGCTAAGGCAGGAGAATTGCTTGAACCCGGGAGGCGGAGGTTGCAGTGAGCCGAGGTAGTGCCACTGCATTCCAGCCTGGATGCAAGACTCTGTCTCAAAATAAATAAATAAAGCAAGACTTTATTTATTTATAAGCAGAGCAAGACTCTGTCTCAAAATAAATAAATAAATAAGAAAAATTAAAAATTAAATAAACTTTATTTTAAAAGCGGCCTTTCCATAATGTGCCTTAATTTTAAAATATCCCTTGGTATACATTACTGCAGGGGAGATGGGGGAGATGTGGGAGGTGGCTGAGGAGTCATTGGGCTGCCTGTGGCTCGCTGCAGAGTTCAAAGCAATGAGTTCAAGTTCTGGCTGTCTTGTATAGTGCTGGCACTACTCTACATTCATTTTTTGGAAAACAGATGCAAGTAAATTCAATAGATAACTTTATCCCTGGTAAGTCCTGTTACCTAAATCTGGTTAAATCATTTATAAAGTGGGAGTAATAGCACCTGCCTTACAAGGTTGGGGTGAGGCTTAAATGATATGGTACTGTGAGTCCCAAAGTACCATGCGTATGGAAAGAAACCTCATTAAATGACCTTTCAGGCTACCGTAGCTAAAGCTGTTGCCAGTATATTTAATTCATAAGAAATAATCACCGTGATTGACATGGTGTTGTGTTTGTTATATTTCACAATCAGAGAGGACCAGGTAAACTTCCGTGGATTCATGCGAACTTTGGCTCATTTCCGCCCCATTGAGGATAATGAAAAGAGCAAAGATGTGAATGGACCCGAACCACTCAACAGCCGAAGCAACAAACTGCACTGTAAGGAGCTAAAGTCTTCTGGCTTAAAATACTTGCTTTTCATTTCTTAAAAGTCATGTATTTACTCACTCATTATTTGAACAAGCATCTACAAGAGCATACTGGTTAAGACCTCAGACTCTGGAGCTAAACTGGCCAAGATTAAATACTAGTCTACCCTTTTTTGGTCGTGTGACTTTGGGCAAGGTACTTAACCTCTTTGGGCTTCAGTTTTCTCTTCTGTAAAATAGGATACTAAGGGGTTCCACATTGGATTGTTGTGAGGATTAAATGAGTTAATAAATGTCAAGTGCTTCACATAGTGCCTGGCATATACTAGGTACTTAATAAGTGTTACCTAGTATCATTATAATTCATTGAGCACCTACCGTGTGCCAGGCACTGTGTTAAGTGCTAGCATGGCAATAGTGAACAAGACCCAGGCCCCACCTTTAAGGAATAATGGCAATCCTCAGCTCATCTTAGAATTTGATAGACACTGGATGTGACTTAAGTAATGGGGGACAGCTGGATACAGTGCAAGATTTAATTTTTATACCCGTGTCTCATGCCTCTTTTCCTTTAATACTTGTTTGCCTTCCCTTCTGCCCTTATTGGTTCATGTACAATATTGCCCAATCCCTTACAACACTTCTCCAGGAAATTGAAATTAAATTTATCTTTTTATTCAGTACAAGTTGAAATTACAGTTGTATTAAAACTGACTGAAGGCTGGGCGCAGTGGCTCATGCCTGTAATCCCAGCACTTTGGGAGGCCAAGGTAGGTAGATCACTTGAGCCCAGGAGTTTGAGACCAGCCTGGGCAACATGGTGAAACATTGTCTCTAATAAAAATACAAAAATTAGCCAGGTGTGGTGGCAGGCACCTGTGCTCCCAGGTACTTGGGAGGCTGAGGTGGGAGAATTGCTTGAGCCTGAGAGGTTGAGGCTGCAATGAACCTTGATGGCACCACTGCACTTCAGCCCAGGTGACAGAAACTCTGTCTCAACAAAGAAAAGAAAACAAAACAAAATCTTCGAAATAGCACTAGTGGATTTGGGCGTTACATGGTGTCTTAGGATACCTTTAGCTGACTCAGCTGGCTTAAACAATAGGGAACTATATTAGCTCACTTTACAAGTCAGATTAGGCCGGCAGGAGGGTTGATTCTGTTTCAAGAACTAGGGATTTTTCTCTTTACTCTGCCATCCTCATAGTCTGTTTTATCCTAAAGTATTATGGTCACATGGCAGCTCTCAGTTGTTAACAGGGCTTTTTTTTTTCTTGTTCACATCTGGCAGTAGAGGAAGAGAGATATATATAGAGAGAGATCGAGACTGAAATTGAGCAACACTCCTCCCAAGCATGGAATGTAAGTCCTTCCCCTCACTTTGATAAGTCAGTTCAGGTCAGGAGAGTGCGAGTGCCGAGGAGATTAGGCTAATGAGATTCCCCTCCTGATGCTGTGATTGGGGTTCTGCTAAGGAAAAAGGTTGGAATGCCACAGAAATGGCAGACTTCAGGATGAGATAGAATAATAACAAAGTGCTATGCAGGTTATGCTTGGTTTTATTTTGTTTTTGCTTAATTTTTTGAGATAGGGTCTCACTCTGTCACCCAGGCTGAGTGCAGTGGCGTGATCACAGCTCACTATGGCCTTGACTTTCCTGGCTCAAGTGATCTTTTTGCCTCAGCCTCTCAAGTTGCTGGGACCACAGGCGTGTGCACTACACCCAGCTAATTTTTTATTTTCTAATTTTTTGTAGGGACAGGGTCTCACTATGTTGCCCAGACTGGTCTCGAAATCTTGGACGCAAGCAGTCATCCCACCTTGGCCTCCCAAAGTGCTGGGATTACAGGCATGAGCCTCCATACCCAGCCTGTTTTTTTCATTACATACTTTAGTCTTGGCTGTTGGATTAACTTTTATAGGAAGCTAAAAATTAATTAGAATTCTGTTGCAGTCTATGTATAGGGATCACATTCATGTAATTAGACCAGTAAAACCGAAGCTATTCTAATGCCAAAGAAAAGACTAGAAGAGTCCGAGAAGTCCTCAATTTCTGTCTAAATGTGTTGCTTCTCTTTGAAGTTCCCACAGGGCTGTATAAGCTGTAGCATGGTGCCTCTTACTGTAGACTGAGAGCAATTGAATGTCATATACCTAGCAATACATTTGCCACTGAGACACATTTACCTTAGAGAAAGGGGATGTGGGCCAGGTGCGGTGGCTCACGCCTGTAATCCCAGCACTTTGGGAGGCTGAGGCAGGCGGATCACCTGAGGTCAGGAGTTCGAGACAAGTCTGGCCAACATAGTGAAACCCCATTTCTACAAAAATACAAAAAAAATTAGCCAGGCATAATGGTGGATGCCTGTAATCCCAGCTACTCAGGAGGCTGAGGCGGGAGAATTGCTTGAACCTGGGAGGTGGAGGCTACAGTGAGCCGAGATCATGCCATTGCACTCCAGCCTGGGTGATAGAGCGAGACTCTGTCTCAAAAAAAAAAAAAAAAAAAAAAAAAAAAAAAAGGAGATGTGTTACTTAGAAATCTGGGTTTACAGGCCAGGCATGATGGCTCACGCCTGTAATCCCAGCACTTTGGGAGGCCAAGGCGGGTGGATCACTTGAGATCAGGGGTTCAAGACCAGCCTGGCCAACATGGTGAAACCCTGTCTGTACTAAAAATACAAAAAATTAGCTGGGCGTGGTGGCGGGCGCCTGTAATCTCAGGTACTCGGGAGGCTGAGACAGGAGAATACTTTGAACCTGGGGGGCAGAGGTTGCAGTTAGCCGAGATTGCACCATTACTCTCCAGCCTGGGCAACAGAGCAAAACTCCATCTCAAAAAAAAAAAAAAGAAATGTGGGTTTACAGAGGAGTGGAACCAAATTTTATTATGGGTTATACTTTGCATAGAATACTGTCTTCAGGAACTCTGAGAACACACTTTGTTCTATTTCTTTTCTAAGCCACGGTGAGAGAATTTTAATCACGATCAGCAAGGCTGAACTATGCCCATGTAGGCACAGGCCCAAGCACACATAGTGCCACTCTGCTCTTCTGTTTGTCTCCTGGAAGTGGTACCTTATTGCTTTCCTCTTTGGATTGGTGAGGTTATAATAATGCTTTCTGTAGGCCAGGCGCGGTGGCTCATGCCTGTAATCCCAGCACTTTGGGAGGCCGAGGTGGGTGGATCACCTGAGGTCAGGAGTTCGAGACCAGCCTGACCAACATGGTGAAACCATGTCTCTTCTAAAAATACAAAATTAGCCAGGCATGGTGGTGCATGCCTGTAATTCCAGCTACTCAGGAGACTGAGGCAGGAGAATTGCTTGAACCTGGGAGGCTGATATTACAGTGAGCCGAGATCACGCTATTGCACTCCAGACTGGGCAATAAGAGTGAAACTCCATCTCAAAGAATAATAATAATAATAGTAATAATAGTGCTTTGTGTAAAAGGTACAACCCTATCTACAGGTGGATAGTGTTTAAAAAAAAAAAAGTGAAAGGTATAATTCATCTTAGGCCCAGGGCATGGTAAGTAAGAGAGAAGTCTAGAGGTCTACAGGTTTTCCTTCCCACATTCTAATTGTCTTCTTAAATGGTTTAAGTTTTTATAACACATAATGATGTGGAAAGTAAAGAGTCTACATTAGAATATTTTTCTTGGGTGTTGAGGAGTATAGGCGGAGTAGAGCTTGGGAGAGTAGCCAGGAAGAAATAGCAGCATTATTCAAAGAATCCAAAAGGTAGAAGCAATCCTAGTGTCCATCGACAGATGAATGGATAAATAAAATGTTGTGTACACATACAATGAAATATTAGTCTGTATTAAAAAAGAAAATTCTGAGGCCGGGAGCGGTGGCTCACACCTGTAATCCCAGCATTTTGGGAGGCCAAGGTGGGTGAATCATGAGATCAGAAGTTCGAGACCAGCCTGGCCAATGTGGTGAAATCCCATCTCTACTAAAAATACAAAAATTAGCCTGGCATGGTGGTGGATACCTGTAATCCCAGCTAGTCGGGAGGCTGAGGCAGGAGAATTGCTTGAACCCAGGAGGCGGAGGTTGCAGTGAGCTGAGATTGCGCCACTGCACTCTAGCTTGGGCGACAGAGCAAGACTCCATCTCGAAAAAAAAAAGGAAATTCTGGCAAATGGTACAACATGGATGAATCTTGAAGACATTATGCTGAGTGAAATAAAGTGGATATAAAGGACAAATATTGTATGATTCCTCTTATGTGAGGTTTCCAGAGTGGTCAAATTTGTAGAGACAGAAAGTAGAACGGTGGTTGCCCAGGGCTGGGGGATGGTGGTGGTGATGGTAATGGAGTTATTGTTAAAAGGGTACATTTTCCGCTAGTGAAGATGCAGAAGTTATGGGGAGATGGATGGTGGTGATGCTTGCACAACAGTGTGAAAGTACTTAATGCCACGGAACTGTACCTGTAGAAAAGGTTTAAATGATACATTTTATGTATATTTTACCACAATAAAAAAAAAAGAAGCAGCCGGGCATGGTGGCTTATTCCTGTAATCCCAACACTTTGGGAGGCCAAAGTAGGCAGATTGCTTGAGGTCAGGAGTTTGAGACCAGCTTGGCTAACATGGTGAAACCCTGTCTCTACTAAAAATACAAAAATTAGCTGGGTGTGGTGGCACATACCTGTAGTCCCAGCTACTCAGGAGGCTGAGACAGGAAAATTGCTTGAACCCGGGAGGCAGAGGTTTCAGTGACCTGAGATCGCGCCACTGCACTCCAGCCTGGGTGACAGAGCAAGACTCCGTCTCCCAAAAAGAAAAAAAAAAAAGAAGCAATAGCATTGATTGAAGTAAAGGTAAAGGTTTGTAGCCTGGGCAACAGAGCCTGGGCAACAGAACCTGGGCAACAGTATCTACAAAAAAAAAAAAAATTGAGCTGGGCATGGTGGCACATGCCTGTATTCCTAGCTGCTCAGGAGGCTGAGGCAGGAGGATCACTTGAGCCCAGAAGTTTGGGTCTGCAGTGAGCCATGATTGCACCACTGCACTCCAGTGACAGAGTGAGGCCCTATCTCTTAAAAAAAAAAAAAAAAAAGCATAAAAAAGGAAGGTAAAGGTTTGACTGAGATCATTCCTTTGGTTTTTCATTAAACAAATGTTTGAGCACCTACTACATGCCAGGTACTATTTTAGGCCCAGGATACAGTGATGAATAAATCAGGTAAGGCCCTTGCTTTCTTAGAACTTATGATCTAATAAGAGAGACAGACTATAGAGAAGACGGGTGAATAAACAAGATTTATTGTGGTGACAAGGTCTGTGAAGGAAGTGAATACATGAGATGAGAAAGGCATAGGGAGATGTCACTATAGAAAGAGTGGTCAGTGAAAACCTCTCTGAGGAGTTGAAATTTGAGCTGAAGGCCCAGGCACAGTGGCTTACACCTATAATCCCAGCACTTTGGGAGGCTGAGGCAGGAGGATTGCTTGAGCCCAGGTGTTCAAGACCAGCTGTCTGGGCGCAGTGGCTCATGCCTGTAATCCCAGGGCTTTGGCAGGCTGAGGCAGGTAGATCACAAGGTCAAGAGATCGAGACCATCCTGGCCAACATGGTGAAACCCCATCTCTACTAAAAATACAAAAATTAGCTGGGCGTGGTGGCACATGCCTATAATCCCAGCTACTCGGGAGTCTGAGGCAGAATTGCTTGAACCCGGGAGGCGGAGGTTACAGTGAACCGAGATCATGCCACTGCACTCCAGCCTGGGCGACAGAGCAAGACTCCATCTCAAAAAAAAAAAAAATTCAGGCCAGGCGCGATGGCTCACGCCTGTAATCCCAGCACTTTGGGAGGCCGAGGTGGTTAGATCATGCGGTTAGATCATGAGGTTAGGAGATCGAGACCATCCTGGCTAACACGGTGAAACCCTGTCTGTACTAAAAACACACACACAAAAAATTAGCCAGGCGTGGTGGTGGGCGCCTGTAGTCCCAGCTACTCGGGAGGCTGAGGCAGGAGAATGGCGTGAACCCAGGAGGCGGAGCTTGCCGTGAGCTGAGATCCCACCACTGCACTCCAGCCTGGGCAACAGAGCAAGACTCTGTCTCAACAACAACAACAAAAAACAATTTATCTAGACAAAGACCTTGCACCTTTCACCAGCCTGGGCAACACAGTGAGACCCTAGCTCTACAAAAATTTTTAAAAATTAGCCAGGTGTGGTGTCTGTGGTCCCAACTACTCTGGAGGCTGAGGTGAGAGGATCCTTTGAGCCTGGGAGGTTGAGGCTGTAGTGAGTCATGATTGTGCTACTGCACTCCAGCCTGGGAGACAGAGCAGGACCCTGTCTGAAAAAAATAAATAAATAAAATAAAATAAACCAACCAAATTAAACAGAGCAGAAAAAAAAATACATATATATGAAGTCTCTCCTAGCTACTTCCTTTCTCTGGAATTCTGATATATACCTTACAAGGAGTAAATTAGATTTTAAAATTACTTTTATGTCATCTTAGTGGACTCACCATTTTATTTTGGAGGGGAGTGATATTTAAACCTGTAGATATTAATCCATGTTCTTATGCCTTTGTGCCTAATAATCGCTCTGCCTGGAATGACCACCCCTTGTCTCATTTCTGTTTGTCTTTCAAGGCCTTGTTCAAATGTTACCTCTCCTTGATATTTCCCCAGCTGCACCAGAAAGCCACGTCTGCCATACACTTTGTTCCCCCAGCATTTTGGATATGTTGTAGTGCTTAGGATGTACTCGAGAGTCGTGTGTCTTGCCCTCCTCTACTAGATAGTGAGTTCCTAAGGACAGAGTCTAAATCCATGGATCTTAATAGCTCTAGAGCAGTGGATTCGGGCCTTTTAGTATTTGCAGCACTCTATTTAAGACCCTTAATCTTAGTGGCATTCTTGAAGTGATTCAAAACCTAAAAACCAAGCTAAATTCAGTTGTGGGACAAGACATTCACATCCTCAGGCTGGCGATTTGTCACGGCACCTATAAAATCACCCAGTGTTATCACCCTATTCTCTTGGTAGCCCTTCAGCAACATGGCAGAAATCTAATGATTTTGCTTTCTGATTCCTATCTCATGGACCCAAGCAAAGTTCTCCTATCTCCTAGTTTCTAGAAGGCTTAAAGAGAAAGAAACATGATAAAGCCAGGAGACCATCTGAGCCATCATATTTATTTGAAACTCAATTTCTTTACCTCCAGGACTCCCAAGTGGTAGAGAATTACTTGAAATTTGAGACAATTTTGCCCAGGAGGCTCTATTCCCAAAGCTGTGGTCAGCTCTCATGGTGCCTGTGTGGTGCCTATTGTTGGTTTTCCCTGAGTGGTACCTGGTAGATTTGATGTTTGTGTGAGGTGACCTAATTTACAGAACCACGTAAGGAGTGTTTTGGGGGGGGGCGTTTAACATTCTAGGTTAAGAAAAAGGACATTTGGCTTTCTTTGTATGAAGTTTTCTGATTTGTTGGAAGAGGGACCATACTTCATCTAATCTAAGAACTCATCAATTCTCAATTCTTCAGTGTTACAACTTTTTAAAAGCCCTACAAGTAATGGCAATTGTTCTTGGAAAATCGATTAATTGGCTGTCAGTTTTCTGTCTAGTGTCTTATATATTTAGTTCCTTGAGAAGGGGCAACACACTACAGAATTTTGACTAACTTTGTGTTTTTCCCTTACAGTTGCTTTTCGACTATATGATTTGGATAAAGATGAAAAGATCTCCCGTGATGAGCTGTTACAGGTATGTGGAGAGCTCCTCGAGAACTTGTGCTTGGACTCTGCCTGCTTATTAGTGTGGGCAGGAACTATTCTTTCCTTTAGTAAGCATTTATTTAATACCTGCTATGTGCAGAGTCCTGTCCTGGTTATAAGACAAAGGAGATGACCTGGGAAAACTTGAAATGGCTCATTGTGTTTTCATAGACAGATGTCTCCACTATTTAAAAGCTAACTAGGCTGGGCATGGTGGCTCACGCCTGTAATCCCAGCATTTTGGGATGCCAAGGCAGGCAGATCACCTGAGGTCAGGAGTTCAAGGGCAGCCTGGCCAACATGGTAAAAACCCATTTCTAGTAAAAATACAAAAATTAGCCATCGGCCGGGCGCTTTGGCTCACACCTGTAATCCCAGCACTTTGGAAGGCCGAGGCAGGTGGATCACGAGGTCAGGAGATCGAGACCATCCTGGCTAACATGGTGAAACCCTGTCTCTACTAAAAATACAAAAAATTAGCCGGGTGTGGTGGCGGGCACCTGTAGTCCCAGCTACTCCGGAGACTGAGGCAGGAGAATGGCATGAACCTGGGAGGCGGAGCTTGCAGTGAGCAGAGCTCACTCCACTGCACTCCAGCCTGGGCGACAGAGCAAGATTCCGTCTCAAAAAAAAAAAAAAAAAAAAAAAATTAGCCGTCTGTGGTGGTGGGTGCCTGTAATCCCAGCTGCTCGGGAGGCTGAAGCAGTAGAATCGCTTGAACCCAGGAGGTGGAGGTTGCAGTGAGCCAAGATCGTGCCACTGCACTCCAGCCTGAGCGACAAGAGTGAAACTCCATCCCAAAAAAGAAAAAAATAAGTAAATAAATAAAAGCTAACTAAATGGCTTTTAGGTACTGTCTGAGATTTACATCAGATAATTCAGTTATTGCCAAATCAGATTATTGGCAGCCAGGTAATTCTGATGACACTTAGTTAAATGCTGTTATTTAGTCTGTCCTTAGGGTTGACTAAGAGTCAAGGAGCTGCTGCTGTGCTGGTGTACCCTGAGCTAACTGCCACTGTTCTTTGTTGCTCCTAGGGATAATTCCCTGTTTTCCTACTAGCAGTGACTGGCATTTCATCCTAGGATGAAATTACTCAGGGCAGATTCAGGAGCAACCCAACGTATTCTTACATTTCTATCAGCAAAAACCAAAACAGTCTTCAGGTCAGTGTTAGCGTCCCTTGCTTTTGAGTTGGGAATTTCTTCAGCGAGAAGCGTTTATTTTCTTGAAAGTTGCCACATATGGGCTTCTGTGTTCTGAAGAAAAAAAGACAGTAGCAGTCACTCTATAGTTGCATGTGTTTATGCTCTGGCCCAGATCTGACCTCAGGTTATCCACCCGCCTCGGCCTCTCAAAGTGTTGGGATTACAGGCGTGAGCCACCACGCCCGGCCCATGTTTTCTTAATATGATTCTTGTGAAAGTCCTGGTTGAACTTTTGGAGGTCATTATCTTGATTGTGAGGATGGTGCCATGGGTGGGTACATATGTTAAACCTTATCCAATTGTACATTTTATTTATTTATTTATTTATTTTGTATTTTTAGTAGAGACGGGGTTTCAGCATATTGGCCAGGCTGGTCTCGAACTCCTAACCTCAAGTGATCCACCCACCTCGGCCTCCCAAAGTGCTGGGAGTACAAGCACGAGCCATCATGCCTGGCCCCAACTGTCCATTTTAAATATGTACAGCTTATTGTATATTATTTATACTTCAATAAAGATAGTTACTCTTCTCCCCAACTCATTTTATGAGGCTAGCGTAACTTTTGCCTGAGAATTTTTTTGTTTTGTTTTGTTTTGTTTTTTGAGAGAGTCTCACTTTGTCGCCTGGGCTGGAGTGAATATCACCATCTCAGCTCACTGCACCCTCCGCCACCCAGGTTCAAGCGATTCTCGTGCCTCAGCCTCCTGAGTAACTGGGATTGCAGACATGCACCACCATACCCAGCTAATTTTTGTGTTTTTAGTAGAGATGGGGTTTCGCCATGTTGACCAGGCTGGTCTCGAACTCTTGGGCTCAAGCAGTTCGCCCACTTCAGCCTCCCAAAGTGCTGGGATTACAGGCGTGAGCCACCGTACCCAGCCACACCTGTCAATCTTATAGAAGACAGCGTAAGAAAAGAAAATTAGGGGCCAGGCGCAGTGGCTCATGCCTGTAATCCCAGCACTTTTGGAGGCCGAGGCAGGTGGATCCCGAGGTCAGGAGATCGAGACCATCCTGGCTAACATGGTGAAACCCCGTCTCCCCTGTCTCTACTAAAAATACAAAAAATTAGCCGGGCATGGTGGTGGACACCTGTAGTCCCAGTTACTCGGGAGGCTGAGGCAGGAGAATGGTGTGAACCTAGGAGGCGGAGCTTGCAGTGAGCCGAGATCACGCTACTGCACTCCAGCCTGGGCAACAGGGCGAGACTCCGTCTCAAAAAAAAAAGAAAAGAAAAGAAAATTATAGCCCAATCTCTTTTACTCACATAGTTGTAAAAATCCTAAACAAAATATTAACACACTGAATCCAGCAATATAAAATATAATATATATATATTTAAAGCCAAAGATGTATTAAAGCCAAGGATGTATTATAGCCAAGGTGCAATTATACTAGAAATTCAAAGTTGGTTTAACATTAGAAAATCAACCAATATATTTCACCCACACCAACACTTTAAAGAAGAAAAACTGAGTGGTCTTTTCCATAGAAAAATGTAATTGATAAAATTCACCATCCATTCATTTTATTTTATTTACTTATTTATCTTTTTTTCTGGAGACGGTGTTTCACTCTGTCGCCCAGGCTGGAGAGCAGTGGCGTGATCTCAGCTCACTGTAACATCCGCCTCCCAAGTTCAAGCGATTCTCCTGACTCAGCCTCCAGTGTAGCTGGGATTATAGGCATGCGCCACCACACACAGCTAATTTTGTATTTTTAGTAGAGACGGGGTTTCACCATGTTGGTCAGGGTGGTGTCGATCTCCTGACTTCAGGTGATCCACCTGCCTCGGCCTCCCAAAGTGTGTGAGCCAGCTTGCCTGGCCTCACCATCCATTCATGATTTAAAAAAAAAAAAAAGAAGTCTTAGAAAATCAGAAGTAGAGGGAACCTTTCTTAAATCGATAAAGAATATATATATAAACCCTCACCAAACATTAAAAATAATAGTAGGCTGGGTGTGGTGTTTCACTCCTGTAATTCCAGCTACTCGGGAGGCTGAAGTAGGAGAATCGCTTGAAACCAGGAGGAGGAGGTTGCAGTGAGCTGAGATCATGCCACTGCTCTCCAGCCTGGGCGACAGAGCAAAACTCTGTCTTAATAATTCACTAATAAACTTCTTTTTTTTTATTTTTTTGAGACGGAGTCTCGCTCTGTCGCTCGGGCTGGAGTGCAATGGCGCGATCTCAACTCACTGCAACCTCCGCCTCCCGGGTTCAAGTGATTCTCCCGCCTCAGCCTCCTGAGTAGCTGGGACTATAGGCACCTGCCACCACGCCTGGCTAATTTTTGTATTTTTAGTAGAGACGGGGTTTCACCGTATTGGCCAGGCTGGTCTTGAACTCCTGACCTTGTGATCAGCCCACCTTGGCCTCCCAAAGTGCTGGGATTACAGGCATGAGCCACCGCACCTGGCCTAATAACTTTTGACTGGAACAATAAGTGGCAACATGGACAGGTAGAGGGAGCACTGAGCTGGGAATGGAGGCCTGGGCAGATAGCTCATGCCACTGGTTCCTGGGACCTGAGTCAAGCCACCTCTGGGCTGTTTCATGTCCTTATTAACAGATCGGATGAGATAACCTTTTTTTTCTTTTTTGAGACAGTCTCACTACATTTCCCAGGCTGGCTTGAATGCTTAGGCTCAAGTGATCCTCTGGCCTTAGCCTTCCAAGTAGGTGGGTCCAGTAGCTGGGACTACATGCATGTGTCACTGCACCTGGTGAAATGATGTTAAAGACACCACTACTTTTATCCCGACCCTCCGACTCACACTATAGATACCCATACATAATCCAGTTTTCTAATTCTACAAATAAAACACCTCAGAAAAATTTGGTCTGGGATCTGAAGAAGCTGCTGTCTGAGGTTGGATTCATCTGCTTGGCAACACACAGGGAATGTGGCAAATGGGTTGTCTATTGATTATCTTTGCTAGCATTGTCTTTGTTTTTTTTTTTTTTTTTTGAGATGGAGTCTCGCTCTGTTGCCCAGGCTAGAGTGCAGTGGCATGATCTCAGCTCACTGCGACCTCCACCTCCCGGGTTCAAGTGACTGTCCTCCCATAGCCTCCTGAGTAGCTGGGATTATAGGCGCGCACTACCATGCCCGGCTAATTTTTGTATTCTTAGTCGAGACGGGTTTCACCATGTTGGTCAGGCTGGTCTCCAACTCCTGACCTCGTCATCCACCTGCCTCAGCCTCCCAAAGTCCTGGGATTACAGGCGTGAGCCACCACATCCGGTGCATTGTCTCTTTTTATTAATTCTTCTATTGGGGTACATTTGTACCTAAAATGTACAACTTCCAATTTTCTTTTCTTTTTTTTCGTTTGAGAGGGAGTGTCTTTCTTGTCGCCCAGGCTGGAATGCAATGGAGTAATCTCGGCTCACTGCAACCTCCACCTTCTGGGTTCAAGCGATTCTGCCTCAGCCTCCCAAGTAGCTGGGATTACAGGTGCCCGCCACCATGCCTAGCTAATTTTTGTATTTGTAGTAGAGATGGGGTTTCACCATGTTGGCTAGGCTGGTGTCAAACTCCTGATCTCAGATGATCTGCCTACCTCGGCCTCCCAAAGCTTTGGGATTACAGGTGTGAGCCACCACCCCCGGCCAAAACTTCTGATTTTCAAGAATTGGTTTATTTAAAAAATAATCAGTTTGGATACAAATCAGTATTTCAGCTTTTTTTCTTTTTAGAAAATCATGTAATTTACTATTGATGGATTGGTTGATTGACTGATAGGGTCTCCCTCTGCTGCCTACTCTGGAGTGCAGCAACTATTCACAGGCATGATCATAGCACACTGCAGCCTTGAACTCCTGGGCTCAGACCATCCTCCTGCCTCAGCCGCCTGAGTAGCTGGTACTATAGGCATGCACTACCACACCTGGCTTGTAATTTCGCTCTTGTTGCCCAGCCTGGAGTGCAATGGTGCAATTTTGGCTCACCACAACCTCTGCCTCCCGGGTTGAAGCGATTCTCATGCCTCAGCCTCCCGAGTAGCTGGGATTACAGGTATGCACCACCACGCCCAGCTAATTTTGTATTTTTAGTAGAGATGGGGTTTCTCCACCATGCCCGGCCCATGAAATCGATTTTTAAAAAGTAAATTACAGGCCGGGCGCAGTGGCTCACGCCTGTAATCCCAGCACTTTGGGAGGCCGAGGCAGGCGGATCACCTGAGGTCGGGAGTTCGAGACCAGCCTGACCAACATGGCAAAATCCCGTCTCTACTAAAAATACAAAAATTAGCCAGGCATGCTGTTGGGCACCTGTAATCCCAGCTACTCGAGAGGCTGAGGCAGGAGAATCGCCTGAACCTGGGAGGTAGAGGTTGCAGTAAGCCAAGATCGTGCCATTGCATTCCAGCCTGGGCAACAGAGTGAGACTCCATCTCAAAAAAAAAAAAAAGAATCTATTTCATGAGATTGTAGAAGGGAGTAAAGGAGTGGAGGAAAGGAAGTCTATGAGCCACTGGGCTAGAGGCCCTTTCCTTTCTGTGGAAAAGCTCAGTTCTTGCCATCTGAAGACAGAGGTGGCTGACTGCAATAATAATATAAGGAGTCAGAAAGGTACCCTGTCTCCCATTTCATATTGCCTAAGAACCAGCCTTTCCATATTGCCTGACAGTCAAATTGTTAAAGTTGCTTATTTTGTTTAAGGAAGCAATTTTCAAAGTATGTTCACACCCTAAAGGTGTTAATAGAATTCCCAGGGGCCCAAGGATTGGTTAAGTTTAAGACAGATTTGGTGAAACAGTGTTAAATTCTCTTACTCAATTCTCGCAGCCTTTTAATTGTGCTTGTTATTTTTCTCAGAAGGGGATTTAGCATTTAACTCTTCAAGGATTTTTATGTTTTCTTGGGCCATACTTTAGGAATAGTTGGCTTAATGCAGCACTTCGAAGAGGACGACATTTTGGGTGGGATTTCAGAAAGCCCCACCAAACTGATTTAAATCAATAAGGAACTAGTTAGGCTCACGCAACAAGAATGTTTGGCATAGATTGTCCAGGCTGGTACAGTACCTAACTGATGTCCAGGAACCAGGCTTATTCTGTGTTCCTGCCCTGGCATCCATAGCTCATATTACTCACCTCATGGCTCCAGGGTGGCTGCAGTGCCACCAGACAGAATGAGGTAAGAAGAATGAGGAAGGGCAAAATGCAAAGGACTCTCCCTTAGTCTTTGTCTTCTTATCCAGTCACCTAGATAAGTTCTGCTTACATCATTGCCTAGATGAGAAGATAAAGGTTTCAGCCTTTTAGCTGTTACTTAGTCACATGATGGTAAAGATGGGGATACATTCTGAGATATGCAATGTTAGGCAATTTTGTAGTTGTAGGAACATCATAGAATGTACCTACATGAACCTAGATGGTATAGCCTACTACACACCTAGGCTATGTGGTGTGGCCTATTGTTCCTAGACTACAAACCCGTGCAGCAAGTTACTGTTCTGACTACTATATGCAGTTGTAACATAATGGTAAGTATTTGTGTATCTAAACATATCTGTGGCTGGGCATGGTGGCTCACGCCTATAATCTCGGCACTTTGGGAGGTGGCAGAGGGAGAATTGCTTGAGCCCAGGAGTTGAAGGCCTGCCTGGGCAACACAGTGAGACCTCATTCCTACAAAAAAATTTTGAAAAATTAGCCAAGTGGCTGGGCGCAGTGGCTCACACTTGTAATCTCAGCACTTTGGGAGGCGGAGGCGGGCAGATCATGAGGTCAGGAGTTCGAGACCAGCCTGGCCAACATGGCGAAACCCCATCTCTACTAAAAATACAAAAATTAGCTGGGTGTGGTGTCACATCCCTGTAATCCCAGCTACTCGGGAGGCCGAGGCAGGGGAATCGCTTGAACTGGGGAGGCAGAGGTTGCAGTGAGCCGAGATCGTGCCATTGCACTCCAGCCTGGGCAACAAGAGTGAAACTCCGCCTCAGGAAAAAAAAAAAAAAAAGGCATGGTTGCACACACCTGTAGTGTAGTACCAGTTCCTTGGGGGAGGCTGAGGTGAGAGGATCACTTGAGCTTCGGAGGTGAGGCTGCAGTGAGCCACATTCGCAACCCAGCACTCCAGCTTGGGCAACAGAGCGAGACCCTGTCTCAAAAAAAAAACCCAAAAACAAATACTTACATCTAAACATGGAAAAGGTACAGTAAAAATATGGTATTGTAATCTTTTTTAACAAATTTTTTGGCCGGGCGCAGTGGCTCATGCCTGTAATCCCAGCACTTTGGGAGGCCGAGGTGAGCGGATCACGAGGTCAGGAGATCGAGACCATCCTGTCTAACATGCTGAAACCCCATCTCTACTAAAAATACAAAAAATTAGCCTAGCCGGGCACGGTGGCAGGCGCCTGTAATCCTAGCTACGCAGGAGGCTGAGGCAGGAGAACGGCGTGAACCCGGGAGGCAGAGCTTGCAGTGAGCTGAGATCGTGCCACTGCCCTCCAGCCTGGGCAACAGAGTGAGACTCCGTCTCAAAAAAAAAAAAAAAAAAGGAAAAAAAATTTAACTTTTAGGTTCAGGGCTACATATGCAGGTTAGTTATGTAGGTAAACTCTTGTCATGGGGGTTTGATGTACAGATTATTTCGCCACCCATGTACTAAGCCTAGTACCCAGTAGTTATTTTTTCTGTTTCTCTCTCACCTCCTACTCCACCCTCTGGTAGGCCCCAGTGTCTGTGGTTCCCCTTTTTGTGTCTATGTGTTCTCATCAAAATACAGTATTATAATCTTATAGCACCACCATTATATATGCAGTCGGTCATTAACCAAAACATTATTATGCAGTGCATGACTGTATTTGAGGGCATCAAAGGAAAAGGAGGATGGTGATAGCTTTATTTTTAATCTTAGTAAAGAGTCCCTCTGATTCCCAAGGCCCTTGTAATTCCTGGCTCTTGGTCTTCCAGGTGCTACGCATGATGGTCGGAGTAAATATCTCAGATGAGCAGCTGGGCAGCATCGCAGACAGGACCATTCAGGAGGCTGATCAGGATGGGGACAGTGCCATATCTTTCACAGAATTTGTTAAGGTTGGTCACTTACTTCTTGTTTGAAAAAGTTACGTTTTAGTGGCTGGGCGCGGTGGCTTACGCCTGTAATCCCAGCACTTTAGGAGGCCAAGGTGGGCGGATCACGAGGTCAGGAGTTCAAGACCAGCCTGGCTAACATGGTGAAACCTCATCTGTACTAAAAATACAAAAATTAGCCAGGCGTGGTGGCGCGTGCCTGTAATCCCAGCTACTTGGGAGGCTGAGGCAGGAGAATCGCTTGAACCCAGGAGGCCAAGGTTGCAGTGAGCCGAGACCACACCACTGCACTCCAGCCTGGCAACAGAGTGAGACTCTGCCTCCAAAAAAAAAAAAAAAAGTTACGTTTTACTGCACAGGAGGAAGGGGGGAAAACATTACTCAGATAAGAGCTTGGGAGTGTTGTAATCTTCATAACCTTTGTAACTGTTACTGGTTTTCTCCCCCAGGTTTTGGAGAAGGTGGATGTAGAACAGAAAATGAGCATCCGATTTCTTCACTAAAGGAGACCAAACTGTTCCTTGCGGTCTAGTATTTAAGAACTGGAACTTGAAAGTCCTCCTTCTACCAACTCCACCTCCACCCCCTCATTCCCCTTCTCCCAAAGTACTACTGCTGTTGCATGACAACCCCAAATATGTTCTGTCAACACAAACCTGCCTTTGGTGTATAAACAGGGCATTACAGAATGGTACACCCTATATATTTCTGTTCAGTATCCATTCACTAGTTCTTCATTTATAAATATCATCTTCCCCATTCTGCTGCTGAATGCCACACATCCATCCAGTCTGAGAAAGTGAGAGAGGCAATCATGCCAAGAACAAGCCAGCAAAGCTCTTTCACCAGATGTAGACTGTAGCCCTGCTGCCTTCCCTCCAGCGAGTCTGCCAGCATGCTTCTTCATCCTTTTTATATGTTCTTTGCTTCCTACTTCCCTGTCTTCCAACATACTGTTCACTTACTCTGGCAGTCTTTCTGCTTTTCATTAAGCCTCAAAATCTCCTCTGTTCTACTTGGCACCACAAGCTATGTCCTATATATGTATTTCTGACTTGGCAGGATAGTTCAGGGGTCTGGCAGTTTTTATTTACCTTCATTATTAAATGGGCCTCTGGGATGTTGCCTCTTCAGGAGCTTTTTGGTAATCAATACTTCTCTCAGAAGTATGAGACCATCCTCTGCACTCTGCTCTGTCATCAAAGGCTGCTGGGTGGAGATACCCTTTTTGAAAGGTGGCCTTGGTGAGAGGTATGGAGCCAAGTCTTCTAGGTTGCTTGCCCACATCACTCTATCTCTGGCCTCTGATTCTCAACTTTGTACCTGTGTGGCTCCTCTTGTTAGTGCAATGTTGACTGTTGAAAAAGCAGCAGTATGCTTACAGGTTTGCTTAGTTTGGGGACACCGTTACCACCAGAATGGCTGCTCTGACAATATGCCTAGGGACTTTCTCATGGCTTTTATTTAATAAGGAGGCTGGGCACCCTATAAAGCCTCATGCATTCACACCTTTGCAGCATGGTTTATGCCTCAGTGTTATGTGCACTGGAATGTTTTCCACTTCACATTTCCAAGTAGAAATATTAGTGTTACGGAAGTGCCTAATATCCCAGTCCAAATTTTTTTTTTTTTTTTTTTTTTTTTTTGAGACAGAGTCTTGCTCTGTCACCCAGGCTGGAGTGCAGTGGTGCGATCGCTCACTGCAACCTCAGCCTCCTGGATTTAAGTGATTCTCCTGCCTCAGCCTCCCAAGTAGCTGGGATTACAGGTGTGCACCACCATGCCCGGCTAATTTTTTGTATTTTTAGTGGAGACAGGGTTTCACCATGTTGGCCAGGCTGGTCTCGAACTCCTGACCTCGTGATCCGCCTGCCTCAGCCTCCCAAAGTGCTGGGATTACAGGTGTGAGCCACCACGCCTGGCCCCAGTCCAAAATATTTAAAGATTGTTTCCTTAGTGTCTTGAAGTTTTGCACAAAATTCTTTTTTTTGAGATGGAGTCTCACTCTGTCACCCAGGCTGGAGTGCAGTGGCGTGATCTTGGCTCACTGCAACCTCTGCCTCCTGGGTTCAAGCAATTCTCCCACCTCAGCCTCCCAAGTAGCTGGGATTACAGACGTGTGCCACCATACCTGGGTAATTTTTGCATTTTTAGTGGAGAGGGAGTTTCACCATGTTGGCCAGGTTGGTCTTGAACTCCTGACCTCAGGTGATCCTCCTGCCTCGGCCTCCCAAAGTGCTGGGATTACAGGCATGAGCCACCGTGCTCAGCCGCAAAATTCTTTATGAATTTTACACTTGGCAAATGTTAATGACGGAAGCCATAGTCTGCTCCTAATACATGTCCAAAGCATTGACTGTTGTGTCATTAGCTGCCTGGTTACATTAGCTCCCTGGCTTCTTGTTTAGACCACTGCTAATCCCTTAAAAACAAGAGGTCTGGCACTAGTAGCACAACCTAAGGTGGCATTACAGATCTTTGAGCGAGCCACAGCAACTTTTCTGCCAAGTCAGCTTAGTTTAGACTTCAGTGAATCAGGCTATTGCTATCCTAATGTATGTCTCTATGAGTGTATTTAGCCACACATCTGCCCTTGGTTGACTTTCTGACTCATTGCTTGCTTGCTTGTTTCCTTGCTTTGGAAAACTATTGAAGATTGCTAAAAAATACCACTGCAAAGTGATGGAAAAGGGTGGAGAACAGGGGAGTAGCCAGGCTGGATGGCTCAAATATAAATGAATGAGGAATTCTTTATGAAGTATCAGTCAGATTTTATGATTAAGTGATGTAATATAGGAATTATGTAAAAGGGAAGAATGTCTGATACTGATCTATTAGAGAGGTACTTTAGAGGCTTCTTGATTGGCATAAAGTTCCTAAGGTTATAGATTTTCCCCCCTTTTGGCTGTATAGCAAAGTGTTTTAATCCACGGTTGTGCCTTATTGTTCCATTAAAATTGTATCTTCGATCCATCAATAAATACTTGTGGTTGAAACAAAATAACTTTTGTCCATTTTACAAGAATTTTATGTAACTTAGTCCCTTCAAGTTTGAAATCACAGTGTCTCCCTTACTCAAGTTTATGTCTGTACGGTCAGCTGCAGTCTACTCTGCTGCTGCCTGGATATATGAAGTGGAAACATTCATCGAGGGGCCAGCACTTTTGGCTTCGACATGGTTTTGTCAGCCGTGGCCACTTCCCATTCATTCCAGCTAAGACGCAATTTCTATTCTTGACTCCCTGACTCCTTAAATGTAGAAAAAGCCTAAAAATCCAGTATATGTCCATTCCTTAAATTGCCCACCTCCTCATTCATGTGCAGCCTCAGCGGTGACATACTCTGGTTTTACATGGCTTTTTCTTTGCATTTCTTTTTTGAGATGGAGTCTCACTCTTGCCCAGGCTGGAGTGTAATGGCACAGTCTTGGCTCACTGCAACCTCCGCCTCCCAGGTTCAAGCAATTCTCCTGCCTCAGCCTCCTGAGTAGCTGGGATTACAGGCACGTGCCACCACACCTGGCTAATTTTTGTATTTTTGGTAGAGATTGGGGTTTCACCATGTTGGCCAGGCTGGTCTTGAACTCCTGACCTCAGCTGATCCACCCGCCTCAGCCTCCCAAAGTGCTGGGATTACAGCCACCGTGCCAGGCCAGGAATCTGCATTTCTAAGAATCCACCCAGATGACAGCCCTCTTGGTGTTTGGCAAGCACAGTGGACCTACACTGCCTACGCTGGGCCTCGCTTGTCATAACCCCGAAGAGGAGCCACCCCACGTATACCCTCCCTGCTGTCACGTGTCCGTGTGAAGAGACCACCAAACAGGCTTTGTGTGAACAACAAGCCTGTTTATTTCACCTGGGTGCAGGTGGGATGAGTCGGAAAAGAGAGTTCAGCAAAGGGTGGTGGATTATCATTAGTTCTTACAGGTTTTGGGATAGGCGGTGGAGTTAGGAGCAATGTTTTGTGGGCAGGGGGTGGATCTCACAAAGTACATTCTCAAGGGTGGGGAGAATTACAAAGAACCTTCTTAAGGGTGGGGAGATTACAAAGTACATTGATCAGTTAGGGTGGGGCAGAAACAAATCACAATGGTGAATGTCATCAGTTAAGGCTATTTTCACTTCTTTGTGGATCTTCAGTTGCTTCAGGCCATCTGGATGTATACGTGCAGGTCACAGGGGATATGATGGCTTAGCTTGGGCTCAGAGGCCTGACACCTGCCCCTCTGGGAAATGATGCAGAAGAAAGGATGCCCTACAGTTGGGTGTAGCAAACAACAAAACTGCCAGTTACAGCAGGTTTCCTCTATGCAGGAGGGCCTTCAGAAAAGTGACGAATCCTTCTCTCCTGTATTGACCAAAGCTGTAAACAGCCGGACAACGTTTGGGCCCTTTAAGAGTCAAAGACAGAGACAAACTGGAAGCATTAAATTTTTTCCCTAGGTGTTGTGCTACCCCTGGATTAAAAGCCTGGGCGCGGTGGCTCATGCCTGTAATCCCAGCACTTCGGGAGACCGAGGCGGGTGGATCACCTGAGGTCAGGAGTTCGACACCAGTCTGGCCAACGTAGTGAAATCTCGTCTCTACTAAAAATACAAAAATTAGCTGGGTGTGGTGGCATGCGCCTGTAGTCCCAGCTACTTGAGGGGCTGAGGCAGGAGAATCGTTTAAACCCGGGAGGCGGAGGTTGCAGTGAGTCAAGATCGCGCCACTGCACTCCAGCTTGGGCGACAGTGAGAGACTCTGTCTCAAAAAACAAAACAAAACAAAAACCCTCGGGCCTGAGAATGAAATTATTAGTACTACAGTTTAACCTAACAGTGGCTTAAAATAGTCACGCGGCCTAGCCACACTATCTTACCACGTGGTACAGCTTCTACGGCGGAAATTTTACATTCTTAATAATTGAATTACAAAAGCATTTCTCCCTGTTACCTCAATTCTGGGACCCAATCCGGATCGAAAGAGTGGGGCGAGTGCTATTGATTGACGTGCATTCCAACCAACCTACGACGCAAGGAGAGCGCGCGCGAGCAAGACGATGCCCAATAAACACTCAGCCCCAGCGGCGGGGGCGGGGCTTGTGGGAACGGCCCACCGCAGGGTTGGCCACCTTGAGAAGCTGCGAAGATGGCGGAGTAAGGCGTGCCGCTGCAAACTGGCCTCTGGGCCGGGGGCGAGCAGCCCCCGGGAGGCCGAGTGCATCTGTTGGACCGTGCGAGGTGAGCCGAGAAGGCCAGTGACGGTGGGACGAGCAGGCGCCGAGGAGGTGGCGTGGCCCAGACGGGCCGGGTACGGAAGCGCGCAGGAACCTGCGAGTTGCGGGCAGCCGGCCTCGGCCTCGGCTGGGCGGGGGTTCCAACCTCGGCGGCTCCAGGGCAGCCGTCACCCGCCTTCTGGGTGTGTTGCACGGCCCACCCCTCAGCCCGTCTCGGTCCTTCCCAGTGCCGTGCCTTTAGCCACCTTTGTGCTTTCTGCTTGCACCCACACGGGGCTGTATCTGGCAGCCGCTGCTTCTGCCATCGATTTATTTTTCGAAGAATATCTTTGTTTTATTGATTTACTTATACCCCTCGCCTTAGGACTTCGTTCCCCCTCTTTGCCCGTCAGCGGTATCAGTTGAGGCCTGTTGTGGCTCTGAGTATTTTGTGTCCCCAGCCCGTTGACCTTGAGACTTGTAACAGGTTTCCCTTGGGAATTGCATTCGGGTGTGTTTATCGCGGACACCCTGGTGCAACTTTTACTAAAGCCGTCCGCTCCCACTCCCACCTCCCAAACTTTTATGATCTGAGTAAGCGGTTCTGGCACTGATGTCCTGATAACGTTCTAATGGCGCATTAATTTTGGCTGATGCCAGGGTCTTGATAGAATTCACCGTTTTTGGTTTCCGACCCAGAAGTACAGGAGTTCAGTGTACAATATTGTTTTTATAGAGACAGAATGATAGGGAAATGTTATTAGAACGTAGTTTGTGTAAAGTGGTGGGGTTGCACAGTGTCAACACTGAGGCATTTGGTATTCTGTTCTCCTTTAACCGAACGGGTTGTCTCTTTTGGTAATTTGGATTGTTGTAACCTTACCCTCATCCGGTCTCTCAGGTAAGATTCTAGGAAAGTTCCTGTTACTAGGTTTCTGAATTGGTGTGGCCTGTTTAAAACTGGCACATTAGTTAAGTTCCAACGGACACACCATTAGACAAATGAATGTTTTTGGGTATGCTCTTTGTTGGCCCTGGATTTGCTAGAGCTGAAAAATAATACAGAAGGACTTTTATATGAGACCTTTTTTGTCGCTCTGTCAGTTTATTTTTTGTTTTTTTGTCTTTGTCTCATCCAGGAGAAGAAAAAAAATATCGGCCAGAGGAGAGGAACTAACCGAACATTCTTCCTCCCTACCTTATAGAGGGGAGTGGTCATCTACACTAAAGCAAAGTGTTAGGCGCGTCCGTGCGAAGAGACCACCAAACAGGCTTTGTGTGAGTAATAAAGCTATTTATTTCACCTGGGTGCAGGCGGGCTGAGTCCAAAAAGGAGTCAGCAAAGGGAGTTAGGGGTGGGCAGTTTTATAGGATTTGGGTAGGTAGTGGAAAATTACAGTCAAAGGGGGTTGTGTTCTTGCGGGCAGGGGTGGGGGTCACAAGGTGCTCAGTGGGGGTGCTTCTGAGCCAGGAGATGGAATTTCACAAGGTAATGTCATCAGTCAAGGCAGGAACTGGCCATTTTCACTTCTTTTGTGATTCTTCTGTTGCTTCAGACCATCTGGATATATACGTGCAGGCTTGGGCTCAGAGGCCTGACACAAAGGTCTTAAGTAGGGGTCCATAAACTACTGGAAATTTTATGCACAATTATACATTTTTGTGGGAAGAAGAAGGTCCATAGTATCAGATTCTCAAAGAGGACACTGTTTCATAAAAGCTTGAGAACCACTGCTCCAAGACTTGACATCTTTTTAAAATTAATGCCAGTGCAGGTAGAGAGTAACTGCTTTCTTACTGTTCCTTTTGAATAGTTTATGATATTGATTTTTTTTTAACAATAGCTTGTCTGTTTGAGTAATATTGTATACTAAAATTACTAGCACCAGTGAGGGCCATATCCTTAATGTTCTTTTTCTTTTTAGGTTCCTTATCACAGGAAGAAAATTTTCCTTGACCTTTAGGTGCTTTTATATTCATCTCAAAAACAAAATTCTGAACTCAGGACTTGGCAAGTAAGTAATTGTGGGCTAATCGTTCCAAATACTGTTTAAGTAGCTTGAAAACAGGTACATAGAAGTGGAACAATAAGCCGTTAGCTTCAGCAGAAGACGAACATGAAAAATGACTGTAAGCTATTGAAATTTAAGTTAAATCTTTTATTTTTCAACAAAAGAAATGTATTAAATAAAAAGGAGTAATCTTGATCATTTGCTCAAACTACCAATAATTTTCACTGTCTAAAGAAAACAGACACATATTTAATTAGATTGAAGGAAATCAAATGATTAAAAAATAGGCCTGGCCCGGTGGCTCACGCCTGTAATCCCAGCAGTTTGGGAGGCCGAGGTGGGCAGATACTTGAGGTCAGGAGTTTGAGACCAGCCTGGGCAACATGGGGGAACCCTATCTCTACAAAAAATACAAAAATTAAGCAGGTGTGGTGGCACGCGCCTGTAATCCCAGCTACTTGGGAGACTGAGGCAGGAGAATTGCTTGAACTTGGGAGGCGGAGGCTGCAGCGAGCCGAGATTGCGCCACTGCGCTCCATCCTGGGCCACAGAGACAGACTCCATCTCACCCAAAAATAACGATTAAAAAAAAATGTTACTGGGTGGTTTTATTTAAATAAATTTTGTGTATATTTCAGGTATACAACATGATGTTTTGGGATGCATATAGATAGTAAAAAGGTTTCTACAGTGAAGTAAATTAACATCCATTGTCTCACATAGCTATTTTGTTTTTGTGGCAACAGCTAAAATCTCATTTAGCATGGATCCTGTTTACAGTATAATTTTATTACCTATAGTTGTCATGTTGTACATTAGATCGTTAGACTTGTTCAGCCTACGTACCTGTTCCTTTATATTCTCTGACCTATATCTCTTCCTTTACTAACTCCCACATCACTGTTTTGTTCTCTAACTCTGTATATTTGATTTTTTAAAAAAATTTCACATGTAAATGAGATTGTGCAATGTTTTTCTTTCAGTCCTCCTGACTCATCTATGCTGTGACAAATGGCAAAATATTTTGTTTTTTTTTTTTTTTGAGACAGTCTTGCTGTCTTAGCACTTGCTCTGTCACTGCACTCAGGCTGGAGTGCAGTGGTGCTATCTCAGCTCACTGCAACCTCTGCCTCCCTAATTCAAGCGATTCTTTTGCCTCTGCCTCCCAAGTAGCCAGGATTACAGGTGTGCGCCACCACGCCTGGTTAATTTTTATATTTTTTTAGTAGAGACAGGATTTCACCATTTTGGCCAGGCTGGTCTCAAACTCTTGACTTAATCCCAAAGTGCTGGGATTACAGGCATATGCCACTGCGCCTGGCCAAGATCTCATTCTTTTTTAGGGCTGAGTAACATATGCCATCATATATATGCACTGTAGTTTCTACAGTTTATCCATTCATCCATTGATGATGGACAGTTAGGTTTTTTCTGTATCTTGGCTATTGTGAATAATGTTCCACTGAACATAGGAGTGCAGACATCTTTATGAAGTGATTTCATGTTTTTTGGTTATATGCCCAGAAGAGGGAGTGCTGGGTTATGTGGTGGTTCCATTTTTAATTTCTTTAGAAACCTCCCAGCTGGGCGCGGTGGCTCATGCCTGTAATCCTGGCTACTCAGGAGGCTGTGGCAGGAGTATCGCTTGAACCTGGGAGGCGGAGGTTGCCATGAGCCAAGATCGCGCCACTGCACTCCAGCCTGGGCTACAGAGTGAGATTCCGTCTCAAAAAAAAATTTCCATACTGTTTTTCCATAGTGGCTGTTCTGATCTACACTCCCGCGAACAGTTAATAATAATTCATTCTTCTCTTAAACGAGGCAAATTTTGGAATATATTTATTTAATTTTTTTTTTGAGACAGAGTTTTGCTCTTGTCGCCCAGGCTGAAGTGCAATGGCGCAATCTCAGCTCACTGCAACCTCCGCCTCCCGGGTTCAAGCGATTCTCCTGCCTCAGCCTCCTGAGTAGCTGACATTATAGGCACCTGCCACCACGCCCAGCTAATTTTTGTATTTTTAGTAGAGATGGGGTTTCACCATATTGGGCAGGCTCGTCTTGAACTCCTGACCTCGTGATCCGCCCACCTTAGCCTCCCAAAATGCTGAGATTGGAGGTGTGAGCCACCGCGCCTGGCCAGTGTGTCCTTTCTTAATTGACAGTGACATTATATCTGCAAAATAGGCTTCATACCTACTGTGTTAGTTTTAGTTTCCTAGGCCTGCTGTAACAAAGCACCACAAATTGGGTAGCTTAGAATAACAGAAATTGTTTGATAGTTATAAATAAAGGTCAGATGTCTAAAACCAAAGTGTTGGCAGGGCCGTCCCTCTGAAGGCACTGAAAAAAAAATTTCCAGTCCTTCTAATTTCTTGTGGTTCCTTAACTTGTGGCAGCATAACTCCAGTCTTCACATGAAGTTCTTCCTGTGTGTGTATCTGAGTCCTAATATAAGGAGACTAGTCATATTGGATTGGGGTCCATCCTGCTCTGTTAATGACCTCATCTTAGCTGCTGACATCTGTAATGACTCTATTACCAAATAAGGTCACAGTATGAGGTAGTAGGGGCTAGGACTTTTAACATACGAATATTGGGAGGACACAGTTCAACCCATTAACACCTACTTATACCTTGATTAATTATATGAAAACCATTCAGTGTACAACTGCTTCAAGGATTGAAACCTTGTATGTAGTCCCAGCTACTCTGGAAACTGAGGTAGTAGGATTGCTTGAGGCCTGAAGTTCAAGGCTGCAGTATGCTGATTGTGCCTGTGAATAGCCACTGCACCCCAGCTTGGGCAGCATCAGAATTATAGAGACAGAAAGTAGAATGATGGTTGCCAGGGGTTGCAGGAAGGGCAGCGAGAGGGAATTACTGTGTAATGTGTACAAGGTTTCAGTTTGGGAAGAAGAAATGAGTCCTGGAGATGGATTACGGTGATGGTTGCACAGCAGTATGAATGTACTTAATACTACTGAATTGTATACTCGAAAGGGTTAATATGGTGAATTTTATGTGTATTTTATCACAATAAAAACATTGAAAAATAAAACAATCTTTGTATGTATATGTATATATGTGTGTGTATATATGATATATATGATTGATATATATATATCAGTAGTAAGAAAGGGAATAAAAACTGATGAGGCAAAATGCCCTTTAGAGTGAAGAAGGCCTTACCACTTGGATTTACAACTTTAAGTCCAAGTAGACAATAATAGAAACTTGACATTGGTATAGCACAATATTTATAGTAATCTAAATATCCATCTGTAGGCTGGGTGTGTTAGCTCACACCTGTAATCCCAGCACTTTGGGAAGCCAAGGCGGGTGGGTTCTTTGAGGTCAGGAGTTAGAGATGAGCCTGGCCAACATGGTGAAACTGTGTCTTTACTAAAAATACAAAAATTAGTCGGGCATAGTGGTAAGTGCCTGTAGTCTCAGCTACTCTGGAGGCTGAGGCAGGAGAATTGCTTGAACCTGGGAGATAGAGGTTGCAGTGAGCTGAGATTGCACCACTGCCTGGGCAACAAAGCAACACTGTCTCAGGGGGAAAAAAAAAAAAAATATATATATATATATATATATATATATATATATATATATATATATATATATATGGTGTAGAGAACTGATGTAAATAAAGTACATCAAAGGTAGTACTTTACTTACAGACTGGTACTTTGTCCTGATATGGAATGATCTCTAAGATACATTAACAGAAAAAGCAAGGTACAGAACAATATATAGTGTGCTTTCATTTGTGGGAAATGTCTCTAGAGATGTTTTGTAGCCATAGAATATTCCTAAAAGGATATGCAAGAAACACTGTTTACCCTATTTTACCTTATCTCGTGCATATATTTATTCAAATAAATAATTTAGAATTTTCAAAGAAAGGAAGCACTGAATAAATATTTGATAAATGACAACTTAAATTTTTGCTCAAGCAACAGTTTTACATCGATATAGTATATCCCTATCTAGGGGGCAGAAATTGAGCACCTAGCCCAGCAAGTTTTTTTGTTGTTGTTTGTTTGTTTTGGTTTTTTGCCCTGGCTGGAGTGAAGTGGCACAATCTCAGCTTGCTGCAACTTCCACCCCCCAGGTTCAAGCTATTCTCCTGCCTCAGCCTCTCTTGTACCTGGGATTATAGGTGTCTGCCACCACACCCAGCTAATTTTTGTATTTTTATTAGAGATGGAGTTTTGCCATGTTGGCCAGGCTGGTCTCCAACTCCTGACCTCAGGTGATCCACCCCCCTCAGCCTCCCAAAGTGCTAGGATTACAGGCTTGGGCCACCGCGCCTGGTAAGTTTTTTTTTTTTTTTAATTATTTATTTTTTTGAGACAGAGTCTCACTCTGTTGCCCAGGCTAGAGTACATTGGTGCTTGCTGCAACCTCCGCCTCCGGGGTTCAAGTGATTCTCCTGCTTCATCCTCCTGAGTAGTTAGGATTACAGGCCTGCCACCACGCCCAGCTAGGAAGGTTTTTTTTTTAATATGACACTTATAAACTTAATTTGATTGATAGTGATAATAGTATTCATTGTGTTTTGTGAAATATATTCTAAATTCCCTATTTACATAGTGAAGTAAAAAAGGTGCACTAACTCCCGGGATACATCATTCTCTCTGTCCTTAGAGGAAGCAAAGTATATTAGTTATTGCTGTATAACAAATAACCCAAAACTCAGTAGATTAAAACAACAACAAATATGTATTACGTCTCTCAAGAATTTGGTAATAGCTTAGCTCTGGGGAGGTTCTGGCTTAGGGTCTCTTAAAAGCTTGAAATCTGGCTAGGCACGGTGGCTCATGCCTGTAATCCCAGCACTTTGGGAGGCCAAGGCAGTCGGATCACGAGGTCAGGAGATCGAGACCATCCTGGCTAACACGGTGAAACCCTGTCTCTACTAAAAACACACACAAATTAGTCGGGTGTGGTGTTGGGCACCTGTAATCCCAGCTACTGGGGAGGCTGAGGCAGGAGAATGGCATGAACCTGGGAGGCGGAGCTTGCAGTGAGCAGAGATGGCACGCTACTGTACTCCAGCCTGGGCAACAGAGCAAGACTCCGTCTCAAAAAAAAAAAAGCTTGAAGTCTGATGGAGTTCTGTGGTGACACATTTACATGGCTGGCACATTCATGCTGTTTAGGGGGAAGTTTCATTTCCTCCCAATGTAGGCCTCTTTCAGGGCTGTCTGAGTACTCTTATACGGTGGCTGGCTTCTCCCTAAACAAGCAATCTAAGAGAATAAGGCAAAAGCCATAGTCTACTCTATGACTTTGCCGCAGAAGTCACTCACTGTCACTTCCTCCTTGTTCTGTTGGTCAGTATTCTGACATCAAGTGGTACATGGCAATACATTTCTTTTTTTTTTTTTTTTGACACGTAGTCTCGCTTTGTTCCCCAGGCTGGAGTGCAGTGGCGCAATCTCACTTGCAAGCTCTGCCTCCTGGGTTCACATCATTCTCCTGCCTCACCCTCCCAGGTAGCTGGGACTACAGGCGTCTGCCACCACGCCCAGCTAATTTTTTGTATTTTTAGTAGAGACAGGGTTTCACGGTGTTAGCTGGGATGGTCTCGACCTCCTGACCTCGTGATCTGCCCGTCTTGGCCTCCCAAAGTGCTGGGATTACAGGCATGAGCCACTGAGCCTGGCCATGGCAATACATTTCTGACACCACCCAAGAATTAGCATAGACCTCACAGGTCAAAGGGCATGGTCCTCAACAAGACTGTCCTCACTTCAGATGCCAGCTGTACTTCGGAGGTACCCCCAGCCACCTGCATTTTCGACCAAGTGGCTACAGATTTGGAGAGTCCCATGACCCTCTTAGAACCAGCTTTTGATTTCGTTGGTTTTCTTATTGTTTTTAGTTCCTTTAAAGTTAGGTTGGTTGATTTGAGGTCTTTTTACTTTTTTTTTGAGACGGAGTTTCACTCTGTTGCTCAGGCCAGAGTGCAGTGGCACAATCTCAGATCACTGCAACCTCTGCCTCCCGGGTTCAAGCAATTCTCCTGCCTCAGCCTCCCGAGTAGCTGGAATTACAGGTATGCGCCACCATGCCCAGATAATTTTTGTATTTTTAGTAGAGGTGGGTTTTCCCCATGTTGATCAGGTTGGTCTCAAACTCCTGACTTCAAGTGATCCAATTGCCTTGGCCTCCCAAAGTGCTGGGATTACAGGTGTGAGACACTGTGCCTGGCCAACTTTTTAGAAACAAGGTCTTGCTCTGTTACCCAGGCTGGAGTTCAGTGGCTTTTCTCAGGTGTGATCATGGCACACTGCAGCCTCGCACTCCTGGCCTCAAGTGATTCTCCCACCTTAGCCTCCTGAGCAGCTGGGACTACAGGCATGTGCCACCACTGCTGGCTGAGGTCTATTTTGATGTGAGCATTTACAGCTATAAATTTCCCTCTTAGCATTGCTTTCACCACATCCCATAAGTTTTTGTTAAGTTTTCATTTGTCTCAAGGTACTTTGTAATTTCCTTTTTGATTTATTTTTTGACTCGTTTAGGAGTGTATTATTTAATTTCCACTGGCTTATTTACTCCAAATTCTAAGGATTTAGAGTATCCTTTCCAGGAACAAAGGGCAGTCAAAGTCTTTATTATACAACAGTCACATAGATTAACCCTGATTCATTGTTGGAGGAGACTGTAAAAAGGCCTGAATACCAGGAGGCAGCAATCACTGGTGGCTATTTTGGAGGCTGGATAGCACAGAAAATCATTGGCTCACAAGCTAGCTTACCTAAGGTGTCCACATAAATTTTTTTTTTTTTCTTCTTTTTTTGAGACAGAGTTTCGCTCTTGTTGCCCAGGCTGGAGTGCAATGGCACAATCTTGGCTCACTGCAACCTCCGCCTCCCGGGTTCAAGCGATTCTCCTGCTTCAGCCTCCCGAGTAGCTGGGATTGCAGGCATGCACCACCACGCCCGGCTAATTTTGTATTTTTAGTAGAGATGGGGGTTTCTCCATGTTGGTCAGGCTGGTCTCGAACTCCTGACCTCAGGTGATCCACCCGCCTTGGCCTCCTAAAGTGCTGGGATTACAGGCGTGAGCCACCGTGCCCGGCCTGTTCTCCTTTTCGATCCTCCCAATAAGTCAGGTTTTTTAGTAGAAAGTTACTTTGTATAATCAGCACCAGTAAGCAAGTAAGTAACTTCAGCCACTTGAAAGTACCTAATGTGAGGCCAACTTTAGGGGAAATTTATTTGTAAGTTTTGTGTATCCGTTGTATAGTTGCAGTTGATAAATCCAGAAAACTAGATTTTCAGCAGCTGGTTGTGGTAGCTCACGCCTGTAACCCCACCACTTTGGGAGGCCGAGGTGGGTGAATCACGAGGTCAGGAGTTCGAGACCAGCCTGGTCAACATGGTGAAACCCTATCGCTACTAAAAATACAAAAAAAAGGTCAGGAGTTTGAGACCAGCCTGGTCAACATCCTGAAACCCTATCTCTACTAAAAATACAAAAAAAATTAAAAATAAAAAAAATTAGCATAGTGGCAGGCACCTGTAATCCCAGCTACTCGGGAGGCTGAGGCAGGAGAATCGCTTGAACCTGGGAGGCAGAGGTTGCAGTGAGTCGAGATTGTGCCATTGTACTCTAGCCCAGGCGATAGAGTGAGACTCCATCTCAAAGAAAACTAGGTTTTCTAGATTGTGTCTAATTATATTTTTAGTTCATGTTGGCTAAGCATTTAAGAGCCCTACTATTCATGTATTCAACAGATTTTTTTTATTTTTAATTTTTTTTTTTAAGATAAAGTCTCGCTCTGTCACGCAGGTTGGAATGCAGTGGTGCGATCTCGTCTCACTGCAACGTCTGCCCCTCGGACTCAAGTTGTCCTCCTGCCTTAGCCTCCCAAATAACTGGGACTACAGGCGTATGCCACCATGCCTGGCTAATTTTTGTATTTTTAGTAGAGATGGGGTTTTGCCATGTTGGCCAGACTGGTCTCGAACTCCTGACCTTGGGTGATCCACCCACCTTGGCCTCCCAAAGTGCTAGGATTACAGGGGTGAGCCACGGCACCCAAACTATTCAACAAATTTTCATCAAGTGCTTACCATGGGTCACATGCTATTCTGGGTGCTTGTAATTCATCAGTGAACAAAACAGGATCCTTCCAGTGGATCTTACATTTTAGACAAAACAGTAAGTGAGAAATGAAATAAGTACCTCTTGTAAATTCCTAGATAGTGTCACGTGCTGTGGATAAAGGGAAAAGTAGAGCAGGATAAAGGGCAGTGTTGGGAGAGTATCTGTGTGTAGGATGAGGGGAAGATACAGGTTTATATAGGGGCCCAAGGTAGGCCTCATTGAAGAAATGATATTTAGAGACCTGCAAGGGGACTAGTTACGCAGATACCTGGGGGAAGAGTCTTCCCAGTGTGGGAACAGCCACTACAAAGGCTGTAAGGAGCATGCCTAACGTTTCAGAAAGAGCAGAGTCCATTGTGGTTAGAGCCCATGATCAAGCTATGGTCAGAAGAGATCAGGGTGCAGATCTTAGGAGGAACTGAAGGTCATAAATTTTGGCTTTTACACTAAGCTGCTATTTATTCAGCCATTCTGAGTTTTGTTGTTGTTTGAGACAGGGTCTCACTGTCGCCCAGGCTGGAGTGTAGTGGCACAGTTTCAGCTCACTACAACTTCACCTCCTGGGCTCAAGCGATTCTCCCACTTCAGCCTCCTGGGTAGTCGGGACTACAGGCACATGCCACCGCACTTGCTAATTTTTTCAGTTTTTGTAGAGACAGAATGTCAGTATATTGCCAGGCTAGTCTCGAACTCGTGAGCTCAAGCAGTCTTTCCCCGCCTCAGCCTCCCAAAGTGCTGGGATCATAGGTGTGAGCCACTGTGCCCAGACAGCCATCCTCAAATGGGTTAGTTACATCCTGCCGTTAATGATACATACACATATATACCTGTGTGTAAGAGTGTATAAATTGAATAGTCATGTCTGAGATATGAAATTGGGCATTCTGAAGAGAATATAAGCTTATGATTTGCTAGTGTTATTGCCTAATATTAAGATATAGATTGGGGGACAAAGTTTATATATGTTCAAGGTGTGCTTCCTCCCCCATCCAGACGGCGTCTTGCTCTGTCACCCAAGGTGGAGTGCAGGTGGCCTGATCTCGGCTCACTGCAACCTCCAGCTCCCAGTTTCAAGCAATTCTCATGCCTCAGCCTCCCAAGTAGCTGGGATTACAGGCGCCCGTCACCTCACCTGGCTAATTTTTGTATTTTTAGTAGAGACAGGGGTTTCACCATGTTGGCCAGGTTGGTCTCGAACTCCTGACCTCGTGATCCTCCCAGCTTGGCCGCCCAAAGTGCTGGGATTACAGATGTGAGCCACCGCACCCGGCCAAGGTGTGCATTTTTTTTTACATACACTTTTTTTTTTTTTTTTTTTTGAGACAGAGTCTTGCTCTGTTGCTGGTCTGGAGGGCAATGGCGCTATCTTAGCTTACTGCAACCTCCACCTCCTGGGTTTCAAGTCAGCCTCTGTAATGAAGCAGCCCTGCTGCTCATAGGGTTCTAAAGGTGTACCTGTGGATCTTTACTTTTTCTTCTTCCATGCTGCTTTTGCAACAAGTGCAAATTCTGCACTATTTTTCCTCCTGATTTGATTCTGGATTAATATACGTTTGGCTTTCCTAGGCTTTGAATAAGAACCCTATCTTCAACCAGAAGAGGTTATTTAGGTTCAATTTACAGTTGAGGTATTTTTTAATGTATATGACAGACTGAAAATAGTGGGCTAGAAAGACTAGTTAGCGAATCGCTATTGGCCATTTTTGTAAACTAAAATTATTTAAGCCTTTGACGGGCATCTGTGATGTATTTATTATTGTAGAGCATACATAACAAAACTCTTAAATATTTTACAGTGTACAGTTTATTGGCATTAAGTATATTCCACATTGTTGTATACGCATTACCATTATCTCTAGAATTTTTTCATCATTTCAAACAAACTCAGTACTCATTAATCTCCCCATCTCCGCTCCCACAGCCCTAGTAACCTCTCTACTCTAAATCTCTATGAATTTGACTGTTGTATCTGATGTAAGTGGAATTATACAATATTTGCCCTTTTGTGTCTAACTTCTTTTTGCAAATTTAACAGTTTTTAGATTTAGCAGCAATGAACTTGATGTACTTTTTAAAAAAAATTTTCAGACAGTCTCACTCTTGTTACCCAGGCTGGTGAGCAGTGGCACAATCTTGGCTCACTGCAACCTCCGCCTCCAGGTTCAAGTGATTCTCCTGCCTCAGCCTCCTGAATAGCTGGGATTACAGGCACCCGCCACCATGCCCAGCTAATTTTTTTGTATTTTTAATAGAGATTTTGTATTTTTAACATGTTGGCCATGTTGGTCTTGAACTCCTGACCTCAGGTGATCCACCCGCCTAGGCCTCCCAAACTGCTGAGATTACAGGCGTGAGCCACTGTGCCTGGCCTTGATTTAGTATTTACATGTTTACATTTGGTGATAATGGAACAGTATATATTTTACTTACAGTTATATTTTATAAAATACCGTTTATTGCTGGTAGTTGAAGGTGATTCAGAGTAAGATATATATGGTTTTGAGTATTATATATTTAGATATCAAATTTGGAGTACAGTGCTACTTGTGTTTATTTTTGTTTCTTTTTTCTTTTGATAGGAGGTGCAAGCGAAGATGCAGTGCTACCTTATTTTTCATTTTTATTTTTTGGAGACAGAGTCTCACTCTGTTGCCCAAGCTGAGTGCAGTGGTGCAATCATGGCTCACTGCAACCTCAACCTCCAGGGCTCAAGCGATCCTCCTGCTTCAGCCTCCTCCAAAGTAGCTGGGACCACAAGAGGGCACCACCACGCCCTGCTAATTTTTTATTTTTTGTAGAGTGGGGTCTTGATATGTTGCCCAGGCTGGTCTCCAATTCCTGGGCTCAAGGGATCCCCCTGCCTCAGCCTCCCCAAAGTGCTGGGATTACAGGTGTGAGCTGCTGCACCTGGCTCAGTGCTACTTTAAAACACAAATGTGGCCGGGCCCAGTGGCTCACGCCTGTAATCCCAATACTTTGGGAGGCTGAGGCGAGTGGATCACTTGAGGTGAGGAGTTTGAACCCAGCCTGGCCAACATGGTGAAACCCCGTTTCTACTAAAAATACAAAAATTAGCCGGGTGTGGTGGTACATGCCTGTAATGCCAGCTACTTGGGAGGCTAAGGCAGGAGAATCACTTGAACCCAGGGGGCAGAGGTTGCAATGAGCTGAGATCACAGCACTGCACTCCAGCCTGGGCAGCAGAGTAAGACTTTGTCTCAAAGAAAGAACAAAAACAAACAAAAAAAAATGTTTTATATGCAAAAGTTTTTTGTATCATGCTTGTATAAATCCAGCTTTTTTTGTATCATGCTTGTATTTTTTTTTTCTAGCTGTTATTGCTTTTCTGATAATAGTACTGAATTTGGTGTTATGGTTGGTCATTTTCTTCTAGATAATATGTAATCCAAAATATTCTTTTTTTTGTTTGTTTGTTTGTTTGTTTGAGACGGAGTCACGTTCTGTTGCCTGGGCTGGAGTGCACTGATGCAATCTTGGCTCACTGAAATCTCTGCCTCCCAGGTTCAAGCGATTCTCCTGCCTCGGCTTCCTGAGTAGCTGGGACTACAGGCACCCGTTACCACGCCCAGCTAATTTTTGTATCTTTAGTAGAGACGGGGTTTCACCATGTTGGCCAGGCTGGTCTTGAACTCCGGACCTGGTGATCCACCCACTTCGGCTTCCCGAAGTGCTGGGTTTACAGATGTAAGCCACTGCACCCGGCCTATTCTTTTCTTTACATTTTAGATATTGTTTTGAGTCAGCTTATGCAAAAGTACCTGTCCTAATCTTTCTGTTTTTATTTTGTATTTCTAGGTGTCTCTATGTTGTCTCCTAGAGTGGGTAGTCCTGCTTCTTTTACCCAGTTACTTTCCCGTTTTTGAAATGTGGCTATCACTTCTCTACACATTACCTCCATGATTTGGAATGGAAAAGGCCACTTTTCTTTTTGTTCTGCCTCTCAAATTCAACACAGAGGAGCTCCTAGGATTCCAGTTATCCTGCTAACATCTCCAGGAAGAAAGAAGCAACTCACATGGGTCTTTTGCTGTTTGCTTAATTATAAAGACATCATTTTGCAAGCAGAAGGCTGAGTTTCATTTGAAACAGGTGCTTAGGTGGTGGTATTTGTGAATACTTTTCATTCCAAGCAAGAAGACTAAAGAAGTAGCAAGTATGAATGACTTCAGGGTTTAAAAAAAATGTCTTCCAGTTTCAGCCACTACCATGATAAGCACAGTTGAGACTGCAGCAGTAAATTCCAAATATGTGTTTCTAATTTGACGTGAAAGATACTAAAAATTTATATTTGTATATTTAAATCCTGGCTCATCCTGTGACATAGATTTACTGAATAGGAACAAAGGCCCAATTTTAAACAAAAACCTAGGCCGGGTGTGGTGGCTCACACCTGTAATCCCAACACTTTGGGAGGCCAAGGCAGGCAAATCACCTGAGGTTGGGAGTTTGAGACCAGCCTGACCAACATGGAGAAACCCCATCTCTACTAAAAATAGAAAATTAGCCAGGTGTGGTGGTAGATACGTGTAATCCCAGCTACTCGTGAGGCTGAGGCAGGAGAATTGCTTGAATCCGGGAGGCGGAGGTTGCAGTGAACTGAGATTGCACCACTGCACTCCAGCCTGGGCGACAGAGTGAGACTCCGTCTCAGAAAAATAAAAAACAACTTTGGACATAGAGGAGTTGGGGGCAGAGGGGGGAGGATGAGAGAATTTTCCATGTAACTCCTTTTCCTTAAGAAAAAGAAGCAAAAATCCCTCATGCAGTGCCATCTGACTTTATGGTGTTTCACATTATATAGTTACTTTTTTTAATAAACGCATAAGATTAACTCTTCCTGCAACCCAAGGTGGATACTTGGATGTTTGATTTTTATTTATTTATTTATTTATTTTTTGAGGCAGTCTCTCTCTGTTGCCCAGGCTGGAGTGATGCGTGATTTCTGCTCACTGCAGTCTCTCCCACCCGGGTTCAAGCGATTCTCCTGCCTCAGCCTCCCAAGTAGCTAGGATTACAGGCGCGCACCACCACGCTCAGCCTGATTTCTAGGCTGAAAAGGCTGGGACTCAGGTACTTTCCCCAGTTGGGACTGAACTTTCTCATCAGAGAATGGGCCTCAGAAGCAATGTTCCCAAACTTGTGGTTGGGTCATCGTGGAAAAGAAACCTCAAATAAGAAAAATAATTACAATAAGAAATGGATTTTCTTTTTTCCCACAACAGTTATACATTATAAAGAACAGACTGTCGTAGAAAACTGTCTTTGCTTCCAAATCAGCAGAGGACCATTGTATGTATTGTCAGGTCTTTATATAAGAGTGAAACCTTTATTTATGCTTCTTGTGAGTAGAGAATAAATTTTAAAACTAATTAGATGAAATTAAGAACAGAGTATTGGAACATCTCTGTGTTTTCCGGAATGTTTACTCAGGTCCATGAATGCTGTGATGCTGGGAACTTAGGGAAGATTCACCAAAATTTGAGAGTGATAAAAATGGCCTAAAATGGGAAATGGTGAGCACTCTTATTATTAGTGAGATTGGTCAATCAGCCCATTTGAAATGGGTAAAAAATACTTTCAGTAAAATAATTACATATTATATATAAAATATTTCTTTTTTTGAGGGCAGCTACTGAGTGATAAAAGCATAGTAGAAATCACTTTGGTTAAAAGTAACTCAAATTTTTCTCTTAAGTAATCTACCAACTTCCTGATGTTTTTCTTTAATATTTTGGAACTGTTCAAGACAGAATGGAGCCTACATATATGGTGTTCCACTAGTATGTTGAAAATGTCATATCATGGAGAATGGAGACACCTTCCAGGTGTCTGTTAAACCCATCTTCTCTGTGTACTTCTGGCATCTTTTTTGGTAGGATCATTTGGCAGGGGGTAGAGTACCTGTACTTTTGGCACCATTGAAACCAGCTCTGGCCCACTTGTTTGAATAGCTATCAGACTCAGCGTCTCTATATGCTTTATATACAGTTGAGAGAACCAGTGTTTAATGCTCTTGAAATTGTATCTTCCATGCTTCAGACCAGATGCATTTAACAAAATGGATATATTCCAGCTGTAGTTGCCCAGTGTTTACTTAACACATCTACATTTTTTTCTTGTCTATTTTGGTCCCCTTGATAGGAAAAGCTATAATTTTAGGCAGGACTATACGTCGATTTGTAGCCATGCTTCCTTCCTTTCCCTTGCTCATCCATGTTAGCTGGCAGTTTTTCTTTTGAAAAGTTAAAACCGGGATATGTGCAATAGAAATATATATATATATATGTATATTTTAATACTTGTGGACAAATGTTACAAGTTGTTTAAGAACAACAAAATCACCAATGTCTTCCATTTTGAGATGTGTATAGTTTTGTAAGCATTAGTGCTTGGTAGCATATTGTAGTGCCATGTTAGGGGTTAGTGCATGAGTCTAGTGATTTTAAACTTCAGGATGAATTATTGATAATAACAAATAGTGTAAAAAGAGTGGAAAATCTAAACCTTTTCTTTTTCCATAATGTCTAAATCTGTTATATTCTTCCTGGGGAAAAGAGATTAAGGCCCAAAAGACTCATTTATGAATAGAAATGTGGGGTCAAAATCTGAGATACTATATTTGAGGACATTTCAGCTTTCCATAAGGTATCTGGAAACCAGCTGTCTTTGTGTCTTATGAAACCTCAAGTCAAAATGAGACCGCATTTAATTATTCTGCTTTGCTCTTTTTTTGGGGTGGGGGGGAGATAGAGTTTCACTCTGTCACCCAGGCTGGAGTGCAGTGGCACAATCTTTGCTCACTGTAACCTCTGCCTCTTGGGTTCAAGTGATTCTCGTGCCCCAGCCTCCCGAGTAGCTGGGACTACAGGCACGTGCCACCACGCCCAGCTAATTTTTATATTTTTAGTAGAGACGGGGTTTTGCTGTGTTGGCCAGGCTGGTCTCAAACTCCTGACCTCAAGTAATCCACCTGGCCTGCTCTTTTCATGTCTTAACATGGCATGTCTTTTAGTTTCATTATTTTCCTACTCCTTGTATGTCAAGAAATTACATTTTGCATGTCTTATGGAGATGCTGTTAATTGCTTCAGTGAGTGCTTTTCTAATCTGCAGACCATTTACATTTCCTGTTTGCAGCATGCTGTGTGCAAACACTCAGTAATTTGGAGTATTCAATTATTTGTTAGGGCTCTTCCTATTTCCAAATGTGCTGAATTGTCTATTGATGGGATTTTCAGATCTTTTCATGAGAACTGGAAATGTAGCTGGGTGGCACCTACCTAGGTTGCTACGTAGTGAGTAGACTTTCTCTTGGGTATAGTAAGCCTCAGACAGCTTTCACTTTTATCTACTTTACTTGTGGAAATAAAACAGTCATTTTGTTCTGAAAGAATAAGATAGCTTTCTGTAGAGAAGGAATTCCTACCTCTAAAAGCTGCCTTGAGAACTCAGAACTGGCAGTTTTCTGAGGTGATTTTTAAATTTCAGTATTAGGGAGAGTCCAGCATTTGCTGACACAGATTCTACATAACTAATGTATGATAGCAAATGCAAAACTATTATAATGTGGTGTATCTTGCGCATACACAGGTTAGAACAAGTAGACTCTGGCAGCAGATCTCCAGAGACCCAAGTTTAGGTTCTCATAGTGTATTTGAAGTAGTTATACTCCTGGCTTAAGTAGTTTAGTGCCTGGGAGAATCCATTACTGAAAAGCATTTAACTTAAAAAAAAAAAAAAAAAAAAAAAAAAAAACTGAAAAGGTAGTGAATACAGAATAGCACAATATATAGGAAAGGATATTTCCTGTTGAAAAAAAAAGCCATAAAATTAATAGTAATTTTCAAGAGGTAGAATTTTAGTAGCAATAAGTTTGTGCATGTATAGTAATTTGCATTAGCAAGGTTGTACAATAGAATAAGTGATACTACTGGAGTTTGTGGGGCTCTGCAACCAAGAGTTGCACAAGGGCCAGGTGCGGTGGCTTACACCTATAATCCCAGCACTTTGGGAGGCCAAGGTGGGCGGATCACAAGGTCAAGAGATCAGGACCATCCTGGCCAACATGGTGAAATGCCATCTCTACTAAAAATACAAAACTTAGCTGGGCATGGTGGCACATGCCTGTAATCCCAGCTACTCAGGAGGCTGAGGCAGTAGAATCACTTAAACCTGAGAGGCGGAGGTTGCAGTGAGCTGAGATCACACCACTGTACTCCAGCCTGGTGACAGTAAGACTCCACCTCAAACAAACAAAAAATGCACAAAAGGAAAAAATGTTCTGGATAAAGAGCATATGAAAGGTACTTTCTTTTAGAACAGTATGAATGTATATGAATTTATCTTTATGTGAGAAATAATCTTTTTTGTAAGTTAAAGGTTAAAGACCCTGCTTGTTTCCTAAATCAGAGGGTTAGAGCTGTTGAAATTAAACCTTTATAGTGCTTAACCTGGAAACAAATGTACTACAGCCCCACTGAAGCCGCTCTATGGGTTTTTTGCTTACGATGTTTTAGCAACAGGCATTTATTTTGTAGAATGGTATACTTTCTGCTTTGTCTCCTCATCTTTCTCCACTGGTTTCCTGGGTACATTTTTTTTAAAGGGAGAGAAGTTTGTGAGTTTAATGTTTTAAAAAAACTCCCAAGAACATGGATAAGCCGGATTTCTCTCATGCTTATGATTAGGGAGTTAGGATTTAAAGATGCAAAGCAGAAGGACTGAAAGGAATAGCCAGTGAATATGTTTCAGTGGGTGAGGTGTGAAACCTTGTCTAATATAGATGTGTCCTATGGCCTGTGACTGCTTATTCTTTATCAATGAGAACTCAGCAAACTAGTTTCTTTCTTGATCTGAGGAACCACACAGCTCACATCAGAATATAATAGTGGAACTAGGGTGACTTCACTCCCTTTCACCTGATGTCTATCTTGGCCTTTTAGCACCTTGACTATCCCTGAAAAGACTGGGTCTTTGTTTTCCCAGGGAAAAAACGAAGTGATGTAGATCTAAGAAATAGTGCCTCTTTAATATTTAATTCTTACATGACAACTAACACACAGGGAAAAGGCTATGTTAAGTTGATTATAGCTCCTCTTAAAATGTCCTATGCTGTCAGTTGGTCTTAGAGACATGGGAATAACCAAGCAATATTCAGACATCTGCACTATCTGGGGACAGCGCTACATAGTACAATGATGTCAGCAGTTCAGTTACTTGGAACAATTAAAGATTACCCTTAACAGCCATGTTAATACATCTAAATGCTAAAATATACTACGAGTTTTTCATAGTCTTGAAAGTATACAGTTAATTACTTTTCAAAGTTACTGTGGTCTCATGTTTACTCTTCTTGTATCTGTGATATGCAAAAAGATGAAGACTCTTGGCCTCCAGGAGTTTACATTCTCATGGTGCTGTTGGTTCAAGCAGATTGCTTTAGTTTATTAATGAACATTGCTTGGCTATTAATTATATCCTATTTGGAAGGATCCCTTGGTGAACAGTTTTAAAAAGCAGAGGGCTGTGCTAAATTTCAGGGTATTGATAGCTTGAGTTTACATTGTATTAGCCCTGCTCGTTATCATTTTTTTCCCCAGGGAGCTATGCAGGTAATGCTCATTAGCATGAATCAGAAAAGAAACCATTCTGCCTAAGAGCATCTTAACCATCCCCCTAAACCACCTATGCTCTCCTGTTATAGTTGTCAGTAAATCACGAAGAAAATTAACAGCTCCTTAAGACTCTACATCCCTCAATTCTCTTTCTTTTCCCAGAGTTTGTACATCATTCTCTACTCAGATGGACCAGGATTTGCATATAAGCCTTTTAAAACTGACTAGTGGTCCTAATTTTAACATTTTTGTGTATGACTCCTATCCCTTTTCTGAAGCAGCATTGTGATAGATGTGGAGCTTCTACCTGCATTTCTAAGCAATTATTAACCCAACTTTTGAGTTGAAACTTGCATGGATCCTTGTTATGTCCCGTAATTCCTCTGAATCAAGGAATTTATTTTGCATGCTTATTAAACTCAAACTGGGTCTGATTGAAAGTGCAAGCAATAGTGACAGGACCTTAACTCTGGTTTTAGAGTACGAACATTCTAATGCATGACTCAAAATGTCCAGTGTTGTGGTTACTAGTTATTTTATATATGCATTTGTTAATAATGAAGCAATAGAGACTAAGACCAATAGCTTGAATATATTCAGATTATTTTCATGTTTTAATAAAGGATTTTTCTTACTTCCATTGAAAATGGGAAGTAGAAGATAAACAGGGGCAACCACAAGACATTCAAACTGTCAGGACTAGGGCGTAGCAGTGCCCACCCTCTAACCACTTGCCTGGTTCCATTAGTCCCCAAGCATGTTTGAAAACAAAAGACACAAACTAAGCATGCTGAATAAAACTAGCTGCTATGGCTGTAATAATCAGAAAGGTGCAGAGTTTCAGAAAGAGTAGGAAAGTAGGGAATGCCAGTATGGAGTATGTAAAATAACTAGATATGGATATGGGGTTTGTTTATGATATGCTTTATGTAGACAAAGTTTGAGGTCTTTTAAAACTGGGATTTGAGTTGAAAAGAGTCAGGATGCACATATTTCCACTATTTCAGGATTTTCAGATGACTAGGCACATGTTGTGGATGATACTGGTACCAACTACCAATGACCAACTATAAAGTACCCCTGCAATAAGGGAGACTTCCTTTTTGTAGAATAGTCCTGAAAATACTGACAGATCTGTGGTTAGTTTGTTATTTTATTGCATAAAAAACAGTTTAAACAAATTTTATAGCCAAAGTTTTATCCTTGATGGGTTTGGCCAGACTGCAATTTCTTGACTAAAGCTTTTAATGCCAGGTTAAACAGGAGAAACTTTTTCCACTAGAAGAAAATCCTTGCTATCTATTTTTTCCAATAGAAGAAAATCCTTGCTATTTATTTTATTTGATGAATAAACAAATTTATTGCAGTAGCTTAAAAAAATTTTTTTTTTAAACAGTCTCACTCTGTCGCCCAGGCTGGAGTGAAGCAATGTGATCTCAGCTCACTGCAACCTCCACCTCCCGAGTAGCTGGGATTACAGACATGCACCACCACCCTCAGCTAATTTTTGTATTTTTAGTAGAGACGGGGTTTCGCCATGTTGGCCAGGCTGGTCTTTAACTCCTGGCCTTACGTGATCCGCCCCCCCTTAGCCTTCCAAAGTGCTGGGATTACAGGTGTGAGCCACTGCACCTGGCCTGTAGTAGCTTAAAATTTTCCTTGAGAAAATTCCTGACTTTAAAAATAACCCTTATATAAGTACAAGTGATTGTGACAAATGACGTAAAAATGGCATTCATGATGTCTGAAACAAGCCTAAATAGAATTCAAGATTAGACTAAATGATTTTCACAAAGCACATTCAAGGTTTTACATTCTATGATTGAAAAAAATTTTTTGAAAACTTTTTATTTCATTCTTTCCTGTAGGATTTTGCTACAAATAACTTTGGGAATGAATAAAGTGGAATGGTAACTTTCCAGTGGTTCAGAATTGAATTAGACTTCTTGTGACTGTGATGTTTGGTTTCCATTGAAATATATGAAGTGAGATGTCATATCCTGAATATAGTTTGTCTTCCCCAATTACTTGATAGCATGTCTGTCAGCCAGTAAAGATTAAGAACAGAGTTTCTCTAAATTCCTCCGATTATTCCACTAAGGCACATTAAAATACTTAATTTTGGGAAACCAGACATCACAGATTTCTCCATGAAGTCCTAAATCTTCTTTAAAGTCAGAATAGGTATCTTAGTTACTGACAGTATTCAGGTTTTTTTCTCCCTTGGTGATATGTCATTCCATCAGTGAAAAAATATTTTCTCCCAGGGATAAGAAAGGTATTCTGGTAATACATTATCATCAATCCTTAAACAGTAACAGTCTTGGCACTTATCACAAAACCGACCCATTTCTTATAACCAGAAAGATTATCTTAGACTGTCCTTCACATTATACTTTACCTACTGCCTTGTAAGAATAAGAGTTGCTCACTGTGTTTACTTGCTGTCCTCCATATTCTCCATTGCACCATTGGTGTATAACGTTAAGAGTTTCATTGAATATTATTTTAAGTATTACAAAAGGCAGCTTGCTTCTTAATCTATGCATCTTTGGGGTTTTTGAAGAAATTTAATTCTTTGATGTAAAAAGGAACTGTTAAAAAAGTTGGAAGCTCTGCACCTGTGTATATATATATTTTAGCAATAAAGCAGCATGGGCTGAGAATGCACTGAAATCTCATTGTGTGTCGTTACTTGAAATGGGTAATTTTAAATAATGCAGTACATACTGATGATGGGAGAAGGAGCCTTTCCAAAGACCTGTGCCAAAGTACTCTTCAGATGTTAAAGAACAAAGGACCAGGTTACTTGAGACCTAGCTGTAGCAGTTTCCAGTGTGTTGTACAATGGAACAGGCAGCCATTCAAACCTCAATATGTAATGCTGCTTTTACAGCCATAAGGAGTTTTGGAATACTTTTTCTAACATATTTGTAATTGCCTTTATTTTGTGTCTCTGTGTATCCACATACATGGAGTTTAATAATAGTATTCATTGAGCACCAACTATGTGATAAGCACTGCTCTAATTACATTAGATGCATTAATTAACTCATTTAATGCTCACTACAGCTCTAATTACTATAGTTTTTATCCCTATTTTACATAGAAGGAAATTAAAACAGATAAATTGTTCCAGTTCATGGCTAGTAAGTACCCAAGCCACAGTTTCAATCCAGTTTGGTTCCAGAGCCTGCTCACTTACCAGGATGCTATATTGTGCTTCTCAAAAAATAGAAAGGGAAGAAGTATACTTTCACTCTGTATTTTGTCACACATCTCTTTTTTCTAGAGTGAGCATGTAATCTGAAAAAAATCTATTTAAAGCTAGCCAGTTTAATTTGACGTAAAGGTCAAGCATTTAATTTTATTTATTTATTTATTTAGAGACGGAGTCTTGCTCTGTCGCCCAGAGCAACCAGGGGTGACTCAATGTGGTACTTATTAGGTCTTTTTTTTTTTTTTTTGAGACGGCGTCTCACTCTGTCACCCAGGCTGGCATGCAGTGGCATGATCTTGGCTCCCCACAACCTCTGCCTCCCAGGTTCAAGCGATTCTCCTGCCTCAGCCTCCCGAGTAGTGGGACTACAGACACACGCCACATGCTCAGCTAATTTTTGTATTTTTAGTAGAGACAGGGTTTCACTATGTTGGGCAGGCTGGTCTGGAACTCCTGACCTCGTGATCTGACCGCCTTGGCCTCCCAAAGTGCTGGGATTACAGGCGTGAGCCACTGCACCTGGCCTATATTAGGTCTTATTCTTTAAAAAGTAAAAGCTTTTATTGGGCTGGTTTTTGCCAGAAAGCATCAACCTTGCTTATAGGACCAAATTTTTGCAACTCTACGCATAATCAGACCTGGCACAATGGCTCACCGCTGTAATTCCAACACTTCAGAAGGCTGAAGTGAGGATCCCTTGAGCCCAGTTTGAGCCCACAGTGAGGCCTTGTCTCTACAATTTTTTTTTTTTTTTTAATTAGCCAGGCGTGGTGACACAAACCTGTGGTGCCAGCTATTCAGGATACAGTTGGGAGGATCACTTGAGACCAGGAAGTCAAGGCTGCAGTGGGCCATGTTCACACCTCTGCACTCAGGCCTGGGTGACAGAGTGAGACCCTGTCTCACCACCCTCCCCTCAAAAAAAGCATAAGCAGGCCAGTCGCAGTGGCTCACGCCTGTTATCCTAGCAGTTTGGGAGGCCAAGGTGGGTGGATTTGCCTGAGCTCAGGAGTTCGAGACCACCCTGGGCAACACGGTGAAACCCCGTCTCTACTAAAATACAAAAAATTAGCCGGGCGTGGCGGCATGCACCTGTAATCCCAGCTACTCAGGAGGCTGAGACAGGAGAATCGCTTCAACACTCGGGAGATGGCAGTTGCAGAGATCAGGCCACTGCACGCCAGCCTGGGCGACAGAGCAAGACTCCATCTCGGGAAGAAAAAAAAAAAATTTATATATATATATTCTGCTAGCTACATCCCAGCCAAGTTAGCTTTTCTATCCTCCACCACTTGGATATGTAATTTCTTGATTGTGCTAGTGCCAAAGGCTCTCCTTAGTGGTCTGCTTGCTGTCCTTCCCACCTGTTTTCCACAGGACAACCACAGTGACATTCTGAAAAAGTAAATTTGATTAGGCAGGCCTTCTTTTAAGGACCTCATAAAGGTCATCCCTCCATCACCTTATTAATTCCTATTCGTCTTTCAGACCACCGCTGAAACTTCACTTCTACACAGAGGCTTTCTTTCCCAGAAACCCAGACCAGGTCAGTTACCTGCTTTATGTGCGTGTATCCCTATGTTCCTTTACTTCAAAACCCTTACTAGCGTCATAATTTTACATATCTTTTTTTTTTTTTAGATGGAGTTTCACTCTGTCGCCCAGGCTGGAGTGCAGTGGCACGATCTCGGCTGACTGCAGCCTCTACCTGCTGGGTTCAAGCAATTCTTCTGCCTCAGGTTCCTGAGTAGCTGGGATTACAGGTGCGCACCACCATGCCTGGCTAATTTTTGTATTTTTAGTAGAGACGAGGTTTCACCACGTTGGCGAGGCTGGTCTTGAACTCCTGACCTCAAGTGATCCACTGCCTCGGCCTCCGAAAATCTGGAATTATAGATGTGAGCCACTGCGCCAGGCCTGTAATTTTATGTATCTTTATGTGATTATTTGAATGTCCCTCTCTGACTAGATTATAAATTCTAAGGATAGTGTGTCTATTTTTGCTTACCTTTTATCCCCAGCACCTAGTCTAACACTTTACAAATATATATTAAATTAATATTTTGATAAGTTACTCAAAGTGCTACATAAAACAAAATTATAGAAAATAGTACTTTGGTAACTGTTTCGTTTTATCATTGCTTTCATTATTTCTCTGTTAACCTCAGTTTACAACTGAAAAAGACAAATTGTATATTATTCAGGCAATTTATTAAACATTACCTATAGAATATTATGATCTGTATTTTACAGAAGTTAAAAAGTGATGTATTAGTATTCATAACAACTGCTCCATGCAGGAGTAATAGAAGTCAACATTAAGCCCAACTCTATTTTCAGACCAACCATGCAACTTTAGATCAGAGGACACATGGGACTCTGCATCTTAATTCCTAAATTTACAGTCAAAGACATTTTCAGAGATAAGTATTATGAATTCAATAAGAATCTAAAGTAAGTTCTTAAGGCAAATAGCTATAAAAGAGAAGAATCCTTAGTCTCTCATCTTCTAAAAACAGCTTCACAAATAATTTGGAAAATCAGCCTAAAGGTAAATAGAAACTGCATTTCCCCTCCATTCTTGAAGCCAATCTTTTTCAAGAAATGACTAAGCAGCACCTGTTGTTGAAGACAGCAATAAAGCCTGAACCTGACACTCAAGCTTTGGTACAGGATCAGTTTTCTGGCTTGGACTGGTCAGGAGTCACTTCACTCAGAATCTTCATTAGTGATTTTAAGCGATTGTGCGTTAGCACTATCTTCTCTTTCAGCTAGGAAGAGAAATATATAGATATCAGGGCATCTTTTTTTATTTTTACTTATTTTAAGAGACAGGGTCTCACTCTGTTGCCTGAGCTGGAGTACAGTGGCACATTCATAGTTCACTGCAGCCTCAAGCTCCTGCTCTCAAGTGATCCTCCCACTTCAGCCTCCTGATTAGCTAGGACTACAGTCATGTGTTTTAAATTTTCTTTGTAGAGATGGGGGTCTTGCTTTGTTGCCCAGGCTGGTGTTGAACTCCTGGCAGTCAGTGATCCTCCCAAAGTGCTGGAATTACAGACATGAGCCACCACACCAAGATGGATATCTGGGCATTTTAAGCTTAACTGTCAATTTGCTGGTCACAAACACCATTTCAAATTTAAGCTAGTTTATATCTAGTAATTGGGAGCTGGCAATGTCTAAATGCATTTGAGGAATAAATTTCTTCTAATTCTGGAAGAACTTTATACAACAACGTAGCGCACAGTAAGATCTTCAGATGTGGCCAGGCGCAGTGGCTCACGCCTCTAACCCCAGCACTTTGGGAGGCTAAGTTGGGCAGATCACGAGGTCAGGAGATCAAGACCATCCTGGCTAACACGGTGAAACCCCATCTCTACTAAAAATACAAAAACAAAATTAGCTGGGCACGGTGGCGGGCGCCTGTAGTCCCAGCTACTCAGGAGGCTGAGGCAAGAGAATGAGTGAACCCAGGAGGCAGAGCTTGCAGTGAGCCAAGATCGTGCCACTGCATTCCAGCCTGGGTGACAGAGCGAGACTCCGTCTCAAAAAAAAAAAAAAAAAAGATCCTCAGATGTAAAGTTTCGTGTGAAAAAAGACAAAACATTGCTGAGCAGCACTGCTACTGTGAAGATGAATAAAGTCTGGTCACAGTGCTTTGTGGAGACAGGCTTCTCCTCCTTTTCCAGTGGCAAGAATTTAGCTTTTCTTTTAACACTTTGTTAACAGTAACAAATGCCTCTCTGACTTTAACATTCTACTAATGGTCTGCAAAGTTAACTCTGGTTATTAGGTTTAGAACAGATAACTGTTGCAATTAGGTAATTTTTAAGAGTTCTTACAGCTATATTTAGCATGAAATTTAGTGTTGTTACTCAGCAGGGCAAGAGCAGTGGCTTCTGATAATCTCCATTCGCCCCTCCCAGCATAGGATTTCCACCCTACAAGCAAGCTGGGGGCAAGGGCAACTGGGTTCCCAGCTACTGGGGAGGCTGAAGCAGAAGCACTTGAACCTGGCACTCACACCTGTAATCCCAGCAGTTTGGTAGGCCGAGGCGGGTGGGTCACCTGAGCTCGGAAGTTCGAGAACAGCCTGGCCATCATTTTTAGCAGAGATGGTAAAACCCCGTCTCTACTAAAAATACAAAAATTATCTGGGCACGGTAGTGCGCGCCTGTAGTCCCAGGTACTCAGGAGGCTTTTTAGTATTTTTAGTAGAGACAAGGATTCTCCATGTGGGAGAATCGCTTGAACCCGGGAGGAGGGGGTTGCAGTGACCCAAGACTGTGCCACTGCATTCCAGCCTGGGAGGCAGAGTGAGACTTTGTCTCAAAAATAAATAAACAAATAAATGTTTCTGTATTTGCCATATACCTTGAAGAAAATTTCCACAGACTTAAGATGGTTGTTTCCTTTATAATATTCTTCCTGGATCCTATCCATGGAACTCCTCATACTGCCATTCCAAAGTCATTTCCCATACCAATTATTATTATTATTATTTTTGAAATAGATTCTCACTGTCACCCAGGCTAGAATGCAATGGCGTGATCTTGGCTCACTGCAACCTCTGCCATCCAGGTCCAAGCGATTCTCCTGCTTCAGCCTCCTGAGTAGCTGGGGCTGGGATTATAGGCGCCTGCCACTGCGCCTGGCTAATTTTTCTAGTTTTAGTAGAGACGGGGTTTCACCATCTTGGCCAGGCTGAACTCCTGACCTCATGATCCACCCACCTCGGCTTCTCAAAGTGCTGGGATTACAGGTGTGAGCCACCGCACCCAGCCAATAAGAATTCTTTTTTTTTTTTTCCACACAGAGTTTCGCTCTCAATGGCAAGCTCTCGGCTCACTGCAACCTCTGCCTCCCAGGTTCAAGCGATTCTCCTGCCTCAGCCTCCCGAAAAGCTGGGATTATAGGCATGCGCCAACACGCCCGGCTAATTTTGTATTTTTAGTAGAGATGGGATTTCTCCATGTTGGTCAGGCTGGTCTCAAACTCCCGACCTGAGGTGATCTGCCTGCCTCAGCCTCCCAAAGTGCTGGGATTACAGGCATAAGCCACCATGCCCAGCCTTCTTTTTTTCTTTTTTTTTTTTTTGAGACAGATTTTCACTCTTGTTGCTCAGGCTAGAGTGCAATGGCATGATCTTGCCTCACAACAACCTCTATCTCGCAGGTTCAAGTGCTTCTCCTGTCTCAACCTCCCAAGTAGCTGGGATTACAGGCATGTGCCACCACGCCCGGCTAATTTTGTATTTTTAGTAGAGACAGGGTTTCTCCATGTTGGTCAGGCTGGTCTCGAACTACTGATCTCGGGTTATCCATCCGCCTCAGCCTCCCAAAGTGCTGGGATTACAGGCGTGAGCCACCACGCCCAGGCAAGAATTATTTTTTTTTGAGACGCAGTCTCGCTCTGTTGCCCAGGCTGGAGTGCAGTGGCGCAGTCTCGGCTCACTGCAACCTCCACCACCTGGGTTCAAGCGATTCTCCTGCCTCAGTCTCCTAAGTAGCTGGGATTACAGGCGCCCACCACCATGACCGGCTAAATTTTTTTTTTTTTTTTTTTTGAGACAGAGTCTTGCTCTGTTGCCCAGGCTGGAATGCAGTGGCGCAATCTCAGCTCACTGCAACCTCCACCTCCCAGTTCAAGCAATTCTCCTGCCTCTGCCTCCCGAGTAGCTGGGACTACAGGCACGTGCCACCACGCCCGGCTAATTTTTTGTATTTGTAATAGAGATGGGGTTTCACTGTGTTAGCCAGGATGGTCTCCATCTCCTGACCTCATGTTCTGCTCGCCTTGGCCTACCAAAGTGCTGGGATTACAGGCGTGAGCCACCACGCCCGGCCAGGAATTCTTAATAACTGTTTCATCACTCTTATGTCTGAGACAGTTGAGCAATTACAAGGTATTTGCAAAGAAGACACCTCTATGGCAAGATGATGATATCCATTCCCAGCACAAAGGAGAATGCAGGAGTGCAGCAGTTGAGCAGCTTTTCCTTTCTTCCTGAACTATACCTTACAGTGTGGTTTTAGTATTTTGTTTTTCATTACAAATTCAATAGGGAAGGTCAAATCAAGTAAAAAGGATTATTGAGCATCATGCCATTTCATCATCCCCAAGTTCATTGGTAGAAGTTATCAAGAGTTGTCTGTATTTTAAAAAAGCATACAACCATCATGAAATTTTACCTCTGCAATCTTTTCTGATAGAGGAACATTTTGAATATCCATCTCTGATGCATTTACTATGGCTTTTGTTTTTAAGAGATAGCTAGATAGGAAAAAAGAAAAATATTAGTGTCATACCATGGTTAAGATTATAAAAGAACCAAACTTACCTTCTAAAGAAAGTATGTGTCAAAAAAAGCCTGGCTTCTTAATGATTTTCATTTCAAGACTCATGATGTTACAGTTGGCCCACCATATCCATGGGTATAGCATCCATGGATTCAAACAACCACAGACTAAAAATATTCAGGAAAAAAAAACTGGATTGTGTCTGTACTGAACAGGTACACTCTTTTTCTTGTCATCATTCCCTTAACATTACAACAACTTTGTAAATTTCCTATGTAAATTTGTAATGTACATAGCATTTACATTACGTTAGCTGTCATAAGTAATCTGGAGATTATTTTAAAGTATAAAATATATACTTTTATACTTTAAAAAGGAGGATATCCAAAAGTAATATGCAAATATTACACCACTTAATATCAGAAACTTGAGTGTCCATGGATTTTGGTATCTGGTGAGGTCCTGGAACCACAGATACTGAAGGATGACTGCATTTTCTTGGAAAAACAAATTCAAAAATAAACAAATTGGAGAGGATCTCTGCCGCATCCCACCAGAGACAAAATTATCTCAGGGTAAATTAAAGACAAAAACCAGGCTCATATGAATAATTACGATGATTATAAGCTTTACACTTCATCAGTAGGATCCTGTAGCACAGTTTGAAAGAAAGTAATCCCAGTATGAGACATAGTGTTGGTCACCTATTCCCAGTAGCTGTTCCTCACTTTTTTTTTTTGAGATGGAGTCTCGCTCTGTTGCCCAGACTAGAGTGCAGTGGTACAATCTCAGCTCACTGCAACCTCTGCCTCCTGGGTTCAAGCGATTCTCCTGCCGCAGCCTCCCGAGTAGCTGGGATTACAGGCTTGCGCCACCACGCCCAGCTAATTTTTGTATTTTTAGTAGAGATGGGGTTTCACCATGTTGGCGAGGCTGGTCTCGAACTCCTGACCTCAGGTGATCCCCCTGCCTGGGCCTCCCAAAGTGCTGGGATTATAGGCGTGAGCCGAGCCCAGCCTTCCTCACTTCTTTATTGCCAACAGAATCCAGATTTTTGCCATGAGCCTACTGTTACATATTTGCTTTCTCAGATGAGGTGATCATGTGACATAGTTCTGGCCAACAAGGGTAAGAAAATGGGATGGGTGTGCTGGCTCACACCTATAATCCCAGCACTTTGGGAGGCTGAGGCAGGCAGATGGCTTGACATCAGAAATTTGAGACCAGCCTGGGCAACATAGCGAAACTCCATCTCTTTTTTTTTTTTTTGAGACAGAGTCTTACTCTGTCACCCAGGCTGAAGTGCAATGGCGAGATCTCGGCTCACTGCAACCTCCGCCTTCCAGGTTCAAGCAATTCTTCTGCCTCAGCCTCCCAAGCAGTTGGGATTACAGGTGCCCACCATCATGCCCAGCTAATTTTTGTATTTTTAGCAGAGACAGGGTTTCACCATATTGGACAGGCTGGTCTTGAATTCCTGACCTCAAGTGATCCGCCTGCCTCAGCCTCCCAAAGTGCTGGGATTACAGCTGTGAGCCAACATGCCTGGCCAGCGAAACCCCATCTCTACAAAAAATACAAAAATTAGCCAGATGTGGTGGCATGCCTGTAGTCCCAGCTACTTGGGAGGCTGAGTTGGGAGGATCACCTGAACCCAAAAGGTTGAGGCTGCAGTGAACCATGATCGCTCCAGCCTGTGTGACAGTGAGACCCTGTCTCAAAAAAAAAAAAAAAAAGAATAAAAAAAAGATTAAGAAAATTTATGCTGGCGGGGCGCAGTGGCTTATGCGTGTAATCCCAGCACTTTGGGAGGCCGAGGCGGGGGGATCACCTGAGGTCAGGAGTTTGAGACCAGCCTGGCAAACATGGTAAAACCCCATTTCTAATAAAAATACAAAAATTAGCAGGCTGTGGTGGAGCGCACCTGTGGTCCCATCTGCTTGGGAGGCAAGGCAGGAGAATCACTTGAACCTGGGAGGCGGAGGTTGCAATGAGCTGAGATCACACCACTGTGTTCCAACTTGGGTGACAGAGCAAGACTCTGTCTCAAAAAAAAAAAAAAAATTTATGCTGATGAAAAGGGGGAATTTTCTTGTGTTCCCATACTCTCCATATCCTTTTCCTTCATGTTTAGGATGCTATCATCAATAGATGTAATGACTGTAATTGCAGCAGCCATCCCGAATCCAAGAGGAAAAGGCCAAAGTTTCTACTTAATCAAAAAGAATGTCCTGACCTTTTATCCAACTCATTTTAAAGATTAAGAAATTAACCAAAATCCCATAATGCTTTTCAAATTTATGTTAAAAATATGTTACTAAAAGCTTACTGCCCTAACAAAAATGCAATTATTGCTTCTCTAGAACATTTACTTTTGTACTGATTTCTAAAAAAGATGTGGGATTACTAACAGCACACATTTACAGTTTTTTTTCCCACTTTAAAGTTAATTCTAAATAGAAATTGCTTAAGAATCTAGAAATTGGTGGCGCAGTGGCTCACACCTGTAATCCCAGCACTTTAGGTGGCCAAGGCAGGAGATCAAGACCATGCTGGCTAACACGGTAAAACCCCGTCTCTACTAAAAATACAAAAAAATTAGCCAGACATGGTGGCGGGCGCCTGTAGTCCCAGCTACTCGGGAGGCTGAGGCAGGACAATGGCGTGAACCTGGGAGGCGGAGCTTGCAGTGAGCCGAGATGGTGCCACTGCACTCCAGCTCCAGCCTGGGCGAAAGAGCAAGACTCCGTCTCAAAGAAAAAAAAAAAGAATCTAAAAATTGAGGCTGGGCATGGTGATTAATGCCTGTAATCTTAACATTTTGGGAAGCCCAGGCAGGAGAATCACTTGAACCCAGGAGGTGCAGGTTGCAGTGAGCTGAGATCATGCCATTGCACTTCCAGCCTGGGTGACAGAGTGAGACTCCGTCTTTAAAAAAAGAGAATGATCAATCCATCTCAGGATCTCAGGTATATATTTTGTGTTGGAAATTTGCAATGAAGAACAAATGGTATACCTAATGCACAGTGAGCAACCCATGGTAAAGGACTGGCTGATAAGTTTTATTGTTTAGTCAACCATAACTCAGCTAAAAACATCTATCTAAGCATAAGAAATGAGAAAAAGCGGCCGGGCGCGGTGGCTCATGCCTGTAATCCCAGCACCTTAGGAGGCCAAGGCGGGCGGATCACGAGGTCAAGGAGATCGAGACCATCCTGGCTAACACAGTGAAACCCCGTCTCTACTAAAAATACAAAAAATTAGCCAAGCGTGGTGGTGGGCGCCTGTAGTTCCAGCTACTTGGGAGGCTGAGGCAGGAGAATGGTGTGAACCCAGGGGGTGAAGCTTACAGTGAACCAAGATCACGTCACTGCACTCCAGCCTGGGCGCCACAGCAAGACTCCATCTCAAAAAAAAAAAAAAAAAAAAAGACATGAGAAAAAGGAAACCTTTTAGTTTTATGAAAGGAAAATAAGCTTTTGAGTTAAGACATGCTCAAATCTCAGCTCTTCCACCTCTTTGAGCCCTAGTTTTCTTAAACTATATTAAGAACTCAGTGATATAAGCATAATGCCTACATAAACTAGGTTGTCAATGCTTGTTTTTGTTTTTTAATGGTCAAGGAAAGACTTCTAAGGATGTTTCAGTTTCTTGTAATAAGTAAAAAAGCTTAAGTTAAAAGTGCAATTTATTAGGAAAATAATGAAATAGCCAATGTAATTCATGAGAAAGGATAACCAGTAGGGTAGTTTTTCTGACACTATGAGGCTACATGATCATTATTTTTACTTTTCTCTGTGTCTGCTTCATGTTTTACTGCAGAGAAGACTTCCCTGCAGCTACATGCATCACATGGGAAATAGCTATCCCATACATAGAGCTTTCACTTCCAAACTTCAACACTAGTACTATCTACACGTAACTGGTATTTCTGGGCCCTTGTTTCAAATTCCTAAGGTAGAAAACTGGTTGGCTTAGTTTGGGTCAGGTATCCATTTTTCTTTTTTTTTTTTTTTTTGAGACAGAGTCTCGCTCTGTTGCCAGGCTGGAGTGCAGTGGCGCGATCTTGGTTCACTGCAACCTCTGACTCCCCGGTTCAAGTGATTCTCCTGCCTCAGCCTCCCAAGTAGCTAGGATTACAGGCATGCGCCACCATGCCCAGCTAATTTTTTTTGTATTTTTAGTAGAGACGGGGTTTCCCATGTTGGCCAGGATGATCTCGATCTCCTGACCTCATGATCTGCCCACCTCGGCCTCCCAAAGTACTGGGGTTACAGGCGTGAGCTACCACGCCCAGCACCGTTTTTGGTTTTTAAGAGACAGGGTCTTGCTCTGCTCCCCATGCTAGAATACAGTGACACAATCATAGCTCACTGTAACCTTGAACTCCTGGGCTGTAGCTATCCTCCCACCTTAGCCTCCAGAGTAGCTAGGACTACAGGCATACACCACCATACACAGTTAATATTTTAAATTTTTTGTAGAGACAGAGTCTTGCTATGTTGCCTAGGCTGGTCTCAAACTCCTAAGCTCAAACAATCCTCCAACTCAGCCTTCCAAAGTGCTGAGATTACAGGCATGACCCACCATGCCTGGCCAGGTATTCATTCTTGATCCAGTACCTGGGAGTGGGAATCACACATGATACAAATCACACATGATACAAATATACAAGGCCCCACCTATTAGAGGGAGAGAGAGGCTGGGCACAAACCCAAAAGGTATCTACTGCAACATTATTTTGCAAAAGCTTGCCTTCTAGAATGTTCTTTTTATCTTTTATTTATTTTTATTTTTTCTGAGACAGAGTCTAGCTCTGTCACCCAGGCTGAAGTGCAGTGGCTTGATCTTGGCTCACTGCAACCTCCGCCTCCTGGGTTCAAGCAATTCTTCTGCCTCACCTCCCGAGTAGCTGCGACCACAGGCGTGTGCCACCACACTTGGCTTATTTTCGTATTTTAAATGGAGATGGGGTTCCACCATGTTGGCCAAGCTGGTCTCGAACTCCTGACCTCAGGTGAACCCCCGACCTCAGCCTCCCAAAGTGCTGGGATTACAGGCGTGAGCCACTGCACCCGGCCCATAAGGGAGCAGTTTGAGATGGGAGGCTTCACCATGTTGCCTAGGCTGGTCTCAAACACCAAGATTCAAGTGATCCTCCTGCCTCAGCCTCCTGGGTAGCTAGAATTACAGGCACACACCACCACATCTGGCAACAAGTTTCTTTAATGAAAGAATACCCTCTGAATTTTCCCATGGTATGACTTTTAAGATATGGTATGATAAGACATGGAAGATAATCATAATGTTATAAGATTATATTTTGGTCCCACTGCTTTTTTTTTTTTTTGTCACCCAAAGTGGAATGCAGTGGTATGATCACAGCAAAATGTAACCTTGAACTCCTGGGCTCAGGTGATCCTCCCACCTCAGCCTCCCAAGTAACTGGGACTATAGGGGCACGCCGCCACATCCAGCTAATTTTTTAAAATTTTGTATAAAAAAAAAACAGGAGTCTCACTATATTGCCCATGGAGGTCTTGAACTCCTGCCCTCAAGCAGTCCTCCCACCTTGGCCTCACAAAGCATTGGCATTACAGGCGCGAGCCATCACACCTGGCCCACTGCTATCTTTTTGTCAAAGACAGTGCCTGACTTTAGCATCTTTTTGGTACAAACACTTTGTCTTTTTTCTTTTTTTTTTTTTTGAGACAGAGTCTTGTTCTGTCACCCAGGCTGGAGTGTAGTGGTGCAATCTCAGCTCACTGTGCAACCTCCACCTCTCAGGTTGAAGCAATTCTCTTGCCGCAGCCTCCCAAGTAGCTGGGATTACAGGTGTGCACTAGCATGCCCAGCTACTTTTTTTTTTTTTTCCTTTGGACAGAATCTCACTATGTCTCCCAGGCTGGAGTGCAGTGGCGTGATCTCACAGTGGCGTGATCTCAGCTCACTGCAGCCTCTGCCTCCCAGGTTCCAACAATTCTCGTGCCTCAGCCTCCTGAGTAGCTGGGATTACAGGCGTCTACCACTACACCTGGCTAATTTTTGTATTTTTCGTAGAGATGGGTTTCACCATGTTAGCCAGGCTGGTCTCAAACTCCTGACCTCGAGTGATCCACCGCCTCAGCCTCCTAAAGTGCTGGGATTACAGGCATAAGCCACTGTGCTCAGCCTACTTTGTCTTTCCTGAAAAACCTTTTAAAATTTATTTGATGGACTTTGTCTCAAAATAAATAAAATAAAATGTATTTGATGATCAATATCTAAGTCTACTCACCACACCATTTTGTCACTGGAAAGGCAGAAGTGACCTCTCAAGGCAGCCAGGGCAGCATGGGTAGAATACAGATGGAAACCAACGGGAATCCCACAAGAACCACAGAATAAAAGGTTGTAAGTACTAGGGGTGGGGAAAAACACAATATGGGTAAGAATAAAAAATCATATAAGAAATAAAAAATAACTAGTCTCTGAAGCATTCCTAACACCTAAGTCAGGGTGAAAATTACATTGTAATAGGAATGAGACGGAAAGAATGTCACATTCAAGAAAGGGTAACTCAGATTGTAATTTAATTACATGCTGGATTGCGGATACCCTCGTATATTCTGGTCAAAGCAATCATGGATGTATAATTGTCGCTTCAGAAGAGAAAGGTAATTTACCCCTAATAAACACAAAAAGAGCTAACTAATCTGATTAACATTTAAACATTTAAAACTACAAATCATGTAAAATGGCTATCATTATATAAATTCACAGTTGTTGAAAAATAATCAAGTTGACTGGGGCCTTACTAAACAAATTGTTCATAGAACTAAAATCAAGGTTTGTCTTTTGCTTATATTAAAAAAGAAAGTTAATGAAAAAAATGCGCCCTCTCCCTCTCCCTCCTCTCCCCACGGTCTCCCTCTCCCTCTCTTTCCACGGTCTCCCTCTGATGCCAAGCCAAAGCTGGACTGTACTGCTGCCATCTCGGCTCACTGCAACCTCCCTGCCTGATTCTCCTGCCTCAGCCTGCCGAGTGCCTGCGATTGCAGGCACGCGCCGCCACACTTGACAGGTTTTCATATTTTTTTGGTGGAGACGGGGTTTCGCTGTGTTGGCTGGGCTGGTCTCCAGCTCCTAACCGCGAGTGATCCACCAGCCTCGGCCTCCCAGGGTGCCGGGATTGCAGACGGAGTCTCGTCTCGTTCACTCAGTGCTCAATGGTGCCCAGGCTGGAGTGCAGTGGCATGATCTTGGCTCGCTACAACCTCCACCTCCCAGCCGCCTGCCTTGGCCTCCCAAAGTGCCGAGATTACAGCCTCTGCCCAGCCGCCACCCCGTCTGGGAAGTGAGGAGCGTCTCTGCCTGGCCACCCATCGTCTGGGATGTGAGGAGCCCCTCTGCCTGGCTGCCCAGTCTGGAAAGTGAGGAGCGTCTCTGCCCGCCCGCCATCCCATCTAGGAAGTGAGGAGCGCCTCTTCCCGGCCGCCATCCCATCTAGGAAGTGAGGAGCGTCTCTGCCCGGCCTCCCATGGTCTGAGATGTGGGGAACGCCTCTGCCCTGCCGCCCCGTCTGGGATGTGAGGAGCGCCTCTGCCCGGCCGCGACCCTGCCTGGGAGGTGAGGAGCGTCTCTGCCCGGCTGCCCCATCTTGAGAAGTGAGGAGACCCTCCGCCCGGCAGCCTCCCTGTCTGAGAAGTGAGGAGCCCCTCCGCCCGGCAGCCACCCCATCTGGGAAGTGAGGAGCGTCTCCGCCCGGCAGCCACCCTGTCGGGGAGGGAGGTGGGGGGTCAGCCCCCCGCCCAGCCAGCCGCCCCGTCCAGGAGGGAGGTGGGGGGGTCAGCCCCCCGCCCGGCCAGCCGCCCCGTCCGGGAGGGAGGTGGGGTGGTCCAGCCCCCCGCCCGGCCAGCCGTCCCGTCCTGGAGGGAGGTGGGGGGGTCAGCCCCCCGCCCGGCCAGCCGCCCCGTCCGCGAGGTGATGGGCGCCTCTGCCCGGCCGCCCCTACTGGGAAGTGAGGAGCCCCTCTGCCCGGCCACCACCCTGTCTGGGAGGTGTACCCAACAGCTCATTGAGAATGGGCCATGATGACAATGGCAGTTTTGTGGAATAGAAAAGGGGGAAAGGTGGGGAAAAGATTGAGAAATCGGATGGCTGCTGTGTCTGTGTAGAAAGAAGTAGACATGGGAGACTTTTCATTTTGTTCTGTACTAAGAAAAATTCTTCTGCCTTGGGATCCTGTTGATCTATGACCTTACCCCCAATCCTGTGCTCTCTGAAACATGTGCTGTGTCCACTCAGGGTTAAATGGATTAAGGGCGGTGCAAGATGTGCTTTGTTAAACAGATGCTTGAAGGCAGCATGCTCCTTAAGAGTCATCACCACTCCCTAATCTCAAGTACCCAGGGACACAAACACTGCGGAAGGCCGCAGGGTCCTCTGCCTAGGAAAACCAGAGACCTTTGTTCACTTGTTTATCTGCTGACCTTCCCTCCACTATTGTCCTATGACCCTGCCAAATCCCCCTCTGCGAGAAACACCCAAGAATGATCAATAAAAAAATAAATAAATAAATAAATAAATAAAAAAGAAAAAAATGCGCAGACTAAAAGAGAAAGAAAAGGGAATCCTATTACCCTAGCAAGCCATCTATTTTGTTTTCCTTATCCTCTGAAAAGATTACTGATGAAGAGTCAGATGTTGATTTTAGCTCTCATTACAATTCTTGAGCAAGTCATCATATTTGCTGGTATATAAGACATATTTAAATATTAGAAAGAAACATTTTGGTCAGGCACAGTGGTTCACACCTACTGTAATCCCAGCACTATGAGAGGCCAAAGTGGGCAGATAGCTTGAGCCCAGGAATTCGAGAGCAGCCTAGGCAACATGGTAATACCCCGTCTTAAAAAATAAATAAATGTTTTACAAGAAAAGCACTTTAAGAAAATATTTCATCATGCATGTGCTAAAAGCAATTTTAAAGTGGTTTGGTAAAGGAAAAATAAATTGTATTAATATATAGTATGAAGTTTTTTTTGGTTTTTTTTTGAGACAAGTTCTTGCTCTGTCGCCCAGGTTAGAACGTAGTGATACAATCATAGCTCACTGCAGCCTTGAATTCCTGGGCTCAACTGATCTACCTGCCTCAGCTTCCCAAAGCTGGGACTACAGGTGCATGCTACCATGCCCTACTAATTTTTTTTTTGGCAGAAATGGGGTCTTACTTTGTTTCCCAGGCTAGGAGAATTCTATTAACAAAATACAACATAAAAATCACATAGCTAGCCCGGGCATGATGGCTCACGCCTGTAATCCCAGCACTTTGGGAGGCCAAGGCGGGTGGATCACCTGAGGTCAGGAGTTCGAGACCAGCCTGGCCAACGTGGCGAAACCCTGTCTCTACTAAAAATAAAAAAATTAGCCAGGCCTGGTGGCGGGTGCCTGTAATCCCAGCTACTTAGGAGGGTGAGGCAGGAGAATCGCTTGAACCTGGGAGGCGGAGGTTGCAGTGAGCGGAGATTGTGCCACTGCACTCCAGCCTGGGCAACAAGAGCGAAACTCCATCTTAAAAAAGAAAAAAAAAAATCACATAGCTAAAAAGAAATATTCATGTCAGTGGATACTAAAAAAGAACAAATAACAATATATTGAGTTTATTGGTAAATGAAGTCCCACACCCACACCACACATATAGTAATGTAATCTTGTGAATATAGTTAACCAAAAAGCAAAATATGAAATAAAGTGTCATTAATTTGAAATTCCACGTAGGAATTAATTAATTCAGACAAAGCACAGTACTTATAAACAAATGTCTCAGTGGAAATTAATTTAATTTCCATTCGGGCGCAATGGCTCACGCTTGTAATCCCAGCATTTTGGGAGGCAGGCAGATCACTTGAGATCAGGAGTTTGAGAACAGCCTGGTCAACATGGTGAAACTCCGTCTCTACTAAAAATACAAAATTTAGCTGGGTTTCCAGAAGGTTTTTGATTTACTTTGCCCAGATCCATCAGAGGAATAACTATCTATAGTAGCTATAGATAGTAATAGTAAATGAGCATTGACTTCAACTTAAAGTCACCAGCTGCAATAGCCCCTAACAAGAAAGCCTGTCCTTTGAAGCTTTTTTTTCTTTTTCTTTTGGATGGAGTGCAGTGGTACAATCACAGCTCACTACAGCCTTGACATCCCAGACTCAAGTGATCCTCCCACCTCAGCCTTCCAAGTAGCTGGGACCACAGGTACACACTAAAATGCCCATCTAATTTTTAAATTTTTCGTAGAGACAGGTTCTTGCTATGTTGCCCAGGCTGGTCTTGAACTCCTGTGCTCAAGCAATCCTCCCACTTTGGTCTCCCAAAGTGCTGGGATTACACATGTGAGTCACTGTGACCAGCTCCTTTGAAGCCAGGTAATGACTTCTCCTTTCTACCTATGAAAGTCTGAGATGGTATCTTCTTCCAACAGAAGGCTGTTTCATCTGCACTGAAAATATGTTCTTTAGTGTACCCACTTTCATTTTCTGTAGCTTCTGCATCAGTACTTGCTGTTTCACTTTGGACTTTTGTTATGGAGAAGGTTTCTTTCCTTAAATCTCATGAACCAACCTCTGCTTTTTTTTTTTTTTTTTTTTTTAAGATGGTCTTGCTCTGTCACCCACCCAGGCTGGAGTGTGGTGGCACAATCACAGCTCCATTGCAGCCTCGACCTCTCTGGGCTCAAGCCAGCCTTCCTTCTCAGCCTCCCAAGCAGCTGGGACTATAGGTGTGCGCCACCACATCCGGCTAAATTTTTTTGTATTTTGTAGAGACAGCATTTCACCATGTTGCCCAGGTTGGTCTCAAACTCCTGGGTTCAACCAGTCCACCCACCTCGGCCTCCCAAAGTGCTGGGATTACAGGCGTGAGCCATTGCACCGAGCCAACATTTGATACTCTAAACTTCTTCTGCAGCTTCCTCACCTCTCAGCCTTCACAGAATTGAACAGAGTTAGGGCCTTGTTCTGGATTAGGCTTTAGTTTAAAGGAATGTTGTGGCTGATTTGATCTTCTACTCATACCACTCAAACTTTCTCCATATCAGCTTATCACTGGAATAGCACTTTTAATTTCCATTTATTTATTTGTTTGTTTGTTTGATGGAGTTTCGCTCTTGTTGCCCAAGGTGGAGTGCAATGGTGTGTTCTTGGTGCACTGCAACCTCCGCCTCCCGGGTTCAAGCAATTCTCCTGCCTCAGCCTCCCAAAGAGCTGGAATTACAGGTGTGCGCCACCATGCCCGGCTAATTTTGTATTTTTAGTAGAGATGGGGTTTCACCATGTTGGTCAGGCTGGTCTTGAATTCCTGACCTCATGTGATCCACCCGCCTCAGTCTCCCAAAAGTGCTGGGATTACAAGCGTGAGCCACCGCGCCTAACCCCATTTTTTTTCTTCATATTCACAATTTGGCATGACTTCACATGCCTTCCTCACTAAGCTTAATCATTTCTAGCTTTTGATTTAAAATGAGAGACTTGCAACTTTTTCTTTCACTTGAACACTTAAAGGCCATTGTTGGGTTATTAATTGGCCTGAGAAGGCAAGACTGAATGGCTAGTTGGTGGAAGTCAAAACACAGGCATGTATTGATTAAGTTTGCTATCTTCAATGGGTGCGGTTTGTGGCATCCCACAATTACAATAGTAACAGCAAAGATCACTGATCACAGATCAGTGTTAACAGACATAATGATGAAAAGGTTTTAAAAACTGCCAGAATTGGCCGGGCGCAGTGGCTGTAATCCCAGCACTCTGGGAGGCCGAGGGAGGCAGGTCATGAGGTCAGGAGATCAAGACCATCCTGGCTAACATGGTAAAACCCCATCTCTACTAAAACTACAAAAAAATTAGCCGGGTGTGGTGGCGGGCCCCTGTAAGTCCCAGCTACTCGGGAGGCTGAGGCAGGAGAATGGTGTGAACCCAGGAGGCTGAGCTTGCAGTGAGCCTAGATCACGCCACTGCACTCCAGCCTGGGTGACAGAGCGAGCCTCCGTCTCAAAATAAATAAATAATAAAAATAAAAACTGCCAGAATTACCAACATGTGACACAGAGACACAAAGTGAGCACATGCTGTTAGAAATGGTGTCAACAGACTTGCTCAACAAAAGCTTGTCACAAACCTTCAATTTGTTAAAAAAAAAAAAAAATGCAGTCCCTGGGCTGGGCGCAGTGGCTCACACCCGTAATCCCAGCACTATGGGAAGCCAAGGCAGGTGGATCATTTGAGGTCAGGAGTTCAGGACCAGCCTGGCAAACACGGCGAAACCCATCTCTAATAAAAATACAAAAATTAGCTGGGCGTGGTGGCACGCACCTGTAATCCCAGCTACTAGGGAGGCTGAGGCAGGAGAGTTGCTTGAACCCGGGATGTGGAGGTTGCAGTGAGCCAAGATCATGCCACTGCACTTCTGTCTGGGCAACAGAGCAAGACTCCGTCTCAAAAAAAAAAAAAAAAAATTGCATTACCTGGGCTGGGCATAGTGGCTCACACCTGTAATCCCAGCACTCTGGAAGGCCAAGGTGGGCAGATCACTTGAGGTCAGGAGTTCAGGACCAGCATGGCCAACATGGCAAAACCCTGTCTCTACTGAAAATACAAAAGTTAGCTGGGTGTGGTAGGGCACACCTGTCATCCCAGCTACTAGGGAGGCTAAGGCAGAAGAATTGCTTGAAGCCAGGGGGCAGAGGTTTCAGTGAGCCGAGATAATGCCACTGGACTCTAGCCTAGGTGACAGAGTGTGACTCCATCTCAAAAAAACAAACAAACAAAAAAGCAGTATCTGCAAGTGCAGTAAAACACAGTATATTTTATTGAATATTACTATAAAACAAGGAAAAGAAAATTGCAATAAGTTCAGATAGTGAGATTAATGATATAGCGGTGCCTCAGTGGCTAAACCATGGTTTATGATTTAAAAAAATTTATCCTAAGTTGACCACTGTAGAAGAAAAAAAGAACTTCATTCCCACACTTTGCCTCTGATCATGTGTATAGTCTGTGGCTCCTTATTGTTTTTTGTTTGTGATTTTTTGAGATGGAGTTTCGCTCATTCCCCAGGCTGGAGTGCAATGGCGTGATCTTGGCTTACCACAACCTCCGTCTCCTAGGTTCAAGTGATTCTCCTGACTCGGCCTCCCAAGTGAGTAGCTGGGATTACAGGCGTGCACCACCACGCTTGGCTAATTTTGTCTTTTACTAGACACGGGGTTTCCCCGTGTTGGCCAGGCTGGTCTCGAACTCCTGACCTCAGGTGATCTGCACACCTAGGCCTTCCAAAGTGCCGGCATTACAGGTGTGAGCCACCGTGCCCGGCCCCATGTTTTTAACAATCTTACCACAGTAGGTACTACGTCTCTAACCATCCGTGCTGAGCTGCTTTGGGTTGCCTTGCTCTGCCACTAAGGGTTAGCATCACCTAGCTTGCTGGGCCTTCCATCATTACATTGGATCATGGGCACTGGAGAATATTATAGGAGGAAAATACTTCCAATACACTACCAAATACAACTGTTTCTCCATATCCTTATCAGTAGAATGAGGTCAACTAGATTATGTTATTTTTTTGGTTATAACAGTCTGTGAATCTACAAGACAACAGGAAGTAATACCAAAGTGATGAAGAGTTGATTTACTGTATGTGATTTGTTTCAAAATACTCCAGGAATTAAAAAAAAAAAAAAGTGAAGAGTATAGAGGAAAATAATTGTCAAAATATTAATAACTGTTGAAACTGGGTACCTGGGGCTTATTATAGTGTTTGTGGTATGTTTAAATTTTTTTTTTTTCTGAGATGGAGTCTTCCTCTTGTCACCCAGGTTGGAGTGCAATGGTGTGATCTCGGCTCACTGCAACCTCCGCCTCCTGGGTTCAAGCGATTCTCCTGCCTCAGCCTCCCCAGTAGCAGGGATTACAGGCGCCCACCACCACGCCCAGCAAATTTTTGTATTAGTAGAGATGGGGTTTCGCTATGTCATCCAGGCTGGTGTTGAACTCCTGACCTCGTGATCCTCCCGCCTCGGCCTCCCAAAGTGCTGGGATTACAGGCGTGAGTCACTGTACCCAGCCAGAATTGGGATATATCTTTAAAAAGAAAAGAGGCTGGGCGCAGTGGCTCACGCCTGTAATCCCAACACTTTGGGAGGCTGAGGTGGGAGGATCACGAAGTCAGGAGATTAAGACCATCCTGGCCAACATGGTGAAACCCCGTCTCTACTAAAATACATAAAATTAGCCAGATGTGGTGGCATGCACCTGTAGTCCCAGTTACTCGGGAGGCTGAGGCAGGGGAATCACTTGAACCCGGGAGGCGGAGTTTGCAGTGAGCCAAGATCCTGCCACTGCACTTCAGCCTGGGCTACAGAGCAAGACTCCATCTCAAAAAAATAAAAAATAAAATAAAATAATTGAAAAGAAAGGCTGAGTGCAGTGGCTCATGCTTGTAATGCCAGCACTTTGGGAAGCAAAGGTGGGCAGATCACTTGAGTTCAGGAGTTCAAAACCAGCCTGGGCAACATGTTGAAACCCTATCTCTACAACAAATTAGCTGGGCATGGTGGTGCATGCCTTATAGTCCTAGCTACTTGGGAGGCTGAGGTGAAAGGATGGCTTGAGCCTGGGAGGCGGAGGTTGTTCTCCATCCTGGGTAAAAGAGCCAGACTCCATCTCAAAAAATAAATAAATAGAAAAAAGTTTCTTATAAAGATCCTTACCAAAATATTTATGGATGGAATGATGTAATTTCAGGTATCTGCTTCAAAACATTGTGGAGGATAGATATTTTGTTTTGTTTTAGAGATGAAGTCTCGCTATGTTGCTCATGATGGTCTTGAACTCCTGGGTTCAAGTGATCCTCCCACCTTGGCCTCCAAAAGTGTTGGGATTACAGGCGTGAGCCAGCATGATAAGCCAACTATGATTTTAGATGAAACAAGATTGGCCAAGAGTTGATAAGTGCTCTAGTTTAGTGACAGGTAGACAGAGGTTCATTATATTCTTCTCTCGGGTTTGAATTTGCCATAACAATTAGAAAAAAATGTACTTCACTTATAATACAAACAAAATTCCATTTAAATATGCTGTTGAGCACAACAAAAGCTCAGGGTAAAAAAGCTATTTCTAAGTGTCAACATACTATAATAATCCTTTTTAAAATTAGTTACAATAAATCCTCTACCAGTAAGAGAACAATAAAATGTAGACGGAAGTAACCTTGTATCTGTCTACTTTATGACTTTGAATCTAAGAGGTTCATGCCAATTGTAGAATGTTTAAATAAATGTCGGAGGGAGTATATTTTAGGAGTATTCAAATATGACAGATTGAGAGGGATCAATTTATTTCACATGCCTCATTAAGAGTAAAGTTAAGGCCTGGTGCGGTGGCTCACACCTGTAATCCCAGCACTTTGGGAGGCTGAGGCAGGTGGATCACAAGGTCAGAAGTTCGAGACCAGCATGGCCAACATGGTGAAACCCCGTCTCTACTAAAAATATAAAAATACAAAAATTAGCCAGGCATAGTGGCGTGCGCCTGGAATCCCAGCTACTCGGGAGGCTGAGGTAGGAGAATAGCTTGAACCCGGGAGGCGGAGGTTGCAGCGAGCCAAGATCCCGCCACTGTGCTCCAGCCTGGGTCAGAGCAAGACTCCATCTCAAAAAAAAAAAAAAAAAAAAAAAAAAAAGAATAAAAAGAACCCGAGTCTGCTGTCTCTAAAATTTATGCTCTTTTAGCTGCATCATTAATCATCCTCTTAATTCATTCTCTGACCCCATCTAGGTAATGAACCTACACTTAGAAAAAAATCAAGTTGTCTTGAGCTGTGCCATTTCATAACCCTCTTCGTAAGTCCCATATAGCTCATCTTACTCCACAAATACAGAAACACATGGGGCTTTCCCTCTAGTTTTTTTTTTTTTTTTTTTTCAGACGGAGTCTCGATCTGTCGTCCAGGCTGGAGTGTAGTGGTGCGATCTTGGCTCACTGCAACCTCTGCTTCCCAGGTTCAAGCCATTCTCCTGCCTCAGCCTCCCAAGTAGCTGGGACTATAGGCGCTTGCCACCTCGCCCCCCTAATTTTTGTACTTTTAGTAGAGACGTGGTTTCACCATACTGGCCAGGCTGGTCCCGAACTCCCGACCTTGTGATCTGCCTGCCTTGGCCTCCCAAAGTGCTGGGATTATAGGTGTAAGCCACTGCACCTGGCCTTCCTCCAGTTTTTTACAAAGCATCTAAACAAGCATTGTCTAATAGGAATATAATGTGAGTCACATATGTAATTTTAAATTTTCTATTCATTTTGCTTTTTTTTTTGAGGAAGAGTCTCGCTCTGTTGCCCAGGCTGGAGTACAGTGGGATGATCTTGGCTCACTGCAACCCCCGCCTACCAGATTCAAGCAATTCTCTGCCTCAGTCTCCCAAGTAGCTGGGATTACAGGCGCCCGCCACCACGCCCAGCTAATTTTTGTATTTCTAGTAGAAACAGTTTCACTATCTTGGCTAGGCTGGTCTTGAACTCCTGACCTCGTGATCCATCCGCCTTGGCCTCCCAAAGTGCTGGGATTACATGCATCAGCCACGGCGCCTGGCCTAATTTTGCTTTAAAAAATAAAATAAAAACAGGTGAAATTAGTTTTTAAATATTTTATTTAACCCAATATATCAAAAATGTCATTTCACCATGTAATCAATTTTTTTTTTTAAGACAGAGTTTCGCTCTCGTTGCCCAGGCTGGAGTGCAATGGCGTGAACTCGGCTCACCACAACCTCCACCTCCCGGGTTCAAGCGATTCTCCCTCCTCAGCCTCCTGGGATTACAGCCTAGCTGGGATTACAGGCATGTGCCACCATGCCCGGCTAATTTTGTATTTTTAGTAGAGACAGGGTTTCTCCATTTTGGTCAGGCTGGTCTCGAACTCCCGACCTCTGGTGATCTGCCTGTCATGGCCTCCCAAAAGTGCTGGGATTATAGGCGTAAGCCACCGCTCCCAGCCGTAATCAGTATTTTTTTTTTTTTTTTTTTGATACGGAGTCTGTCGCCCAGGCTGGAATGCAGTGGCGCAATCTCGGTCACTGCAAGCTCCGCCTCCCGGGTTCACGCCATTCTCCTGCCTCAGTCTCCTGAGTAGCTGGGACTACAGGCGCCCGCCACTATGCCTGGCTAATTTTTTGTATTTTTAGTAGAGACACGGTTTCACCGTGTTAGTCAGGATGGTCTCGATTTCCTGACCTTGTGATCCGCCCGCCTCGGCCTCCCAAAGTGCTGTGATTACAGGTGTGAGCCACCACGCCCGGCCCGTAATCAGTATTTGTAAATGATTAATTTTTCTGTACTAAGTCTTTGAAATCCAGTGTGTATTCTGTGTTCACAGCATATCTCAATGCAGATTTAATAATATATAATAGCTACATATGACTAGTGATTACAGTATAGGACAGCACGGGTCTAGATTCATTAGCCTCCTCTCCAAGAGCACATTCAGGAACCTTCTGCCTCTGGCCCCAGAATACACCCAATTCCAAGCAGGCAATTGCTCCTTCTTGCTTTGTCCCCTTTGGGTGGGAAGGGGACTCCTATAGCGATAGGGAGTGTCTTTTATTCAGGAAAAAGAAAGGGAGCTGTGGGTCTAACTCCGTTTTTGAAGTTTGTCCAAGCTGCAGAAATCTTCCTGGTTACTGGACAAAGCAACTAAGAATTCCTATATTTTAACCGTAACGTTGAATCAAACTGGTCAGAATGAAATGAATTGTCTCAATGTTAAAGCCAAAACTCAAAATTGAGGAGCCTTGCAATACCAAATTCACTGACTACTTTATTGTCACTTGTAAATCATAGTACAGGCAGGTCGCAAAGTTTACCAGGCAGTATTCAAGTACATAACATTCTAGTTGTGTTTTTCTCCAGTTTCTGGGGTTACTGAAGAATTAGCCCTGGCATAGCTTATTACAAACTAACCATAATCGCAAACTTAAAAGTTCTAATATCAAGCGTGGGCAACATACTAAGGCCTCTACAAAAAATTTAAAAATTAGCCGGGAGTGGTGCTGTGTGCCTGTAGTCCCAGCTACTCCGGAGGGTGAGGTTGGGAGGATAGCTTGAGCCAGGAAGGTAGGGGCTGTAGTGAGCTATGAGCGCACCAGTGCACTCCAGCCTGGGCGAGAGCAAGACCCTGTATCAAAAAGTTCTAATATCTAAAAGGATTGTAGTTTATAGTATGTTATTCTCACTGTAAACCAAAAGGTTATTTTTTTCTTTTGTCCACTACTAGATACATCTTTCTTAGCCTCACTTCACTTGTACAAGCCACCTGGGAGAAGTGGCCCTCAGGAAGATCCTAAAACCAATACACAAATACAACTTTTTCATTTCATTAATACATCAAGTTCATATAAGAGTCAAACAGGTAAAAGCAGCATCCCAAACTGTTTTCTCCTCGTACATGTCAGTTCCACGATCCTCAGTCTCATAAAGTCAGGGACTAGAGACCAATGTAATTATCAATACGTACCTGCCTTTGAGTGAACCTTCAATGCCAACTAGGAAGGGCGCTTCCAAAACGACGTTATTTGTAACTCCTAGGAAGACAAACACGGGTCAGAACCCATACTCTGCGGGCCTTGAAATGGAAAATCTCTCCTCTAGACAGACTCATCCTGGCCGTAAATATCAGGAGACTCCCCGATTCCCTGCCCCATCCCCAGGCCAAGGAGTTATTTGCTTCCAACTTTTCATCCCGTTTTCTTCCCCAGGTGGTTCTCCGCCACCCGGTGGAGAAAGCGGGAACACCCTCTCGGGCTAGCCTCTGCCTTTCCCGAACGCTTCACTGCACTCACTGGAGAAGACCACGGCCCCGAGGGACCGCGACAGGTCCCAGGCGAGGTGCACCGAGTCGGCGAGCACTGCGTGACACTGTGCGCACTGGAACACAGCGCACCTCTCAGGCTGCAGCCAAGACGGCAGCTGCGGGCCGGCGGCTGGCTCCTCAGCCCCCAGCCCTGCGGGGCCGAGCGGCGAGGACCCCTTCACCACCTGCGTATCCCACTCCATGGAGGTCGTAAAAGAAGCTTGGTCAATCGCCCTCTCAGTGCCACCACAAAAGTCCCCCCGGGGCGGCGTTGCACAACGTGAGCGATGCCGCAGCGGCTGAGCCGCCATCTTCCCGCAGCCGGCGCCTTCCTTTCGAATACACGCCAGGCCCCGCCCCAAGCACAGCTCCTGCGTCCTCATTGGACATCATGGGCAATCCAAGCACTGGAGTCCGAGTCCGCGCACTCGTTACCTGAACAGGCGTTACAGGCCCTTTGGCGCCTGCGTATTCGTGAAGTGTGAAAAAAGCGCGCCTCTGTTGGGACGGGAAATCAGCCTTTCTATTGGTCAGGGTTAGAAACCCCGCCTTTGAGGCATTTTCAACCAATGGAAGCGCGGCATTCTTCATTTAAACTGTCTATAAATTTCTGCCTAGTCAAAGTTAAGAGTGGCGCCAGGGATTTGAACCGCGCTGACGAAGTTTGGTGATCCATCTTCCGAGTATCGCCGGGATTTCGAATCGCGATGATCATCCCCTCTCTAGAGGAGCTGGACTCCCTCAAGTACAGTGACCTGCAGAACTTAGCCAAGAGTCTGGGTCTCCGGGCCAACCTGAGGGTACGGCGCTGGCGGTGCGGGTCCCTGGGCGGGCGCGGCGGGAATAGCGGCCTCGGGGAGATGCGGTGCGAAGGGACCGAGAGGGAAGCCCGGGACTGAGGCAGCTCTCCCTGCCCCTCGGGCAGTAGATGTGGTTCACGGTAGTCCCAGTTAGAACTCTGATAAACGGAAGAGGAACTGTAGTTTTCACCTCATTTTGAAGCTGGCTTGTCTGGGTGCTCACATGATAAGCTCTATTCCGAGGGATGGTTTATTGTTTTTTGTTTTGTTTTGTTTTGAAATTACTGTATACCTCTCAGGGCGTCGATTACGAAACTCAGGCCCAGAAAGCACAAGGGGTGTCGTTAATCGTTAGACAATTAAGTAAATAATTGGCTCAGCTTCTGGAAAACCCCAAACAGACTCCAGTGATTTGTAATATTGCCGATAATCTCTTGATACTTTATTGATGGACCTGTCAGAAAAAAAAAATCGACTTTTAGGGGAGCACCTCCTTGGGTAAATTTTTATTGATGACTGTTGGGTTGATGGTCTCTATCAAAACCAGTAAGGTCTTTGACTCCGAGGCTACAAGATGTTTGGAGAGTTGGCCCGGCGCTGTGGCTCACGCCTGTAATCCCAGCACTTTGGGAGGTCGAGGCAGGCGGATCACCTGAGGTCAGGAGTTCGAGACCAGCCTGGCCCTTAAAAAATTAGCCGGGCGTGGTGGCACACGCCTGTGATCCAAGCTTTTTGCCTGTGATCCCAGCTACTTGGGAGGCTGAGGCAGAAGAATCGCTTGAACCTGGGAAGCCGAGGTGGCAGTGAGCCAAGATCGCACCACTGCACTCCAACTTCGGTGACAGAGAGAGACTCAGTCTCAAACAAAACAAAAACAAACAAAAAACCCAAGATGTTAGAAGAAGATTTGGGGATTTAATGTAGGATAGCGGTTTTATATATTTTGTTAATAGTTGAGACTTCCCACATAATACTGCTATATACTCTGGAGGTTTCTCCTGCAGGCTGTGATACTGACAGTGAGTAAATGCTTAAATCAATCGTCACAATTTTTTTTTTATTTGTTTGTTTGTTTGTTTTTTCTTTGAGACGGAGTCTTGCTCTGTCGCCCAGGCTGGAGTGCAGTGGCGCCATCTCGGCTCACCGCAACCTCCGCCTCCTGGGTTCAAGCGATTCTCCTGCCTCAGCCTCCTGAGTAGCTGGGATTACAGGCGCGTGTCACCACGCCTGGCTAATTTTTGTATTTTTAGTAGAGATGGGGTTTCACCATGTTGGTCAGGCTGGTCTCGAACTCCTGACTTCCTGATCCGCCCGCCTCAGCCCCCAAAGTACTGGGATTACAGGCGTGAGCCACCCCACCCGACCTAAATTGTTTAAACAAAATAATCAGGGCCTAAGTGCCTGTTGGGGCTGAATGACCAAAGGGTTTTCCTTGGGGATATTTCTGGGCTGTAGTGGTTAGTGGCTCCTCTATACTTCGTAAACAAAGCCTTAATATCTCAGCCTAAATTCCTTAGGCTTTTTTGCTGCCTAGCTAGAATCTTTTATCCAAGGCTGCATCCCTGAACACTTGGCACTTTTATCTATCTTTGTCCCATTGCTCATTTTGACCCTCTAGCCTCAGATCACCTTCTTTCTCCTTTATCTGCCTGGCTGTGTGTGTGTGTGTGTATTTTTAGTAGAGATAGGGTTTCACCATCTTGCCCAGGCTGGTCTTGAACTCCTGGGCTCAAGCGATCCTCCCGCCACGGCCTCCCGAAGTCCTGGGATTACAGGCGTGACCCACCACGCCTGGCCCATATCAAGTATTTATATGTGAATCAAGTATTTATAGGTGAAATGTTATGATACCTGTAAAATTTGCTGTAAAATACTCAAGGAAAAAGAGAGGGAAACTAGATGAAGTAAGAACAGAAGAATGTTAATAATTACTGAAACTGGAGATAGGTACATGGGGGGATTGCACTATTCTCTCTACTTTTTTAGGTTTGAAATTTTCCATAATAAGATGTTTTAAATTATTAACTTGGTACAACCTAAGAGCTCATTAAGTCAATTGCCTTTTGAAATTTTAGTACATAGCAAAAAAATTAATAAATTGCTCTGAGAAATTATCAAGATTTGATTAAAATGAAACACTACAATTTAAATAAATTTTACTAGCATAAATATACTAGTATAATTATGCTAATAAAATTTATAATTTATACTAGTATATACTATATATATTATTACTAGTATAAATATATAATATATATACTAGTATATATAAATATACTAGGATACTAAATATACTAAATACACTAAAATAAACTAAATATATAAATATACTATATATACTAAATATACTATATTAATATACTATATGTACTAGATAAATATACTATAAATATACTATATAAATATACTAAATTTACATATTTAGTATTTAGTGTGTATTAGTATATATATTTAGTATAGATATACTATATACTAAATATACTATATATACTAATATGTATACTAAATATATTTAATATACTAAATATATTATACTATAAATAAATATAAATACTATACTTAATATACTATATACTAAATATACTATATATAAATATATTAAATATATAAATATACTAAATATAAATATACTAAATATAGTATGTATGTTTAGTATAAATATACTAAATATACTATATTTATACCGGTATAATATACTAAATATGCTATATTTATACCGGTATAAATATACTAATATACTATATTATACTGGTATAAATATACTAAATATACTATATTATACCAGTATAAATATAAATATACTAAATATACTATATTTTTATGTATACTAGTATATTTGTACTAGTAAAATTTATTTAAATTGTAATGTTTTATTTTAATCAAATCTTGATAATTTTACTAGTATGATATTATTAAAAATAAATTTATGGCCGGGCATGGTGGCTTGCACCTGTAATCCCAGCATTTGGGAGGCCAAGGCAGGTGTCTCACCTGAGGTCAGGAGTTTGAGACCAGACTGGCCAGCATGGCAAAACCCCATCTATACTAAAAATACAAAATTTAGCCAGGCGTGGCAGGGGGCACCTGTAATCCCAGCTACTCGGGAGGCTGAGGCAGGAGAGGAGAATTGCTTGAACCCAGGGAGGCAGACGCTGCAGTGAGCCAAGATCACACCATTGCACTCCAGCCTGGGCAACAAGAGCGAAACTCCGTCTAAAAATAATAATAATAATAATAATAATAATAAATATATAGGAGATAATATTCCCTCTTTTGAGAGACTTCTCTTAATGGTATAGCAATTTGAAGGAGCCAGTTATTAATGTTAGTGGGGCGACTGGTCCTGTTGTCACTCATGCCCTCACTTCCTTTCTTGCGAGCTTAAATTACAAACACTGGCACTATTTCCACTTCCTTGCACCTCCCTATACTCACCTGGCAAAACCCAAGCCTGATTAAACCCAGCTATGTGCTTAATCTTTGCCTATACCTCTGCAGCTAACTCTAGTTGGAGAAAACACCTAACTTTGTTGAGCGAACTTATTTTAAATATGCAACGCTAAACCTTAATATGGGCATTTGATCCTCCTCCTTTTGGTTTTTTTTTTTTTTTTTTTTTGAGATAAGGTCTCGCTCTGTTGCCTAGGCTGCAGTGGCACAATCAGGCCTCACTGCAGCCTCAACCTCTCAGGTTCAAGACATCCTCCCACCTCAGCCTCCTAAGTAGCTGGGATTACAGGCACGTGCCACCACACCTGGCCCATTTTCTTCTTAGTCATGAACTTTCCTACTTTTGAGGATAATTACTTTTTATCATCTTGACTCAACTTGGTTCCCTTCCCTCCCTTGATGACTTTACCTCATAGGTCATGGGAAAATAGATGCAATCAACAGAAAACTGCCTTATCGTTCAACCACCAAATCCCCCCCTTTTTTTCCTTTCCTTTTCTTTTTTTTTTTTTTTTTTTTTTTTTGAGACAGGGTCTTGCTCTGTCAGCCAGCCTGGAGTTCTCTGGAGTGCAGTGGCACAATCAGGACTCACTGCAGCCTCAACCTCCCGGGCTCAAGCAATCCTCCCACCGCAGCCCCCTGAGTAGCTAGGACTACAGGCATGACCACCCTGCCTGGCCAGTGTTTTTTTGAATTTTAGTAGAGATGAGGTCTGACTATGTTGCCCTGTCTGGTCTCCAACTCCTGAGATTCAGCGATCCTCGCGCCTTGGCCTCCCAAAGTGCTGGGATTACAGGCGTGAGACCCTAGGCTTGGCCCCACCACCAAACCTTTTAGCCACCCTGCATCTACATCCACATACTCTGCTTCTTTGCCTGTCTAAGGGCAACCTTTCCATTTATGCTGAAGATCCTGGGCCCTCTTGCTTCCCCTAGGACTACATTCCTACAATTAGAGCCTCTCTCCTCATTAATTTCTCCACTCTGCTAGCTTATTTGCCATAAGGCATGCAATCATGTTTTACTATCACCCATCTTTTAAAAAAATAAAAAAGCCAAAATCCTCTCCTGATCCCATGTCCTCATTCCATCTACTGCCCTATTTCTCTGTTCTTTTCTACTGAAATTGCTTTATTAAGGTCGCCATCTTACAAAGCTTGTGTTCCCTCTCTCCCCTCACCTGTGCCTATCAGTAGCATTTGGCATGATTGAACATTCCCCTCTGCTCCAGGCACTTTCTGTTCTAGGCTTTGATATTTCACGCTGTCCTGCCTTACTAGCACTTCTTTCTAGTCTCCTTGGTTGGTTCTTCATCTGCCAGATCTCTAAATGTGGAGTGCCCCCAGGGCTCTCTTCCTGGTTGTCTTTTCTCTAACTATGCTCTATCCCTCGGTGATCTTATCCACCCCATTTTTTTTTCTTTTCTTTTTTCTTTTTTTTTTTTTTTTTTTGAGTCACAGTCTTGCTCTGTCACCCAGGCTAGAGTGCAGTGGCGCAATCTCGGCTCACTGCAACCTCCACTTCCCAGGTTCAAGCGATTCTCCTGCCTCAGCCACCCGAGTTCCTGGGATTATAGGTGCCTGCCACCATGCCCAGCTAATTTTTTTGTATTTTTAGTAGAGACAGGACTTCACCATGTTGGCCTGGCTGGTTTCAAACTCCTGACCTCAAGTGATCCACCTGCCTTGGCGTCCCAAAGTGCTGGGTTTACAGGCATGAGCCACTGCGTCCGGCCCATTCCCATAAGTTAAAATTTACCCAAAAGCTAATGCCTCCCAAACCCACATCTCCAGTAGGACCTCTCTCTCCCCTGGGATGCTGACTCGTGTATTTAAGTGCATTTTCAACAACACGGTCAGGTCCAAGCATTGACAGTCTCTTCCCCATCTCAGTACATTGTTCAGGCCCAGTTTGGATCACCCTGGATTCCTCTCTTCTTCACCCACAGCCATCCATTCTTGTCAGCACCTCCTCCTAAATAGACCTGAAATCTGACCTCTGGGCACCATCTCCAGCGCTGCAAACCTGTGCCACAGCACTCTCATCTCCTGACCACTGCCTCAGTCTCCCTATTGGGCTTCCTGCCTCAACTCTTACCTCACAATAGTGTTCTCTTGGTAGTTGGAGTGATATTTGAAACTTAGGGAAAAGAAAAAAAAGAGAGAGAGACCAGGCGCCAGGCGCAGTGGCTCATACCTGTAATCCCAGCACTTTGAGAGGCCGTGGTGGGTGGATCACTTGAGGCCAGGAGTTCAAGGCCGGCCTGGCCAGCATGGCAAAACCCCGTCTCTACTAAAAAAAAAAAAAATACAAAAATTAGCCAGGCGTGGTGGCATGTGCCTATAATCCCAACTACTCGGGAGGATGAGGCACGAAAATCCCTTCAACCTGAGAGGTGGAGGCTGCAGTGAGCCAAGATCACGGCACTGCACTCCACCCTGGGCGACAGAGCGAGACTCTGTCTCCAAAAAAAAAAATAAACTTAGAACGTGTCTTTCTGCTCAGTGCCCTCCAATGACTTCCCTCACATCTAAAATAAAATCTAAACTCTTTCCAGTGTAATGAGAGAAACTTAGTTTGACCCTGATTTGGAGGGAAATTTTTTTAAAAAGAAAATAGCTAAAATTGGAGAGAAGGAAATTTCATTATGGGCCACATATTAGGTGATATTAGGAAATTATTGCTTTTCCTGAGTACACTAATGCATTAGAGGATCATGTGGGGAAATCTCTTATTTTTAGGAGATGTGGCTGATATATTTAGTGGTAAAGAATCATGATGTCTGGAACTTATTTTCAAATTCTTTCACAAGAATTATATATTAATATAGAGAAACCAAATATGAGACAATGCAAATGACTATTGAATCTTGGTGGGAAATATGAGTGTTTATTACATTACTTCGACTTTTCTTTTTTTTTTTTTTTTGAGACGGAGTTTCGCTGTTGTTGCCCAGGCTAGAATGCAACGGCATGATCTCAGCTCACTGCAACCTCCACCTCCTGGATTCAAGCAATTCTCTTGCCTCAGCCTCCCAAGTAGCTGGGATTACAGGCATGTGCCACCATGCCCAGCTAATTTTGTATTTTTAGTAGAGACAGGGTTTCTCCATATTGTTCAGGCTGGTCTGGAACTCCTGAACTCAGGTGATCTGACTGCCTCAGGCCTCCCAAAGTGCTGGGATTACAGGCGTGAGCCACCACACCCAGCCTACTTTGACTTTTCTATAGGCCTGACTTTTTTTCTAATAACAATTTAGGGGAAGAAATTAATTTTTTTTCTATTTTTTTATTTTTTTTGAGACAGACTTTCGCTCTTGTCACCCAGGCTGGAGTGCAGTGGTGCGATTCCGGCTCACTGCAACCTCCACCTCCCAGGTTCAAGTGATTCTCCCGCCTCAGCCTCCTGAGTAGCTCAGACTACAGGTGCCCACCACCACGCCCAGCTATTTTTTGCAGACATGGGGTTTCACCCTGTTGGCCAGGCTGGTCTTGAACTCCTAACTTTGGGTGATCTTCCTGCCTCGGCCTCCCAAAGTGCTAGGATTACAGGCATTAGTCACTGTACCTGGCTGAAATTCATAATTTTTGCTGTGGCCTTTACCTCTCTACTTGACCCAGCCTCTGGTCACATCTCTGATCTCCCTGCCCTCCATATACCTCAGTGTTCACCATACTTCTACCATAAGGGCAGTTTCTGTCTTTCAACTCATGAGTCCACCTCAGGGCTCCTGTTCTTGGCGCTCGCTCTGCTCGGAGTGCTCTTCACCTGCTGCCTCTTTCCTCATTCACATCTCGGGAGGCCTTTCCCAGCCATCCTAATTCAGGTAGCATCCCCACCCCACCCCAGTTGCCCAGTTTTATTTTTGCATCATAATACCTGACGTCATATCATTCATTTCTAGCTTTCTTGGGTAACTGTTTCACCTCTGCTAGAAGATCCTGGAGGGCAATCACCTTGTCTGTTTAATTAATCACTCTCTAGTGTCTGGAACAGTGCCCAGCACAATAAATGCTTGTTGAAGGAATGCATGAATATATGCTGATAACTAACATCTGCACCTTCAGCACAACTCTTGAACACCACCTCATATCATTCAACCTCCTCACTGGGTTCTGCCACAGGTGCCTCACTTCATGCATTTTTGTATGTTTGGTGAGATTTTGAAGGTATATTAAGAGAGTATTAGAAAAATCAAGAATGCCTGAATTCTGCCCTGCCAATCATCCCCTTCCCAGAGAAAACCTCAAGGGTGGTTCAAGGAACAAGTAGAAAATAAGGTACCACTTTATTACTAGCTGAAATAGTGCCTGATATCTTGATGCAGAGCATTCTGGTAAAGTGGATTGGAGACTGTGGCTTAGGCTTGCACCACAAGCAAAAGCTTGAGCACAAACCAAATTTCAGGATCTCTGCTATTCTCTACTGGACACATGGCCCATGATAAAAGGCATGAGAAGAATAGAGCCAAGCCTGGTGGCTGGGCCCACCTTGAGAAGGATGGCTGTGGCCCTCAACTGCATGGCTGGGTGGAAGAGGAAGAAAAAAAGAACCCAACCAAAAAACTTGACTTTTGTTTTTTAAACGGAGTCTTGCTCTATCGCCCAGACTAGAGTGCAGTGGCATCATCTCCTCGGCTCACTGCAACCTTCGCCTCCTGGGTTCAAGCAATTCTTCTGCCTCAGCCTCCCAAGTAGCTGGGACTACAGGCACACACCACCATGCCCGGCTAATTTTTGTTTTTTTATTAGAGACGGGGTTTCACCATGTTGGCCAGGCTGGTCTAAAACCCCTGACCTCGTGATCCACCTGCCTCGGCCTCCCAAAGTGCTGGAATTACAGGCATGAGCCACCCCGCTCAACCAAACTTGACTTTTAAAGCACAGGAAAATGTAACCAATCAAATTAACATTGTTCTTTCAGGAAAGAACAAGAAGGGAGGTTTTCCTAGGCTGGGAAGAGAAGCTCAGTGTTCCCTTCCCCCGGCAGAGACCTACAACCATCCCCCTAAGACCCCGTCACCTTTTGCATTCCTCATCTTAGGGACCGTACCACACTTCACCAGCTGTCCAAGCCAGAAACGTTGGCATAACAAAGTTTCCCTCTTCCTCAACTCTCATGTTCACACTGATTTCACTTCCTAAGAAGGTTTTGACTTCATCCATACTGCCTTAGCCCCGCTCCAGTTCAGGCCACAGCATTTCTGGCTCATCCCCATCAAATGCATCTTGCACATTGTGCAGGTAGACTACTCATTCTGAGTAATGCAAAATTGGTCACCCACTGCCTTGCTGCAAACTCTTCAGAGACTGCCCTTTTCTCTGAGAGTAAAGTTCATACTCTTTAAAGGCTTACAAGGCCTGGTAACATCACGGCCCTGCTCACTTTCCCAACATTGTCTCTTACTATCTCCTACAAACAGGTCCATGTTCCAGCCACACTGAACTTAAGTTCTTCAAACTCCACCCTCATTGTTGCCTTGCTGTGCCATTCCTCTACCTCTTTCTCTACCTTCTCTTCATCCTTCAGATCTCAGCAATTAGAGACATCACATCTTTATCTGAGAACTGCCCTGTGCAGATACTTGCTGAAGTCTAACCTAGCAGTCCCAACTTTGATGGCCATGCCTACCTATGTTCTCATGACAGCCTGAGCCTCCTAGCGTGGGCATTTACCCCACTGTATTGCAATTGCCTCTTTCCTTGTCTAACTTTCCCACTCAGATGTGAAATTCCTTAGAGCAGAGACCCATTCTTTCTAAGTAATGGTTCTAGTCCTATGGTCTGACCAGAGTACATTTAATGAATACAAGAACAGCAAAAAATATTCAACGTATCTTCCTTGTTTATTTGACTTTTGGCTCTAATAATAAGGTCTCTCTTGCAGGCAACCAAGTTGTTAAAAGCCTTGAAAGGCTACATTAAACATGAGGCAAGAAAAGGAAATGAGAATCAGGTGAGTAATGTTTTTCATGTTTACCTGTTAGCTAGCAAAATAATCATATTTGGTTAATGGGCAATTAACACACAACTAGTGATGATTTAAGACATGCTGTTGGCCAGGTGTTGTGGCTCACGCCTATACTCCTAGCACTTTGGTAGGCAGTGGCAGGCGGATCACTTGAGTCCAGGAGTTCGAGACCAGCCTGGCCAACATGGTGAAACCCCGTCTCTACTAAAAATACAAAAATTAGCCAGATGTGGTGGCGGGAGCCTGTAATCCCAGCTACTCAGGAGGCTGAGACAGGGAGAATTGCTTGAACCCGGGAGGTGGAGGTTGCAGTGAGCCAGGATCGCGCCACTGTACTCCAGCCTGGGTGACAGAGCAAGACTCCGTTCAAAAAACAAAAAAAAAGATATGCTGTTTATTAAAAAAGAGATCATTATTGGTAATAGTGCCAAGGACTGAATCCTTTCAGATTAACTATCTGCTGTTGTGAATGGTGAAACTGTTTTGCGCCAAGTAATCTGTTGAATAACATGTTTTTACACAGATACAAAGGCTGAGTACTAGTTGCCAAGTACTACGAGAGATGGCATGATTTAAGTAGAGAGGGAACTGGATTTGAAATCAGAAACACCTTGGTCAAGTACCAGCTCTCATTTATTTCTCTGCAACATTAGAAAACTCAAACTCCTCTTCTTTAAAATGGAAATAATATCTGTTCTGCTGAACTGAGTGTTGTGAGCATCACATGAAGTAGGGATTGTGAAAGTGACTTGTAAGCTATAAAACACTGCTGATGGCTGATGGGAGTTGTCATGGCCGCTTCAGACCCACAGCAAAGATTTTTGATAAGGCATGACTCCTAAACGGATGAATGAGTGCCCCATTAGAGCCAAGATTCTTTTATTCTTTTTGTTGTTGTAGTTGTTGAGACAGAATCTTGCTGTCATCCAGGCTGGAGTGCAGTGGTGTGTTCTCAGCTCACTGCAACCTCCATCTCCTGGGGTCAAGCAATTCTCCTGCCTCAGCCTCCTGAGTAGCTGGGATTACAGGCATGCACCACCACACCCAGCTAATTTTGTATTTTTAGTAGACACAGGGTTTCTCCATGTTGGTCAGGCTGGTCTCAAACTCCCGACCTCGGGTGATCCCACCACCTCGGCCTCCCAAAGTGCTGGGATTACAGGGGTGAGCCACCATGCCCGGCCCATTTTCTTGTATTTTTAGTAGAGATGGGGTTTCACCATGTTGGCCAGGCTGGTCTCAAACTCCTGACCTCAGTTGATCTACCTGCCTCAGCCTCCCAAAGTGCTGGGATTACAGGTGTGAGCCACCGCACCTGGCGTCAAATTTATTTTTGATTCCAGGCTTTAATTAACTGAAAATAGACAAGAACTATTTTTGAATTCTAGCTTTAAAAGTTTCTATATCAATTTCTTTTTTATGGTTAAGGGTACATGATTGTAGTGCCATTTGAAATTAAAATTATAGGCCAGGCGCAGTGGCTCACACCTGTAATCCCAGCACTTTGGTAAGCCGAGGTGGGTGGATCACTTGAGGTCAGGAGTTTGAGACCAGCCTGGCCAACATGGTGAAACCCCATCTCTACTAAAATACAAAAATTAGCTGGGCATGGTGGTGTACACCTGCAGTCCCAGTTACTCAGGAGGCTGAGGCAGGAGAATCACTTGAATCCGTGAGGCAGATGTAGTGAGCAGAGATCAAACCATTGCACTCCACCCTGGGAGACAGAATGAGACTCCATCTCAAAAAAAAAAAAAAAAAAAGAAACAACAACTAAAAATTGTCTCTTTATATTCCAGCAACATGTGTAACTCAAAGGTACTGCTTCTAGGTTGGTGCAAATGTAATTGTGGTTTTTGCCATTACTTTAAAAAATGACAAAAACCAGGCCAGGCGCGGTGGCTCACACCTGTAATCCCAGCACTTTGGGAGGCTGAGGCGGGTGGATTATGAGGTCAAGAGATCAAGACCATCCTGGCTAACACGGTGAAACCCTGTCTCTACTAAAAATACAAAAAACTAACCAGGCGTGGTGGTGGGCGCCTGTTGTCCCAGCTACTAGGGAAGCTGAGGCAGGAGAATGGAGTGAACCCAGGAGGCGGAGCTTGCAGTGAGCCGAGATCATGCCACTGCACTCCAGCCTGGGCGACAAAGCGAGACTCCGTCTCAAAAAAAAATGACAAAAACCAGGCTGGGCACAGTGGCTCACGTCTGTAATACCAGCACTTCGGAAGGCCAAGGCGGGTGGATCACCTGAGGTCAGGAGTTCAAGACCAGCCTGGCTAACATGGCAAAACACCGTCTCTACTAAAAATACAAAAATTAGCCGAGCATGGATGCACACAGCTGTACTCCCAGCTACTCAAGAGGATGAGGCAGGAGAATTATTTGAACCTGGGATTCAGATGTCGCAGTGAGCCAAGATTACGCCGCTGCATTCCAGCCTAGGCAACAGAATGAGACTCCGTCTCCGAAAAAAAGAAAAAAAAACCACCGCACTTATTTTTGCACCAACCTAATACATGGAAACAATTTCTCTTACTTTTTTTTGAGACAGGGTCTCACTCTAACCCAGGCTGGAGTGCAGTGGTACAATCAGGGCTCACTGCAGCCTGGACCCCCCAGGCTCAAGTGATCCTCTTGCCTCACTCCCCTGAGTAGCTGGGACTACAGCCTTGTATCACCATTCCTGGCTATTTTTTGTATTTTTAGTAGAGACGGGGTTTCACAATATTGCCCGGGCTGGTCTCAAACTCCTGGGCTCAAGTAGTTTGCCTACCTCTGCCTCCCAAAGTGCTGGGATTACAGACGCTCTGCCAGTTTCTCCTCTTTTACTTTCTTCTCCGTGACTATCAGGGAGTTGGAAAGTGGGATCCACATTTTTCTATTCTCATGTAAAAACCCCTGCTCCTTTTTTAGCTCATCTTGAAAAGGCCAAAGATAAAGGGAAAAAAAATCTCTTCTCCTTTGAAATTTATGATCACCTATTTTTTTCTTTCTTTTTTTTTTTTCTGAGTTTCACTCTTGCTGCCCAGGCTGGAGTGCAATGACACGATCTCGGCTCACCGCAACCTCCACCTCCTGAGTTAAAGCGATTCTCCTGCCTCAGCCTCCTGAGTAGCTGGGATTACAGGCATGCGCCACCACACCCGGATAATTGTGTATTTTTAGTAGAGACGGGGTTTCACATGTTTGTCAGGCTGGTCTCAAACTCCCAACCTCAGGTGATCCTCCCACCTCGGCCTCCCAAAGTGCTGGGATTCCAGGGGTGAGCCACCGCATATGCTTACCTATTTTAATCTCCCATCTGCTGAGCTCCTAGTTACTCTCTAGTGTTCTCTGTCTCATTGTCATCATTTCCTCATGTCTTCATCTTATTTTGGACAAGTTCAAAGGTCCATCTGGATGTCTCTTCTTACTACTGTGGCCTCCTTGTCCCTTAATGCTAGTGATCTTTGTTTTTGCTCTTTATCAACCGTCTACTTCTCTGGGCATATCCTAGACCTTACAACACTTGGAACTATTCCACTTCTGTAATATTTTACCTCTGGTTAAGGCCTTTTATTCTTTTTTTTTTTGAGATGGAGTCTTGCCCTGAGTAACTGGGATTACAGATGCACACCACCATGCCCAGCTAATTTTTGTGTTTTTAGTAGAGTGGAGGTTTTACCATGTTGGCCAGACTGGTCTTGAACTCCTGACCTCAAGTGATGTGCCCACCTTGGCCTCCCAAAGTCCTGGGATTATAGGCGTGAGCCACCACACCCAGCCAGTCCTTCTATTCTTTAAGCTTTATTCTTTCATTCCCAACAGATATATTTTATATTTTTTTATATATTTTTTCTTAATTATTTATTTTTGAGATGGGGTCTCACTCTATCACCCAGGCTGGAGTGCAGTGGCATAATCATGGCTTGCTTTTGGCTTGACCTCAAGCAGTCCTCCCACTTCAGCCTCATAAGTAGCTGGAACTGCAGGCACACTCACTACACCTTGTTACTTTTTAAGAAATTTTTTTTGTAGAGACTGGGGTCTCATTATGTTGCCTAGGCTGGGGAACTTTTTAAAAATACGGATGGCTGGGTGCGGTGGCTCAGGCCTGTAATCCCAGCACTTTGGGAGGCCGAGGTGGGTGGATCACGAGGTCAAGAGATCAAAACCATCCTGGCCAAAATGGTGAAACCCCATCTTTACTAAAAATACAAAAATTAGCCGGGTGTGGTGGCACGCACCTGTAGTCCCAGCTACTCGGGAGGCTGAGGCAGGAGAATCGCTTGAACTCAGGAGCCAGAAGTTGCAATGAGCCAAGATTGTGCTATTGCACTCCATCCTGGGCAACAGAGCCAGACCCCGTCTCAAAAATAAATAAATAAATAAATAAATAAATAAATAAATAAATAAATAAATAAATACTGATGTATGGCCAGGCACAGTGGCTCACGCCTGTAATCCCACCACTTTGGGAGGTCAAGGTGGGTGGATCAGCTGAGGTCAGGAGTTCGAGACCAGCCTGGCCAAAATGGTGAAATCCCGTCTCTACTAAAATACAAAAATTAGCTGGGCATGGTGGCATGTACCTGTAATCCCAGCTAGTCATAAGGCTGAGGCAGGAGAATTGCTTGAGCCTGGGAGGCGGAGATTGCAGTGAGCCGAGATTATAGCACTGCACTCCAGCCTGGGCAACAGAACTAGACTCTGTCTCAAAACAAAAAAAATACTGATGATAGGCCTCACTAAACCTCAAGCCAAATAAATAGACTATCAAGGGATGGCCTGTGGCCATAATAGTGAAATTGACTGACTACTAATAGTGAAATAGACATCTGGTAGACTGCCTGTAATCAGTCTACCAGATGTCTCCTACCCTCTAAAATATTGGAAGATTTCTCATTAAGGAAATTAAATAGTTATCAGACAAAGGCTCCTGCCTTTGGGCATTCAAGGAACCACCAGCATAATGGCCTCCTCCCTAACCAAGGAATCCTGCCAAATAACACACATTTCCTGCACACTCAAGCTCCTAATGAGGTTTTTCCTGATTTGCTATGAAATATGAATAGACATGGCCGGGTGCGGTGGCTCACTCCTGTAATCCCAGCACTTTGGGAGGCTGAGGTGGGCGGATCACAAGGTCAACAGATCGAGACCATCCTGGCTAACAGGCGAAACCCCGTCTCTACTAACAACACAAAAGATTAGCCAGGCGTGGTGGCGGGCGCCTGTAGTCCCAACTACTCAAGAGGCTGAGGCAGGAGAATGGCATGAACCCAGGAGGTGGAGCTTGCAGTGAGCCAAGATCATGCCACTGCACTCCAGCCTGGGCAACAGAGTGAGACTCCGTCTCAAAAAAAAAAAAAAAAGAAAGAAAACGGACTGGGCATAGAGGCTCACGTGTGTAATCCCAACATTTTGCGAGGCCAAGGCAGGAGGATGACTTCAGCCTAGGAGTTCACAACCAGCCTGGGCAACATAGTGAGACCCCATTTCTACAAAATTAAAACAATTAGCTTACGTGTGGTAACACATACCTGTGGACCCAGCTGATTGGGAGGCTGAGGTGGGAGGGTCAGTTGAGCTCCAGAAATTGAGGCCGCAGTGAACTTAGATCAAGCCACTGTAATCTAGCCTAGGCAACAGAGCAAGACCTTGTCTCTAAAAAAGAAAGAAAGAAAGAAAAAGATGACCCTAAAGGAAATGAAGATAATACAAAATATAACTCCTGGCTTAGCCTCCTGAGTAACTGGGATTACAGGCACTTGCCACCACGCCTGGCTAATTTTTGTATTTTTAGTAGAGACAGGGTTTCACTGTGTTGGCCAGGCTGGTCTCGAAATCCTGACCTCAGGTGATCCACCAGCCTTGGCCTCCCAAAATGCTGGGGTTACAGGTGTGAGCCACTGGCCCGGCTTAATACATTTTTAATAATTTTAAGTAGAGATGGGGTTTTGCCATGTTGCCCAGGCTGGTCTCAAAGTCCTGGGCTCGAGTGATCCACCTGCCTCAGCTTCCCAAAGTGCTGGGATTACAGGTGTGAACCACTGCACCTGGCCCAATTTCTGTATTTATTCACACTAAAATAACTTTGAATACTTTACTACCCTAATTTATTAATTTGGGTTGCTAAGTGTGATTATTTCTTTTTAAATAATCTATAAGGGTTTGTTTGTTTGTTTGCTTGTTTGTTTTTGAGACGGAGTTTCGTTCTTGTTGCCCAGGCTGGAGTGCAATGGCGCCATCTTGGCTCACTGCAACCTCCCCTTGCCGGGTCAAGTGATTATCCTGCCTCAGCCTTCCAAGTAGCTGGGATTACAGGCATGCACCACCATGCCCGGGTAATTTTCTATTTTTAGTAGAGATGGAGTTTCACTATGTCAACCAGGCTGGTCTCGCTAACCTCAGGTGATCCACTCGCCTCGGTCTCCCAAAGTGCTGGGATTACAGGCGTGAGCCACTGTGCCTGGCCTAAATACTCTATAATTCTTGTCTTTGCCTACAATTTACCGCTAGAGAGTTTTAAATTTTTTCTTTTGCATATGTAATATGTTTTTTATTCTGTCTCAATTCTGATTCTTCCTGAGCATTATAACTGTAGACATAGCACATAGCAGATTAATACCTCTCTTTTCAGGATGAAAGTCAAACTTCTGCATCCTCTTGTGATGAGACTGAGATACAGATCAGCAACCAGGAAGAAGCTGAGAGACAGCCACTTGGCCATGTCACCAAAACAAGGAGAAGGTGCAAGACTGTCCGTGTGGACCCTGACTCACAGGTGAATGGAAATATACAAACTGAAAATAAACCACCTATGCCAAAATTGGCATACTTTTATGGAGATTTCTTTTTAAATTCCCATGTGATGTCATGTGTTTGTAAGGTTACTGTGTGCTGTAAGCTCCATGAAAGCCCAGACCCAAGTCCAGCTGCTCATCACTGCATCCCAGGGCTTGGGCCTCAGGAAGCACTTTTTAAGTATTAAGCTCACATTAAATATTTGTTGTATAAATATGAACATTCATTGAGTGTTCACTTAAGTGAGGTGTAGTAGGTAGGAAGGAAAGAGAAACAAGCATTAAATGTGTTTTTTGTTGTTTTTTCGTTTGTTTAAATTCTCCTTCCTACCTTGTCCCTGGCCTGGTGATCACCCTGTACTTAGTCTTTCAGCAGTGTGATCACATGATTAGCAAGGGGCTTCCCTCGCTTGCTTTCCGTAGACTCTGGTTTTATTCTTTTATCTTATCCTTTTATTCAAATGTAATTTTTACAAAGCACAGTCTTTTTTTTCTTTTTTCTTTTCTTTTTTTTTTTTTTTTTGAGACAGAGTTTCACTCTTGTTGCCCAGTATGGAGTGTGATGGCACCATCTCAGCTTACTGCAACCTCCACCTCTCAGGTTCAAGCAATTCTCCTGCCTCTGCCTCCTGAGTAGCTGAGATTACAGGTGGCCACCACCACGCCCAACTAATTTTTGTATTTTTAGTAGAGACGAGATTTCACCATGTTGGCTGGGCTAATCTTGAACTCCTGACCTCTGGTGCTCTACCCACCTCGGCCTCCCAAAGTGCTAGGATTACAGGTGTGAGCCACCATGCCCAGCCCTGAAACACAGTCTTAATTTTCTTTTCTATGTTCATATTGTTGCAGTAAACTGAGGAACGGAGAGACTAATACGGAGTACAGGAGGATTTGTTTATTTTAGGCACGCACCGGCTCGGAGGATTCACATCTAAAAGCTGAGCCTTGAACAAAGACTGAGCGGGTTTTTATAAGTGGCTTTACAGAAGCAAAATAAAAGCAATTAATCATACAGTAACAGGTTACATAATCTATAGCGTAACATAACTTGTGACTTAGCCAGTGGCCTTGTAGCTGCATTAAAAGAAAAACAAGAACTGGCTAAATACAGACATTTGTAAAACATAATCATGCTAATCATGCTTAAGAAGCCCGGGAAAAGAGTAACATTAAAAGAACTTGTATTTCTCTTTTTTTTTTCTTTCAACCTTGCTCTGGAACCAGGGGTCGGGGGGAGGGTGGTGTCTGGAGCTTATTCCTTTGGCCTTGGCTATTTGGACAGCGTTATCTTCTAACTGTCTTCAAAGTGAGCTACTAGGCAGAGGAAAACTTGTTCTTTTCTTTTTAACTCTTGCCTTGCCACATTCTGGGCCTTAGTTTTTACTTTTCTTGGAGTGAATAAATGCAGTACTTATTATTATTTAAATTTCTGCCTCAATGTAGTCACTTGCTCAGTAGACTGTCTAGGTTTCTTCATTTGTCCTTGCTAACAGAGCTAATCTTGCCATTTCTATTTTCCTCTTAATGTGCCCTAGTATCTCCTGTTCTCAAATTTACATTCTCGTGACAGTTGATAAGGCAGAGAACCAAATCTGCCACCAAAAATCTCATTCTCCTACTTTTCTTCCTTTAACCCCTTTTCCCCCTCACTTTGGTACTTATCTTTGGAAGGCAGCAATTCTTATTTATCATCGAAATCTTTTATTTCCTTTTTAAATTTGTAGCAGAATCATTCAGAGATAAAAATAAGTAATCCCACTGAATTCCAGAATCATGAAAAGCAGGAAAGCCAGGATCTCAGAGCTACTGCAAAAGTTCCTTCTCCACCAGACGAGCACCAAGAAGCTGAGAATGCTGTTTCCTCAGGTAAACGTGGAATAAATGGTATGTCAAGTAACTTTAAAAACCAAAATTGCTAGAAGTAGCCAGGTACATTAATTTCCTAGGACTGTTGTGACAAAGCACCACAACTGGGCAGCTTAGAACAACAGAAATTTACTCTTTCATAGTTCTAGAGGCTGGAAGTCCAAAATCAATGTGTCAGCAGGACCATGCTTCTCTGAGACTCTGGGTGGACTCCTTCCTTGCCTCTGACTACTTTGCGATGGCTGTCGACGCTTGGTGTTCCTTGGCTTGCAGCTGCATCATTACCAGTCTCTGGCTCTGACAGCGCATGACATTCTCTCTCTATGTCTTCTTAATAGGACAGCAGTCATATTGGATTAGGATCCACCCAAATAGGCCAAGCATAGTGGCTGGTGCCTATAATCCCATTACTTTGGGAAGCCAAGTCAGGAGGATTGCTTGAGCCTAGGAGTTCAGGACCAGCCTGGGCAACATGGTGAGACCCTGTCTCTACAAAAAGTCAAAAGAATCAGCCAGCCATGATGGTGCACACCTGTGGTCCCAGCTACTCAGGAGGCTGAGGTGAAAGGGTTGCTTGAACCCAGGAGGTTAAGGCTGCAGTGGGCCATCTTCATACCACTTCACCCCAGCATGGACAGAGTGAGACCCTATCTCAAAAAATTAAAAGAACATCCAAATGATGTCATTTTAACCTTAATACATCTGAAAAAAAATTCCCATATCTAAATAAGGTCATATGACAGGTACCAGTGGTTAGGACTTCAACATATCTTTTAGGGGGCCACAATTCAACCCATAGCACCATGTTATAGAATTTCTTTTTTTTTTTTTTAGACAGAGTCTTGCTGTGTTGCCCAGGCTGGAGTTGCAATGGTACGATCTTGGCTCACTACAACCTCCACCTCCTGGGTTCAAGCGATTCTCCAGCCTCAGCCTCCCAAGTAGCTGGGATTACAGGCTCGTGCCACCAGGCCCAGCTAATTTTTGTATTTTTAATAGAGACGGGGTTTCACCATGTTGGCCAGGCTTGTCTCGAACTCCTGACCTCGTGATCCACCCACCTCAGCCTCCCAAAGTGCTGAGATTACAGGCGTGAGCCACCGCACCCGGCCTTCCTTTCGCTTTCTTTTGCCTACTAAACCTCTGCTCTTAAAAAATAAAAAATAATAATAAATAAATGAAAATAAAATATCTCAGTATTAGTTTCACCTGGGCAAATCTGCTAGGGCCCTGAGCCTTGCCAGAGGAGGAGTTAGAGAGACTGAGAGAGGATAATTCATTCCAGTATCCACCAAGCAGTTAAATCTGGAATTTCTAATCCTGAGCCTTCTCATTTTCCCTAAAACTTTGAGTGTCATACTGAATCTAGAAAATTACAGGATTCCTTGGGTCTGAGATGGGCTTGGGAATCTTCAGTTTTTAACAAGTCTCCCAGGTAATTTTTAATTTTTATTTATTTATTTATTTATTTATTTTTGAGACAGGGTCTTGCTCTGTTGCCCAGGCTAGAGCACAGTGGCACGATCTCAGCTCACTGCAGCCTCAGCCTCCTGAGTACCTGGGACTATAGGCATGCACCACCACGCCCGGCTAATTTTTGTATTTTTAGTAGAGACAGGGTTTCACCATGTTGCCCAGGCTGGTCTCAAACTGCTGAGCTCAAGTAATCTGCCCACTTCAGCCTCCTAAAGTGCTGGGATTACAGGTGTGAGTCACCATGCCCAGCCAGCATTTTTTAATACAGGCCAGTTTTTTGTCCTCTGAGTTGGTTTGTCTAATATGTCCTCATGCTTAGAATCAGACTATGGGCTGTTGGCAGGAATCCCAAAGAGCAATGCTGTTGCTTCCTCAGTAAGCACCCTAGGAGGCACAAGTGCTGGTTTTTCCTATGGCTAGTCACGTTAACTTCCATCAGTTAGTTATGGTGGTGTCTGCTAGGTTGTTTCTTTGTGAAGTTACTCTTTTACCACTTGGAATTAGTAAGTATCCTGTGGAGAGTTACTCTACATAAATATCCTTTCTTTGTTTTGTTTTGTTTTGAGACAGAGTCTCTCTCTGTTGCCCAGGCGGGAGTACAGTGACAGGATCTCGGCTCATTGCAACCTTTGCCTCCCAGTCTCAAGCAATTCCACTGCCTCAACCTCCCAAGTAGCTGGGATTACATGTGTGCACCACCATGTTTTTGTTTTTTCAGTAGAGACAGGGTTTCACCATGTTGGCCAGACTGGTCTCGAACTCCTAATCTCAGGTGATCGGCCCACTTCGGCCTCCCAAAGTGCCAGGATTACAGGCGTGAGCCACCAAACCCTGCCAAATATCCTGTTTCTCATGAAACTTTCACCTTCTGGTTTTATAGCCAAAGTCTAAGCAGAAGCCCCTGCGACCATTCCAACACTGACAGAACATTCCTCTGCCTTGTTTTACGGATACATTGGGGAAACTTAAGGATGAGAACTTTAGAAATGGTATTTCTTGGAAACCCACTTGCTTGTAAATCAGTGGTTGAAAGAAAAGAAAAAAATAATTAAAAAGAGATGAAAGCTCATTGCATATTTTTAAAATAGATTGCCTGAAGTTGAAAAAGATGTAAGATTGAGGCTTTCTTATATTTGTAAGATTAGACTCATAGCTCTATAGCATATTATACGGGGCCCTTTATGGTTTAACCCGCTACCTGTCCTATTCTCAACGTCCTCCACTCCCTCTTATGCACCCTACACTTCAGCAATTTCAGCCTACCTCAGTTTCTCTGAATGTCATTATTTCCACTGTACTACAGCTTTATATATCACTATTGTTCCCTCTGCCTGGAATGGTTCTTTTCCATCCTTGCCTAATAAATTCCATTAAGGTCAAAAAAATAAAGAAACGACAGAATTTGGAAAATGATTATGGTAAGTGGGAAAAAATACCTAACCTAATATATACCATAATTTCAACTGAAGTTAAAAAATAATAATAATAAGCTGGCTACAGTGGCACATGCCTGTAGTCCCAGTTACTCAGGAGGCTGAAGCAGAAGTATCACTTGTGCCCAGGATTTTGAGGCCAGCTGGGCAACGTAGTGAGACCTTGTCTCTTCACAGAAGCAAACAGGCCAGGCGCAGTGGCTTACGCTTGTAATCCTAACACTTTGGGAGGCCAAGGTGGATGGATCACCTGAGGTCAGGATCGAGACCAGCCTGGGTAACATGACAAAACCCTGTCTCTACTAAAAATACAAAAATTAGCCGGGTGTGGTAGCTCACACTTGTAATCCCAGCTACTTAGGAGGCTGAGACAGGAGAATCTCTTGAACCCTGGAGGCAGAGGTTGCAGTGAGCCAAGATCGCGCCACTGCACTCCATCCTGGGCGACAGTGTGAGTCCGTCTCAAAACAAACAAATGACAACAACCAAAATAAGTATAGGAAGCAGAGGACCAGAGGAAATATGCCAGACGTTAATGGTGTTTTCTTTGGCTGATTGGATTACGTGACTTTTATCACTAGTTGTAACAATATTATGTTCATAATAAAAACTGAAAAAGTTTGTTTTAACCGATATATATATATATATATATGTTTAATTTATATTAAATAATTTTTTAGTAATAGAGACGGGGTCAGGGCAGGGCGCGGTGGCTCACTCCTGTAATCCCAGCACTTTGGGAGGTTGAGGCAGGCAGATCACAAGGTCAGGAAATGGAAACCATCCTGGCTAACACGGTGAAACCCTGTCTCTACTAAAAATACAAAAAAAATTAGCCGGGTGTGGGGGCGGGCGCCTATAGTCCCAGCTACTCGGGAGGCTGAGGCAGGAGAATGGCTTTAACCCGGGAGGTGGAGCTTGCAGTGAGCCGAGATCACGCCACTGCACTCCAGCCTGGGCGAAAGAGCGAGACTCCATCTCAAAAAAAAAAAATAGAGACAGAGTCTTGCTGTGTTGCCCAGGCTCGTCTCAAACTCCTGGACTCAAGCCATCCACCCACCTCAGCCTCCCAAAGTGCTGGGATTACAGGCATGAGCCACTGCACCTGGCCAACTTTCTGTATTTTTATTTTATGTATTTATTTATTTTTTTTGAGACAGAGTCTCGCTTTGTTGCCAGGCTGGAGTAGAGTGGCGTGATCTCAGCTCACTGCAACCTCCACCTCCTGGGTTCAAGCGATTCTCCTGCCTCAGCCTCCTGAGTAGCTGGGATTACAGGCACGCCCCACCACGCCCAGCTCATTTTTGTATTTTTAGTAGGGACAGGGTTTCACCATGTTGGCCAGGATGGTCTCCATCTCTTGAACTCATGATCCACCCGCCTCGGCCTCCCAAAGTGCTGGGATTACAGGTGGGAGCCACCGCGGCGCCTGACCAACTTTCTAATATGTTTATATAACTTCTCCACAGGTGTCAGAAAATTTCTGAATGCCTACTTGAAGCATATGACCTGTAATCGTAGGAATGCTGTAACTAATTTTTTGTGCTCCCTATGTGCTGTTTCTACCACCATCTTGACAGAGCCTACCATGTGAAAATACTCTGTTAACTTACACACGTTTTTTTTTTTGTTTTTGTTTTTGTTTTTGTTTTTTTAGAGGTGGAGTCTCACTCTGTTGCCCAGGCTGGAGTGCAGTTGCGCGATCTCGGCTCACTGCAAGTTCCGCCTCCCGGGTTCACACCATTCTCCTGCCTCAACCTCCCGAGTAGCTGGGACTACAGGCGCCCACCACCACGCCCGGCTGACTTTTTGTATTTTTAGTAGAGATGGGGTTTGATAGTTTATAAGCCAGGATGGTCTTGATCTTCTGACCTCGTGATCCACCCGCCTCGGCCTCCCAAAGTGCTGGGATTACAGGCGTGAGCTACCGTGCCCGGCCACATATTTCTTAATGAGAACTTTTTTGAAATCCTTCATTATTTCTGTGTCTTTGGATTTAGGTAACAGAGATTCAAAGGTACCTTCAGAAGGAAAGAAATCTCTCTACACAGATGAGTCATCCAAACCTGGAAAAAATAAAAGAACTGCAATCACTACTCCAAGTAAGTTTTGTAGACAAAGCCATAATAAGTAATGGTTGCCCCACTTCGGAATGATGTTGGACTGTAACAGCTGAAAGCATAGAGGCTGGAACCAGTTTACATTCTAGTTCTCTCGTCTTTTAGGTTTGATATCTTGGGGAACTTACTCATCCTCAATAAACTCACTTCCTCAGTGCAAAGTGGAAATAGTTATACTATAGTGCCTATTTCTTTCTTTTTTTTTTTTTTTTTTGAGACAGAGTCTTGCTCTGTCACCCAGGCTAGAGTGCAGTAGCGTGAGCTTGGCTCACTGCTACCTCCACTTCCCAGGTTCAAGTGATTCTCCTGACTCAGCCTCCCTAGTAGCTGGGACTACAGGTGTGCTCCACCACGCCCAGCTGATTTTTGTATTTTCAGAACAGATGGGGTTTCACCATGTTGGCCAGCATGGTCTCAACTTCTTGACCTCATGATCCGCCTGCCTCGGCCTCCCAAAGTGCTGGGATTCCAGGCGTCAGCCACTCTGCCTGGCCTATAGTACCTATTTCATCAGGTTGATAGATACATAAATTGAGAATACTTTTTCCACTACTGCTTCCCTATCACGGCAAATAGCATGCAGCAAGGATTCAATAAACAACTGATGAATCAATGTATGAACTACTTGGTACAATATCCACCTTCTAATGAGTTTTTCATAAGTCTAAATGATTCCGTTTTTGGGCATGTAAGTCTTCTCTATCTTATATTGTTGGAACATTGCTTGGCACATAGAATGTTGATTATTATATTTATAGTAGTTGCAATGCTGCTTATCGTATATTCAAAATTCAATAAATGTTCATATACTTAATCAGAATAGGATACAGTTGGGGTCAGCAAACTGTTGCCTGCCTTGGCCTGTCTTATATCCTTTGAGCTAAGAGTGGTTTTTACATTTTTTAAAGAATTTAAAAACAAGAAGAATGGCCGGGTGCGGTTCTCACACCTGTAATCCCAGCACTTTGGGAGGCCCAGGGGGCTGGATCACCTGAAGTTGGGAGTTTGAGAACAGCCTGGCCAGCATGGTGAAACCCCATCTCTACTGAAAATACAAACATTAGCCAGGTGTGGCGGCAGGTGCCTTTAACCCCAGCTACTTGGGAAGCTGAGGCAGGAAAATCGCTTGAACCTGTGAGGCAGAGGTTGCAGTGAGCCAAGATCATGCCATTGCACTGTAGCCTGGGCAATAGAGCAAGACTCCGTCTCAAAATAAATAAATAAATAACATAAAAACAAGAAGAATATGAGACAGAGACCATACCATATGTGGCCATAAAGCCTAAAATACTTTTTTTTTTTGAGACGAAGTTTTGCTCTTGTTGCCCAGGCTGGAGTGCAATGGCGCAATCTAGGCTCACTGCAACCTCCACCTCCCGGGTTCAAGCGATTCTCCTGCCTCAGTGTCCCGAGTAGCTGGGATTACAGGCGTGCGCCACCACACCTGGCTAATTTTTGTATTTTTAGTAGAGATGGGGTTTCTCCATGTTGGTCAGGCTGGTCTCGAACTCCTGACCTCAGGTGATCTGACCGCTTTGGCTTCCCAAAGTGCTGAGATTACAGGTGTTGAGCCACCATGACCAGCCAAGTCTTAAATACTTTTATCTAGCCCTTTATAGAATAAATTTGTCAGTCCTTGACATACAGCATTATAAAATATCAAATTCATTATTAAATAAAGACCACTTGTGACTAATTGGTAGGGGAGAAGATAAATCTTCTACTCTAATCCTCTGGATTAAACCAAGATGTCAATTTAGTGAAATTTGTCAGTGGGGAGATGGTGAATGTTTGATAGTTTATAAGATGAATGTGCTTTGCCCCTGAGTTTCCAAAAACTAAGTATTTTGAAATTAATGTTTTAGCAAAAATTATATTGAAGTTGAATGTCAGGGATGCAAAGAAGAGAATAAGTGTTAACAGAAAAACACAGAGAAGATAAATAAATGGATTTTGTTTTGTTATTAATTTTTATATTGGAACATTCTAGACTTTAAGAAGCTTCATGAAGCTCATTTTAAGGAAATGGAGTCCATTGATCAATATATTGAGAGAAAAAAGAAACATTTTGAAGAACACAATTCCATGAATGAACTGAAGGTATGTAGATAAAATTATGTTCTTAATGGAACTAAACTGTTTGATTATAATTTTGAAACTATATAACACCGTGGTTACAACAACTGGCTGTCACTCTACCAGTAGATTTGTTTGAATTTAATATATCTTTATCTAAAACTTGCTTTCCCCTACCCTGAGAATTTTCAAAGTCCTCTAGATAAAACAGTGAATCCATGGCCAAGCGCAGTGGCTCATGCCTGTAATCCCCGCACTTTGGGAGGCCAAGGCAAGTGGATTACCTCAGGTCAGGAGTTCAAGGCCAGCCTGGGCAACATGGTGAAACCCTGTCTCTACAAAAAATACAGAAAATTAGTAGGGGGTGGCACATGGCTGTAATCCCATCTACTCAGGAGGCTGAGGCAGGAGAATCACTTGAACCAGGAGGCCAACATTGCAGTGAGCTGAGATCGCGCCACTGCACTCCAGCCTGGGTGACAGAGTGAGACTCCGTCTCAAAAAAAAAGAAAACAGTGAATCCTGACTATGAGAAACTATTTCCAAAATGGCAATGTCATTCTACTTTCCATATTCAGATGTTTTGCCTATTACTTTCATTGATGATGAACCAACTTATGGCTGAAGCCATCTTCTTTCCCTCGTCCCTTATGTAAAGGAAAATGGGTGATTAATAGTGGCAAACCTGAAGGGTTCCTGTGGTAACAGCTCCCTCGAGGGCTTTCAGTCCAGGTTCCACAGGACTCAAAGCCTCCTCAAGTAAGAGAAGGTGATAAAGTCAACTCTGAGGCTGAGTTAGCAAAGTAGTGAGTAACATTCTAGCAAGTTGATGTTATTGGTATCTGGTGTTAAGGCAGTGCCGAATGGAGGGCAGGAAACACATTTTTAAATATTTATGGATTTATGTATTTTTCTCATAAAGACAGGGTCTCCCTATGATTCCCAGGCTCTCCTTGAACGCCTAGGCTCAAGTGATCCTCCCACCTCAGCCTCCCAAAGTGCTGGGATTACAGGTGTGAGCCACCAGATTATATTTATTTCTATTCGCTGTATTTAATTCTTAACCCCATGTTTATTTTACATAACTTCCCTATTTCTCAAAAAGAATTTAAGGCCTATTCTCAAAATAATGTAAGTTTATGGTATTAAATATAAAATAGTATAGTCAATTTAAAAGCGGCAGAAAATTAGCACTGTTAGTAGGTACAGTATTTACTACCATCAGTCACTCAGCTGAGTTTAAGTTTTCTGGCAGCTAGGGCCAAGAGGAAAACTCACTGGGTGATAAATTGTAAATAATTTAAGTACTTAAGCTTCTTGGTGAGAAGCTTAATTGAAATAATAAACATTCATTTTAACGATGTAAAACCACTGTTACAACCATTTTTTTTCTTTTCTTTTCTTTTTTTTTTTTGAGACAGAGTTTCGCTCTTGTTGCCCAGACTGGAGGGCAATGGTACAGTCTCAGCTCACTGCAACCTCTGCCTCCCTGATTCAAGTGATTTTCCTGCCTTTAGCCTCCCCAGTAGCTGAGATTACAGGCGCCCACCACCACACCCAGCTAATTTTTTTATTTTTAGTAGAGACGGGTTTTCACCATGTTGGCCAGGCTGGTCTTGAACTCCTGACCTCAGGTGATCAACCCACCTCCCAAAGTGCTGGTATTACATGCATGAGCCATTGCTCCCATCCTCACTGTTACCACATTTGAAGGCACTGTTTGTCAAACTTTTTTTTTTTTTGAGACTCAGTCTCACTCTGTCACCCAGGCTGGAGTGCAATGGTGCGATCTTGCCTCACTGGAACCTCTGCTTCCCGGATGCAGCAGATTATTTTGCCTCAGCCTCCCAAGTAGTTGGGATTACAGGTGCCCACCACCACACCCAGCTAATATTTGTATTTGTAATTTTATTTATTTTTTTTAGATGGAGTCACATTGTGTTGCCCAGGCTGGAGTGCAGTGACACAATATTGGCTCATTGCAACCTCCACCTCCTGGATTCAAGTGATTCTCCCACCTCAGCCTCCCAAGTACCTGGGATTACAGGCAACCACCACCACACCCGGCTAATTTTTGTTTGTTTGTTTGTTTGTTTGTTTTGACACAGTTTCACTCTTCTTGCCCAGACTGGAGTGCAATGGCGTGATCTTGGCTCACCACAACTTCCACCTCCCAGGTTCAAGCAATTCTCCTGCCTCAGCCTCCTGAGTAGCTGGGATTATAGGTGCCTGCCACCACGCCTGGCTAATTTTTTGTATTTTTAGTAGAGACGGGGTTTCACTATGTTGGCCAGGCTAGTCTTGAACTCCTGACCTTGTGATCCACCTGCCTCAGCCTCCCAAAGTGCTGGGATCACAGGCATAAGCCACGGCGCCCAGCCCCTGCTAATTTTTATATTTTCAGTAAAGATGGGGTTTCACCATGTTGGCCAGGCTGGTCTCGATCTCCTGACTTCAGGTGATCCACCCACCTCAGCCTCCCAAAGTGCTGGGATTACAGGCGTGAGCCACCACTCCTGTCCTCACTGTTACCACATTTGAAGGCACTGTTTATCCATCTTTTTTTTTTTTTTTTTTTTGCGATGAGTCTCACTGTGTCACTCAGGCTGGAGTGCAGTGGTGCGATCTTGGCTCACTGCAACCTGCACCTCCCGGGTTCGACAGATCTTGCCAGCATGGCAAAACCCTGTCTCTACTAAAAATACAAAAATTACCTGGCCATGGTGGTGGGTGCCTGTACTCCCAGCTACTCAGGAAGCTGAGACAGGAGAATCGCTTGAACCCAGGAGGTGGAGGTTGCAGTGCATGGAGGTCACACCACTGCACTCCAGCCTGGGCAACAGACCAAGACTCCATCTCAAAAAACAAAAAAAATAGGCCAGGGCGTGGTGGCTCACACCTGTAATCCCAGTACTTTGGGAAGCTGAGGCAGGCGGATCACCTGAGGTCAGGGGTTTGAGACCAGCCTGACCAACATGGAGAAACCCCATCTTTACTAAAAATACAAAATTATCTTGGCATGGTGGCGCATGTCTGTAATCCCAGCTACTCGGGAGGCTGAGGCAGGAGAATTGCTTGAACCCGGGAGGCAGAGGTTGCGGTGAGCCGAGACCATGCCATTGCACTCCAGCCTGGGCAACAAGAGTGAAACTCCATCTCAAAAAAAAAATAATAATAATTTAAGTTAATTTAAAAAAATGTTTCAGCCAGACACAGTGGCTCACACCTGTCAATCCACAACTTTGGGAGGGTTAGGCCGAAGGATCACTTGAGCCCCAGTGTTGAAGACCAACCTGGGCAATACAGTGAGACTCCATCTCTAAAGAAAAAAAAAGAGTCAAGCTGCTGCTTTCTATATTTTGTAATATGGATGACATAATTTTCTAAGTAAAAGTTAAGGACAGAGCAAGAACGACTGTCTCAACCATAAACGTTGAGTATTGCTCTAGAAAATGTGTTGAATAAACGAATAGTTTATCTTACTTTTTAGTATAACTCCAGCCTGGTAGACCCATCTGAATGAGTTTAGTTCTAAAATAACACTGTTCACCCTGAATGTTTAAGGAACTGGCCTATCAGATATATAACTTGGTATGATCTCTTTGGAGACTAGAGAATTAAAAAAAAAAATTACAATAACTTCACCATACCTGAGATGAAGTTGCTCCTGGCACATTTGGGGCTTGGTCATTTAGATGGTGATGGACAGTAATAAGCAGATATCCTAAAGAGATCATTCTGGCCATGACAGCCTCTCTTTGACTTTTATGATAACAAAAGACAGACTTGTTTGATCTAGTTGTCAAATGGCCCTCTAAAAAGATCAGAAAACTATCTGGGTGTGGTGGCTCATGCCTATTATCCCACCTACTTGGGAGGCTGAGGTGGGAGGGTTGCTTGAGCCCAGGAGTCAAAGACCAGGCTGGGCAACATAGAACAACCCCATCTCAAATAAACAAATACATATATACCTACATTTAATTAATTTATTTTAATTAATTTATCTATTTATTTATAATAAAAAGATTGGAAAACTTGTATTCCAAGGTACCTTATATAGTTATAAATCTCTATATTTTATAATTGGCTATTTTTATGCAGATTTGCTTTTTCTCAATTATTATTCTTATTTATCTATATTAATGGTATATATTATCTGTTTTAAGTACTTTTCTATTGTTTATCTTTTTTTTTTTTTTTTGATACGGAGTCTCGCTCTGTCACCCAGGCTGGAGTGCAGTGGCATGATCTGCAATCTCAGCTCACTGCAAGCTCCTCTTCCCAGGTTCATGCCACTCTCCTGTCTCAGCCTCCTGAGTAGCTGGGACTACGGGCGCCCGCCACCACACCCGGCTAATTTTTTTTTTTTGTATTTTTAGTAGAGATGGGGTTTCACTGAGTTAGCCAGGATGGTCTGAATCTCCTGACCTCGTGATCTGCCTGCCTCGGCCTCCCAAAATGCTGGGATTACAGGCGTGAGCCACCGTGCCTGGCCCCATTGTTTACCTTTTAACTAGATTAATAGTATCTTGCCTTGTGGAAGATTTTTAATTGTAGTTATATTTATCCAACTCTTCCTTTTAAGGCTTACTTTTTTGTCATGCTTAGAAAGGTCTTGACTTCAGCTACTCAGGAGGCTGAGGCAGGAAAAATGCTTGAAGCCCGTAGGCGGAGATTGCTGTGAGCTGAGATCGGGCCACTGTCCTCCAGGCTCAGTGACAGTGAGACCCTGTCTCAAAAAAATGTATAGACATATATACTTATATATATGGCTGGGCACAGTGGCTCACGCCTGTAATCCCAGCACTTTGGGAGGCTGAGGTGGGTGGATCACCTGAGGTCAGGAGTTCAAGACCAGCCTGCCCAACATGGCGAAACCCCGTCTGTACTAAAAATACAAAAATTAGCCAGACGTGGTGGCAGATGCCTGTAATCCCAGCTGCTCTGGGTGCTGACCAGGAGAATTGCTTGAACTCAGGAGGCGGAGATTGCAGTGAGCCAATATCACGCCATTGCACTCCAGACTGGGCGACAGAGCAAGTCTCCATCTAAAAAAAAAAAAAAAAAAGATCTTGCCTGTCTGTGTGTGTGTCTCTCTCTCTCTCTATATATATATACAATTTTTATATAAAATTATATACATATATATATATTTTTTTAGACAGAGTCTCACCCTGTCACCCAGGTGGTAATTCAATGGTGCAGTGATGGTTCACTGTAGCCTCAACCTCCTGGGCTCAGGTGATCCTCACACCTCAGCCTCCTTAGTAGCTGGGACAATAGTCATGCACTACTACACCCAGCTATTTTTCAGTTTTTTGTAGAGACAGGCCTCCCTATGTTGTCCAGGCTGGTCTCAAACTCCTAGGCTCAAGCGGTCCCCCCTCTTCTGCCTCCCAAAGTACTGAGATTATAGGCATGGGCCACCAGATTATGTTTATTTCTAGTCCCTGTATTTAATTCTTAACCTACATTTTTATTTTTCTAAATATTAATTTCAATTGTCATATCTCAGTTGACAGGCAATAAAGTTAATTTTTTCTGCTTGCAACAGATGTTAGACTAATGATAATAAGATATTCAATTACTCTTTGTGCCTTGACAATATCTAAGACAGATACCCTAAGTGAAACCCTTCAAGCATTTATTTCCTTCCCTCTTTTTGTTTTTTGTTTTAAAGGACTTCAAAAAGCTATTGTTTGGGGATAGAGGGAGAGGATAGAATTATTTGTAGATTCCACATGTTAAATATATAATAGGTTCTTTAGGTTTGTTTTTGTAGAGACAAGATCTCCTAATGTTGCCCAGGCTGGTCATGAACTCCTGGGCTTAAGCGATCCTCCTGCCTCAGCCTCCCAAAGTGCTGAGATTGCAGGTTGTGAGCCACTACACCTGGCCTAAGTTTATATTTAATAAACTGTATATAACGTCTCAAAGCTTCCGTATTTCCAAAATAATCTTTTTTTCTTCCTTTGTGGCTACAAGGGACTGTTTTTCTACATTATGTCTCTAGTTAGAAAATGTCTGGCTAGGCTGGGCGTGGTGGCTCACACCTGTAATCCCAGCAGTTTGGGAGGCTGAGGCAGGCAGATCACAAGGTCAGCAGTTCAAGACCAGCCTGGCCAACACAGTGAAACCCCGTCTCTACTAAAAATACAAAAATTAGTCGAGTGTGGTGGTGGGTGCCTGTAGTCCCAGCTATTTGGGAGGCTAAGGCAGGAGAATCGCTTGAACCTGGGAGGCAGAAGTTGCAGTGAGCTGAGACCATGCCATTGCACTCCAGCCCAGGTGAAAGAAAGAGACCCCGTCTCATTTAAAAAAAAAGAAAGAAAGAAAAGATAATGCCCAGATAGCTGGGCACAGTGGCTCACGCCTGTAATCCAAACACTTTGGGACACCAAGGCAGGCAGATCACTTGAGGTCAGGCATTTGAGACCAGCCTGGCCAACATGGCAACATCCTGTCTCTACTAAAAATACAAAAATTAGCTGGGCATGGTGGCAGGTGCCTATAATCCCAGCTACTCAGAAGGCTAAGGTGGGAGGATCGCTTGAACCTGGAAGGTGAAGATTGCAGTGAGCCCATATTGTGCCACTGCACTTCAGCCTGGGCAACAGAGCCAGACTCTGTCTCAAATAAAAAAAAAAAAGAAAGAAAATGCCTGGGTCCATAGCAGCCGGGAAAGGCTTTCTTGTAACTCCTTACTCAGCCTCAACTGGAAATTGCTCTTTATAACAGAATCCCCATAGCAATAAATGGCAGGTAACTGTGGAGCCAGCCAGACAGGTAGAATAGGATGAGGTGAGGTAGTGAGGAAAGAAAAGATTCCAAATGGAGTTACAAATGAGGAATGAAACAGGGATAAATGGAAACGCTCTTCTGAACTTTGCCTAGGAGACAATACTGTATCAGAGGCCAAGTCTTTTTGTTTGTTTTTTGTTTTTGTTTTTTGAGATGTAGTCTCGCTCTGTTGCCAGGCTGGTGTGATCTCGGCTCACTGCAACCTCCGCCTCCTGGGTTCAAGTGATTCTCCCGCCTCAGCCTCCTGAGTAGCTGGGACTATAGGCACATGCCACAACGCCCGGCTAATTTTTGTATTTTTAGTAGAGATGGGGTTTCACCATGTTGGAGAGGCCAAGCTTTTAAAATGATGCATTTTCTCTTCAGCAGCAGCCCATCAATAAGGGAGGGGTCAGGACTCCAGTACCTCCAAGAGGAAGACTCTCTGTGGCTTCTACTCCCATCAGCCAACGACGCTCGCAAGGCCGGTCTTGTGGCCCTGCAAGTCAGAGTACCTTGGGTCTGAAGGGGTCACTCAAGCGCTCTGCTATCTCTGCAGCTAAAACGGGTGTCAGGTAAAGAAATCACTCCAAAATGTAATCATGAACAAGATTTCACATGGACTATATAAAAAAAAAATTTTTAATTGGCAAATAATATTCGTACATACTCATAGGGTACATAGTGATGTTTCTTTTCTTTTCTTTTTCTTTTTTTTTTTTTTGAGATGAGGTCTCGCTCTGTCGCCCAGGCTGGAGTGCAGTGGCGCAATCTCAGCTCCCTGCAACCTCCGCCTCCCAGGTTCAAGTGATTCTTCTGCCTCAGCCTCCCGAGTAGCTGGGACTACAGGTACGTGCCACCATGCCCGGCTAATTTTTTGTATTTTTAGTAGAGACGGGCTTTCATCATGTTAGCCAGGATGGTTTCGATCTCCTGGCTTCATGATCTGCCCACCTCAGCCTCCCAAAGTGCTGGGATTACAGGCGTGAGCCACCACGCCCGGCCCATAGTGATGTTTCAATACATATATTGTATTGTAGTCAGATCAGGGTAATTAGCATATCCATCATCTCAAATAGTTATCATTGCTTTATATTTAGTATCCTCCTTCTAGCTGTTTGAAACCACCATGCGCAGCTAATTTCACAAGGTCTCACTACGTTGTCCAGTCTGGTTTTGAACTCTTGGGCTCAAGTGATCATCCCACCTTGGCCAACCAAAGTGCTGGGATTACAAACGTGCCATTGCACCCAACCTTTCTTTTTTTTTCTTTTTTCTTTTTTTTTTTTTTCTTCATTCAGAGTCTCACTCCATTGCCCAGGCTGGAGTGCAGTGACGAGATCTTGACTCACTGCAACCTCTGCCTCCCAGGTTCAAGCGATTCTCAGCCTCCCGAGTGGCTGGGACTACAGGCACGTACCACCACACCCGGCTAAGTTTTTATTTTAGTAGAGACGGGGTTTCACCATGTTGGCCAGGCTGGTCTTGAACTCCTGACCTCAGGTGATCTACCTGCCTTGGCCTCCCAAAGTGCTGGGATTACAGGCATGAGCCACCGCGCCTGGCCGCACCCAGGTATATGTACCTCTTAAATTTCTCATTCAAATCATGAATTGTTTTCCTGATTTCATTGACTTGTCTGTATTCTCTTGTGTATCTCACTGAGTTCCCTTAAGATTATTATTTTGAATTCTTTTTCTGGTATTTCATATATTTCCCTATGAATAGGGTTACTGGAGAATTACCATTTTTCTTTGAAGGTGACTTGTTTCCCTACATTTTCATGGTTTATGTGTCCTTGCATTGATTTCTACACATCTGTTAGGAAAGTCACCTCTTCCAATTTTATAGAGGAGGTTTCATAGGGAAGAACATACTCATATGAATAGGTCTTAGCGTGTCATTTAAGTGGGGTGTGTTGGCCTTGGTTCTAAGTGGGTACAGGAATATAGTCTCTGTGTAGTTTCTTCAGCTGTAATGCATTTTAGTGGCATTTGTAAGTCTCTCAGTAGCCTAGGCTAAGAGAGTTGGTGGTGATGGTGGCTTTGCCAGGTTTGGGACCGTGGGGCTGTTTCTCAGCCCTGGTATGCAGTTGCATGGCTGCTTGGCTGGCCTTCGGGCATGTCTACCAGAGGCTGCTTACAACGCTGCCTCTCAGGCCCTTACTAGGAGTACAGGGGCGTTGAGCAGGTCAGGGGCTTCTCTGCAGGGGTGAGGCATCTCATGGCTGTTTCTCAGGCCCTAGCCACAGGCACATAGCCACTCAGCCAGCATCAGAGTATGTCAGCTGCTTGAGAGTCTCTCCCGTTCCAGGGAGGGCATGTGGCAGTTTGGCCAGCTCAAGGGCAGGTTCGCCTTGAGCACATCTGCCTAGGCTCCAAGCAACTGGGGTCATGGTGTTGCAGCCACCCCTACCAAGCCCCTGTGGGCTTGGTAGAATGAATATTGAGCCCTAGTAATGGATACATGCAGTGGCCACTGGCCCCCAGCAGAGCACAGTGCACTCCAGAAGTGGCTCTGGTCTGAAGATGGTTCTGTGCTGCAGAAGCTAGTGGCGGGTAGATAATGCACACCTTGTGCTCCTAATCCAGGGCAGTGTAGCTGCAGGAATTCCTGGCAACTCTCCAAACTGGGAGACTTGGGTATTATTAGACTTGGGTATTATTAGACTTGGGTATTCTCCCGTAGTAAGGACTGTAGGTGCTTGCAGTAGCAATGGGGGCTGGTGGGGATCTTCAGTTTAGTGTTTCTTCACAACAGGAATCCCCTCCTGACTGCGGGCAGATCTGATTCTGGTAGAGGAGACAGGGCTGCAGAGGCTAGATGCCTCTGGAGGCCCTCCTGGGCTTCCATTCACCACAGGTGCATCTCCACTCCCCTGATGCACTCCAGTGCTTTCCCATTGACACTCCAGTCAAATCTTAGCTTTTTTCTGTGGTGGCTCCCACCTGTAATCCCAGCTACTCAGGAGGCTGAGGCAGGAGGATCATTTGAGTCCAGAAGTTTGAGGCCAGCCTGGGCAACATAGTGAAAGCTGTCTCCAAAAATAAAATTCTAAAAATCTTAGCTGTTTATTTGTTGCCTTTGTCCTTTCTTGTGGGGGGATGAATGCCAGGCATCTCTAGTCAGCCATCTTGCTGACAGCACTCTGAAATATGTGTTCTTTTGCTTTTGTTTCTGTTTTGTAGAGATGAGGTCTTGCTATGTTGCCCAAGATGGTCTTGAACTCCTGGCCTCAAGCGATCCTCCTGCCTCAGCCTCCCAAAGTACTAAGAATACAGGCATAAACCACCATGCCCAGTCAGATATTCTTCATTTTATTAATATATGACTGCCAAGATGCCTAAGGAGAAACTTTTCCATTGACTTAAATATAGAAGTGAAGCTAAATGCTTACAGAAAGTATCTCATTACAGTGAACTGAAAAATTAACTCTTCCTCAAATACCAATATCGTAACCTAGTGGGAACTACAGTATCATCACTATCTCATGCCCCATTGATCCCTGTTTTTGTTTACTTGTAACTTTTCTGACATCAAAGTCACCTTCAGTGGGACTTTCCCCATAGATCAAAGTCTTCAGATTACTTCTAATATCAAAACTTTATTTTCTACTTTTTTAAAGACATTTGCAGTATCTAATAGAACTGGTGCATGACAGCCCTTCTCCAACATGTGCAATTATCTAACATAATTGTATTTTTTATTTTATTCTTTTTTTTTTTTTTTTTTTTTTTTGAGACAGTATTGCTCTGTCACCCAGGCTGGAGTGTGGTGGCGCAATCTCGGCTCACTACGACCTCCATCTCCTGGGTTCAAGCAATTCTCATGCCTCAGCCTCCTGAGTAGCTGGGACTACAGGTGTGTGCCACTACATTCAGTTAATTCTTTTTTTTGTTTGTTTGTTTTGTATTTTTAGTAGAGGTAGTGTTTCACCATGCTGACCAGGCTGGTCTAGAAATCCTGGCCTCAAGTGATCCACCTGCCTTGCCCTCCCAAAGTGCTGGGATTACAGGTGTGAACCACCACACCTGGCCTATTCTATTTTTGAGACAGGATCTTGCTCTGTCACCCAGGCTAGAATTCAGTGACACAGTAATGGCTCACTGCAGCCTTGACTTCCCAGGATGAAGCGATCTTCCTGCCTTGGCCTCCCAAAGTACTGGGATTATAGGTGTGAACCATCTCACCCAGCCTGCCCATGTTTTAATCAGATTTTTTTTTTCCTGTTCCTCCAATGTAGTTTTTCAAACTTAAAAATGGCTTTAAGTTTAGAATTCTATTTATTGAATTAGCTTGGAATATGAAGTACCTGTAATTGGTGGTTCTGATTTCATTTAAGAACACCATGGTCCAGGTGCGGTGGCTCACACCTGTAATCCCAGCACCTTGGGAGCCCGAGTTGGGTGGATCACCTGAGGTCAGGAGTTCAAGACCAGCCATGACCAACATGGTGAAACCTCGTCTGTACTAAAAATACAAAATTATCTGGGCATGGTGGTGTGCACCTGTAATCCCAGCTACTTGGGAGGCTGAGGCAAGAGAATCGCGTGAACCCAGGAGGTGGAGGTTTCAGTGAGCCAAGATCATACCATTGCACTCCAGCCTGGGCAACAAGAGCGAAACATTGTCTAAAAAAAAAAGAACACCATGGTCAGAGGTTTGGCCCTTGCTTCACTGAAATGTACAGGTGGGTCTGGACTTCACACCATAAGATACCATTAATTGAATGAAGGCTCATTGTTATTTTATGAACCATTAAGACAAATTAGACCAGGCATGGTGGCTCACACCTGTAATCCTAGCACTTTGGGAGGCCGAGGCGGGCAGATCACGAGGTCAGGAGTTCAAGACCAGCCTGGCCAACATAGTGAAACCCCGTCTCTGCTAAAAATACAAAACAATTAGCCAGGCATGGTGGCAGTCGCCTGTAATTCCAGCTACTTGGGAGGCTGAGGCAAGAAGAATTGCTTGAACCTGGGAGCCAGAGGTTGCAGTGAGCCGAGATCACGCCACTGCACTGCAGCCTGGGTAACAGTGCGAGACTCCATCTCCAAAAAAAGAAGAAAGAAAGAAAGACAAATCAGCCAGGCGCGGTGGCTCACGCCTGTAATCCCAGCACTTTGGGAGGCCGAGACGGGCGGATCATGAGGTCAGGAGATCGAGACCATCCTGGCTAACACAGTGAAACCCCGTCTCTACTAAAAATACAAAAAAAATAGCCGGGCGTAGTGGCGGGCGCCTATAGTCCCAGCTACTTGGGAGGCTGAGGCAGGAGAATGGTGTTAACCCAGGAGGCGGAGCTTGCAGTTAGCTGAGATCGCACCACTGCCCTCCAGCCTGGGCGACATAGCGAGACTCCGTCTCCAAATGGGTGAATGGTTGAAGCCCAGGAGTTTGAGAGCAGCCTGGCCAACATGGCAAAACCCCATCTCTACTAAAAATATAAAAATTAGCTGGGCGCGGTGGCTCATGCTTGTAATCCCAGCACTTTGAGAGACTGAGGCAGGCGGATCACCTGAGATCAGGAGTTTGAGACCAGCCTGACCAACATGGTGAAACCCCATCTCTACTAAAAATACAAAATTAGCCGGGCATGGTGGCGCATGCCTGTAATCATAGCTACTGGGGAGGCTGAGGCAGTAGAATCGCTTGAACCTGGGAGGCAGAGGTTGCAGTGACCCAACATCGCACCATTGCACTCCAGCCTGGGCGACCGAGCAAAACTCCATCTCAAAAAAAAAAAAAAAAAAAAAAATTAGCCAGGCGCAGTGGCACATACCCATAGTCCCAGCCACTCGGGAGGCTGAGGCAGGAGGATGGCTTGAGCCTAGGAGGCAGAGGTTATAGCAAGCTGAGATCATACCACTGCATGCCAGCCTGGGTAATAGAGCCAGAACCTGTCTCAAGAAAAAACACTACCAATTAACTATTGACATCTTATGAATTGTAAAAACACATCCCAATTTCAGAGATGTTAAAATGTAGAAAAAATACTATCAGTCAATCAATCAAATACATTTGTGGCAATTTGCCATATGTAAAGAATGGTAAAGAATGGGCTTATTTCTCTACCACACAAATGAATGACATTCTTTTAGGAACATACAAGACCTGTTCTCACCACTCACCTAGCATAGCAGTCTTCTGCTACCTGTGACTTCCCCTAACCTGGAGGAGGAGGAGGAGGAGGAGGAAGGGGAGCTTTTGGCTTGCCTCTTGGACTATAATGAGGCCTCCACACCTATTCCTCCATCACCATCATTGTCCAAGGCAGGGAGAGCAGAAAAGACAAGAACATATTTTACAAATAATGTTAGTTGATATGTGATTTAATTTAGCATTAGCCTTTTAGGAATATGTCTCTTCTGCAAAAGAGGTTCGTTCCTATGACAATTATTAATTGAGGCCCTTTTCACTGCTTGCTAATAGTCAAGTGGTTTTATTTATAAGCTAGACACAAGTTACTCTTGCCACAGTACTCATGTCTTGTACTCTGCTGTCCTATTTAGGTTTTCAGCTGCTACTAAAGATAATGAGCATAAGCGTTCACTGACCAAGACTCCAGCCAGAAAGTCTGCACATGTGACCGTGTCTGGGGGCACCCCAAAAGGCGAGGCTGTGCTTGGGACACACAAATTAAAGACCATCACGGGGAATTCTGCTGCTGGTAAAAAAAAAAAAAAACAAAAGAAATCTGTTTCATTTTTAAGCCATGTAACTTCCCAAAATGATTAGGTATATCTGTTTTTTTTGTTTGTTTGTTTTTTTCTGAGATGGAGTTTCGCTTTTGTCACCCAGGCTAGAGTGTAATGGCGGGATCTCGGCTCACTGCAACCTCTGCCTCCCAGGTTCAAGCAATTCTCCTGCCTCAGCCTCCTGAGTAGCTGGGACTACAGACACATGCCACCATGCCCGGCTAATTTTGTATTTTTAATAGAGACAGTTTCACCATGTTGGTCAGGCTGGTCTCAAACTCCTGACCTCAGGTGATCCGCCCGCCTCGGCCTACCAAAGTGCTGGGATTACAAGCGTGAGCCACTGCGCCCGGCCTGTATCTGTTTCCTTAAACCCTTTCCATTTCTATAATCAAAAGCAAAAATTTTACCATAGTGTATTTTTAATTGTGTACTAGTGGGGGAAATGCCAGAGACATAAGCAAAAACCAGATATCTGCCTGAGAGCTCCATCTAATCCTAAAATGGTGACCCTCCAGGAAGGGCACTGTGCCCCTTGTGGGACTCAGGGATTCGGAGGATGAGCACAGTATTCGTTGCAGCCTCGGAAAGGTCCTGGAGGACTCTGACACTAACAGGATCCCAGACCACAGACTTCATGTTTCAAGATTCAACCATGTTGACTCGTTTTCACAGTATTTTTCAGTGGTGTGGGTATATGTCAGTTTATCTATTTTACTATTCACGAACATGTGGGTGGTTCCAGCTTCCATTATTATATATGATGTTGCTATGAATACTCTTAAACATGTCTCCTGTACATGTGCAAGAGTTTCCCTAGACCTAGGAGCAGGACAGCTGGATTGGAAAATATGCAGACATTTACTGTCCTGAATGAATTGTACCAATCTGTGCTTCCAGTGGCAGTGTATGGCAGTCCCTTGTTCTACTCCCTGTCAGCATTTGATACTGATACAGTGGGATAGCTTGAACACAGGGTTTTGTGCTTTTTTTTAACTAAGTGGTCTTAGATCCTGATTGCTGTTTCACAGATGTAGGCAAGGGTTCACATTTGGCAATGACCTGTGGCTTCCCCCTATGAAAAGAAAGGATTGGCCGGACGCAGTGGCTCTTGCCTGTAATCCCAGCACTTAGGGAGGCCGAGGTGGGTGGATCACTTGAGGTCAGAATTTCAAGACCAGCCTGGCCAACATGGTGAAACCCCAACTCTACTAAAAATACAAAAATTAGCCGGGCATGGTGGCATGCACCTATCATCCCAACTACTCAAGAGGCTGAGGTAGGAGAATCGCTTGAACCAGGAAGCAGAGGTTGCAGTGAGCCGAGATTGTGCCACTGCACTCCAGCCAGCCTGGGCAACACAGTGAAACCCTGTCTCAAAAAAAAAAAGAGATTGGGAGAGAAAGGATTAACTGATGGCCAACTGTAGCAAAAAGGCTAACTAAACTACACCATCCTTAGGCTGGGCATGGTGGCATGGAGACCAACCTGGCCAACATGGCAAAACCTCGTCTCTACTAAAAATACGAAAATTAGCCGGGCGTGGTGGCACGCGCCTGTAATCCCAGCTACTCACTTGAGAATCACTTGAACCCAGGAGGCAGAGGTTGCACTGAGCTGAGATCACATCACTGTACTCCAGCCTGGGAGACAGAGCAAGACTCCGTCTCAAAAAAATTAAAAAAAACTACACCATCCTGGATATTTTTAACTTCGTGGTGCAAAAATTCATATTCTTTTTTTTTTTTTTTTTTTGAGACGGAGTCTCACTCTATCACCCAGGCTGGAGTGCAGTGGCACCATCTTGGCTCACTGCAACCTCCGCCTCCTGGGTTCACGCCATTCTCCTGCCTCAGCCTCCCGAGTAGCTGGGACTACAAGTGCCCGCCACCACGCCCGGCTAATTTTTGTATTTTTGGTAGAGACAGGGTGTCACCGTATTGGCCAGGTTGGTCTTGAACTCCTGACCTCGTGATCCGCTCACCTCGGCCTGCCAAAGTGCTGGGATTACAGGCATGAGCCACCGCGCCCAGCCAAAAATTAATATTCTGAAGTGATAAGAGCCCTTATTAATAATATTCCTGACTTTAAACAATCCTCCTGCCTCAGCCTCCCAAAGTGCTGAGATTACAGGTGTGAGCCATATCTGTTATCAGGGAAATAAGCTGAAAAGTTACCGTCATTTCCTTCAACAGAATTCTAAACTCCCAGCTGATCCTAGGATCCCAGCACTTTGGGAGGCCAAGGCAGGTGGATCATGAGTTCAGGAGATTGAGACCATCCTGGCTAACACACTGAAACCCCGTCTCTACTAAAAATACAAAAACAAAATATTCAGAACATTTACAAAGCTGCTTAGCAAAGGAAATTAATCTCAATGGTTAGCTTTCCTCAATTATTGTTTTCCCCTTTTCTCCATTTTAACCCTTATTTCAGACTTTCATCTATTTCAGACTATTCATGTAGATTGTCTTAGTCCTTTGCGGCTGCTATTATATAACAAAGCACCAAAGACTGTATCTTATAAACAGCGGTAATTTCTTTCTCATAGTTCTGGAGGCTGGATGAGGGCAGATCAGGGCACTAGCATGATTCTGGTGAGGGCTGTTTTCCAGGTAGCAGACTACCAACTTCTTGTTGTATGCTCATGTGGCAGAAAGAGAGCTAGAGAAAATTCTATGGGGTCCCTATATAAGGCCCTGAATCCCATTCATGACCTATTTACCTCCCAAAGGCCCTACTTCCTTACACCAGTCATATTGACAGTTAGGATTTCAATATGAATTTGGGATCGCAGGAGATACAAACATTCAAGCTATAACTTTTTTCTTTTTTTGAGACACAGTCTCACTGTCGCCAGGCTGGAGTGCTGTGGTGCAATCTCGGCTCGCTGCAACCTCCGACTCCCTGGTTCAAGGGATTCTCCTGCCTCAGCTTCCTGAGTAGCTGGGATTTTGGGCACACGCTGCCACGCCTAGCTAATTTTTGTATTTTAGTAGACACGGAGTTTCACTATGTTGGCCAGGATGGTCTCGCTCTCTTGACCTCATGATCCACCTGCCTCGGCCTCCCAAAGTGCTGGGATTACAGTCGTGAGCCACTGCACCCAGCTTCTTTTTTTTCTTTGTTTGTTTCTTTTGTTTTTTTGAGATGGAGTCCCACCCTGTTGCCCAGGCTGGAGTGCAATGGCGCAATCTTGGCTCACTGCAAGCTCCACCTCCCGGGTTCAAGTGATTCTCCTACCTCAGCCTCCCGAGTAGCTGGGATTACAGGCACGTGCCACCACACCTAGCTAATTTTTTTTTTTTCCCTCTCTGAGATGGAGTCTTGCTCTGTCACCAGGCTGGAGTGCAGTGGCACGATGTTGGCTCACTGCAACCTCTGCTTCCCGGATTTAAGCAATTCCCCTGCCTCAGCCTACTCGGCATGGGACTACAGGCATGCACCACCACGCCCAGCTAATTTTTTTTTTTTTTTTTTTTTAAACCAAGTTTCGCTCTTGTTGCCCAAGCTGGAGTGCAATGGCGCAATCTCAGCTCACCACAACCTCCGCCTTCCGGGTTCAAGCAATTCTCCTGCCTCAGCCTCCCGAGTAGCTGGGATTACAGGCATGTGCCACCACCCTGGCTAATTTTGTATTTTTAGTAGAGATGGGGTTTCTCCGTGTTGGTCAGGCTGGTCTTGAACTCCTGACCTCAGGTGATCCACCCGACTCGGCCTCTCAAAGTGCTGAGATTACAGGTGTGAGCCACCACACCTCTAGATAATTTTTTGTATTTTTGTGGAGACAGGGTTTCACCATGTTGGTCAGGATGGTCTTGATCTCCTGACCTCGTGATCCGCCCACCTCGGCCTCCCAAAGTGCTGGGATTACAGGTGTGGGCCACCATGCCCAGCCTATAACGTGTATTTTTAAGATTGAGAAGTAACACTTTGATAAACACTTTACCAGGTCTTTGTTTCTAATTAAGCTCTTGGGTTTTTTCGGTGTGTTTTTAGTTATTACCCCATTCAAGTTGACAACTGAGGCAACGCAGACTCCAGTCTCCAATAAGAAACCAGTGTTTGATCTTAAAGCAAGTTTGTCTCGTCCCCTCAACTATGAACCACACAAAGGTATGTGGGAGTGTTTTGAGCTACAGGGCCTGTAAAATACTTAAGATTGGTGGGACGCAGTGGCTCACACCTACTAAACATACAAAAATTAGCCAGGCGTGGTGGCAGGCACCTGTAATCCCAGATACTTAGGATGCTGAGACAGGAGAATCACTTGAACCTGTTAGGTGGAGGTTGCAGTGAGCCGAGACCGTGCCACTGCACTCCAGCCTGGGCAACAAGAGTGAAACTCCATCTAAAAAATAAAAATAAAAAATAAAAACTTAAGAATAAACAAATTCTGCGGCCGGGCGCAGTGGCTCTGGCCTGTAATCCCAGCACTTTTGGGAGGCTGAGGTGGGCAGATCACTTGAGGTCAGGAGTTCGAGATCAGCCTGGCCAACATGGTGAAACCCCGTCTCTTCTGAAAAAAAATAAGAAAATTAGCCTGGCGTGGTGGCGGCGCCTGTAATCCCAGCTACTTGGGAGGCTGAGGCAGGACAATCGCTTGAACCTAGGAGGCAGAGGTTGCAGTGAGCCGAGATTGCACCACTACACTCCAGCCTGGGTGACATAGTGAGACCACGCCTCAAAAACAGGCTGGGCGCGGTGGCTCACGCCTGTAATCCCAGCACTTTGGGAGGCCAAGGCAGGCGGATCATGAGTTCAGGAGATCGAGACCATCCTGGCTAACACATTGAAACCCCGTCTCTACCAAAAATACAAAAACAAAATTAGCTGGGCATGGTGGCGGGCGCCTGTAGTCTCAACTACTCGGGAGGCTGAGGTGGGAGAATGGTGTGAACCCAGGAGGTGAAGCTTGCAGTGAGCCGAGACCACACCACTGCACTCCAGCCTGGGCGACAGAACGAGACTCTGTCTAAAAAATTTAAAAAATAATAATAATTAAATTTAAATTAAAAAAAAAAGCAACACATAAACTTCAAGAAATTTGGTCCCAGTTCTTTTTGTAAAATTGCAAATTGGTTGGACACAGTGGCTCATGCCTGTAATCCCAGCACTTTGGGAGGCCAAGGCAGGCAGATTGCTTGAGAACAGGAGCTCAAGACCAGCATGGGCAACATGATGAAACCCCGTCTCTACTAAAAAATACAAAAATTACCCGGGCATGGTGGCATGTGCATGTAGTCCCAGCTACTCATGAGTCTAAATTGGGAGGATCACTTGAGCCCAGGAGGCGGAGGTTGCTGTGAGCTGAGATCAGATCACACCACTGCACTCCAAACTGAGCGACAGAGTGAGATTCTGTCTCAAAGAAAAAAAAAGTATAAATGTTGATAGCAGGTAACCCCACAGATGAAGAGAATGAAGTTGGGAATATAAATCAAACAATCTTTTTAAAATTCTTTGTCTCTGTCCTAAACTAGGAAAGCTAAAACCATGGGGGCAATCTAAAGAAAATAATTATCTAAATCAACATGTCAACAGAATTAACTTCTACAAGAAAACTTACAAACAACCCCATCTCCAGACAAAGTAAGTACATAATTATCCAGCTTTATAATTATTTTAATTTCAAAAGCAGCACCTCTGAGGGATAGGGGCTCAGTAATAGTGGTGTTTTAAGAGGAGGTTAGAAGTGGTATTATGGCCGTGTGCGGTGGCTCACGCCTGTAATCCCAGCACTTTGGGAGGCCGAGGTGGGCGGAACACGAGGTCAGGAGATCGAAACCATCCTGGCTAACACGGTGAAACCCCGTCTCTACTAAAAATACAAAAAATTAGCTGGGCATGGTGGCGGGCGCCTGTAGTTCCAGCTACTCGGGAGGCTGAGGCAGGAGAATGGCGTGAACCCAGGAGGCAGAGCTTGCAGTGAGCCGAGATCGCGCCACTGCACTCTAGCCTGCGTGACAGAGCCAGGCGCCGTCTCAAAAAAAAAAAAAGTGGTATCATGGGCCAGGCACGGTGGCTCACGCCTGTAATCCCAGCACTTTGGGAGGCCGAGGGGGGCAGATCACGAGGTCAGATCGAGACCATCCTGGCTAACGCATTGAAACCCCATCTCTACTAAAAATACAAAAAATTAGCCGGGCGTGGTGGCGGGCGCCTGTAGTCCCAGCTACTCGGGAGACTGAGGCAGGAACCTGGGAGGCAGAGCTTACAGTGAGCCGAGATCACGCCACTGCACTCCAGCCTGGGCGACAGAGTGAGACTCCGTCTCAAAAAAAAAAAAAAGTGGTATCGTGTATATAACTTTCTGAGTACATCTGCCTAGGTTCCAGTGTAATGGACTCCAAATCAGCAGATTTGGGGTGAGGCCCAAGCACCTGCATTGTTTCCAAGGCTCTGCAGGTGATTCAGAAGAAGACCCAGATTCAGAGCACTGCTCTTGCATGACTCATCTGCCTAAACACAGGGCATGTGGGTATCTCTCCAGATACCAATGCCCAGCAGCCCAGGGCACCTACATATCCAGATAGACATAAATTCCTCACTCCTAAGAAAACCAGGCTTACAAGGCGTCAAGGCCCTATAAAGAGGAAAAACCCAGGACGGTCCTTAGAGGCTTCCTTCAGCATGAAAACCAAGTTAAAGCCAGAGCTCATCCTGGGTTGCAGCAAGTCATGGTTGGGCCCAGATTCCCTGCTTGGACCCTCGTGACACAGGGTTACCTGTCAGTTGACTCATGGCTATACACGACTGCCACCAGGGCCTTTGCTCACCGTTATTAAGTTGGCCAGGCAAGGTGGCTCACGCCTGTAATCCCAGTACTCTGGGAGGCCAAGGCGGGTGGATCACGATGTCAGGAGTTGAAGACATGGAGAAACCCCATCTCTACTAAAAATACAAAATTAGCCGGGCGTGGTGGCACATACCTGTAATCCCAGCTACTCGGGAGGCTGAGGCAGCAGAATCACTTGAACCCGGGAGGCGGAGGTTGTGGCGAGCTGAAATTGCACCATTGCACTACAGCCTGGGCAACAAGAGCAAAACTCCGTCTCAAAAAAGAAAAAAGAAATCAAAGTCAAAGGTCAAGCTCAAAATCACATAGTTTAGTGAAAGGAATAGAACTAGAACCAGGATCTACTGAGTTAGCCATTATGCTCTACTTTCAGAGGATTAGACAAACCAAAAAAAAAAAAGAAAAAGCCCAAGATTATATTAACTTATCTTGGTTTTTTTTTTTTTTTTTTTTTTTTTTTGAGATGGAGTCTCGCTCTGATGCCCAGGCTAGAGTGTGGTGGTGCGATCTTGGCTCACTGCAACCTCTGCCTCCCAGGTTCAAGTGATACTGCTGCCTCAGCCTCCCGAGTAGCTGGGATTACAGGTTCCCGCCCCCGCGTGCAGCTAATTTTTGTATTTTTAGTAGAGACGGGGTTTTACCATCTTGGCCAAGCTGGTCTCAAACTGCTGATCTCAGGTGATCCACCCACCTTGGCCTCCCAAAGTGCTGGGATTACAGGCGTGAGCTACCACACCTGGTCAACTTTGATTTCTAGGTGTAGACATTTCTCATTTAAAACAAATTTTTTTTTTTTTCTTAGAGACAGGGTCTTACTTTTTGTCACCCAGACTGGAGTACAATGGCATGATCATAGCTTACTTTGGCCTTGAACTCCTGGGCACAAGGGATCCTCCCACCTTGGCCTCCCAAAATGCTGGGATTATAGGTGTGAGCCACTGCATCTGGCCTAAAGCAAACTGTAAAATAACAAGAGTTGGATTCAATCAGCAAGGTGTCTCCTGACTCCAATTCCATGCATGATTTTATTATTTATTTTTGTTTGTTTGTTTTGAGACAGTCTCATTCTGTCGCCCAGTCTGGAGTGCAGTGGCGTGATCTCGGCTCACTGCAACCTCCGCCTCCCGGGTTCAAGGGATTCTCCTGCCTCAGCCTCCCCAGTAGCTGTGATTATAGGCATGCACCACCACACCTGGCTACCTTTTTTGTATTTTTAGTAGAGACGGGGTTTCACCATTTTGGCCAGGCTGGTCTCGAACTCCTGACCTCAAGTGATCTGCCTGCCTTGGCCTCCTAACGTGCTGGGATTTCAGGCATGAGCCATCGCGCCCCGGCCTCCATGCATGATTTTAGAGTGCTGAGTTAACAAAAGGAAAATACCAGTTTCTAACCCTTTAACACAACAATGACGAACAGGTGTTAGAAACACTAGGCAGAGCACAGTGCCCTCTAAGAGTCTGTTTTACACAAGTATGCTGGATGTCATTGCTTGGAAGTTTGGGTGTTAGTCCAACAATAGTTGCTTTAAAGTATCTGTTTTGGAGCCTCCCTAGAGCTTAATGTGTGACCTATCCCTCTCAGGGAAGAGCAACGGAAGAAACGCGAGCAAGAACGAAAGGAGAAGAAAGCAAAGGTTTTGGGAATGCGAAGGGGCCTCATTTTGGCTGAAGATTAATAATTTTTTAACATCTTGTAAATATTCCTGTATTCTCAACTTTTTTCCTTTTGTAAATTTTTTTTTTTTGCTGTCATCCCCACTTTAGTCACGAGATCTTTTTCTGCTAACTGTTCATAGTCTGTGTAGTGTCCATGGGTTCTTCATGTGCTATGATCTCTGAAAAGACGTTATCACCTTAAAGCTCAAATTCTTTGGGATGGTTTTTACTTAAGTCCATTAACAATTCAGGTTTCTAACGAGACCCATCCTAAAATTCTGTTTCTAGATTTTTAATGTCAAGTTCCCAAGTTCCCCCTGCTGGTTCTAATATTAACAGAACTGCAGTCTTCTGCTAGCCAATAGCATTTACCTGATGGCAGCTAGTTATGCAAGCTTCAGGAGAATTTGAACAATAACAAGAATAGGGTAAGCTGGGATAGAAAGGCCACCTCTTCACTCTCTATAGAATATAGTAACCTTTATGAAACGGGGCCATATAGTTTGGTTATGACATCAATATTTTACCTAGGTGAAATTGTTTAGGCTTATGTACCTTCGTTCAAATATCCTCATGTAATTGCCATCTGTCACTCACTATATTCACAAAAATAAAACTCTACAACTCATTCTAACATTGCTTACTTAAAAGCTACATAGCCCTATCGAAATGCGAGGATTAATGCTTTAATGCTTTTAGAGACAGGGTCTCACTGTGTTGCCCAGGCTGGTCTCAAACTCCACCAAATGTACTTCTTATTCATTTTATGGAAAAGACTAGGCTTTGCTTAGTATCATGTCCATGTTTCCTTCACCTCAGTGGAGCTTCTGAGTTTTATACTGCTCAAGATCGTCATAAATAAAATTTTTTCTCATTGTCATAGATTCATTCTTTGTAAACATAAGTCTTCCAAGATTTAGGTGAGCAGCTAGGCTTAACAAGAGTTTATACATACCCTTGGTATGCCCTTTCCTGACCACTGCTTCCATTCAAAAAAGAAACGGCAGTATGCTTCCTTTATATTCCCAGAGTACCTCTCAGGTTTTATTAAATGCTGTTTTGTATATACGAGGCTTTAGGACATGGCACACTTCCGGGTACTGGAAACATTCAGATTTTCCTATCAAGGGGAAGAGATCAGATCAATTTTAAAAATTCAGGGTCAAATACACATCTGATGGAAATGTAAAATGTCACAACCACTTTGGAAAACAGTTTGCTAGTTTCTTTGAAAAGTTAACAGTATGTCTACCGTGTAATCTAGCCATGCCATTAGGTAGTGAGACCCTATCTGAAAAAAGAAAAAACCACCAGGATCTTACATAGAGAAAATCCTAAGGATTTCACTAAAAAGCTCCTAGAACTAATAAATTCAGTAAGGTTGCAACGTACAAGATCAATACCCAACAATTATGGCCAGACACAGTGGCTCACACCTGTAATCCCAGCACTTTGGGAGGCCAAGGCAGGCAGATCACTTGAAGTCAGGAGTTGGAGACCAGCCTGGCCAACGTGGTAAAACCACATCTCTACTAAAAATACAAAAATTAGCCAGGCATGGAGGCGGGCGCCTGTAATCCCAGCTACTCAGGAGGCTGAGGCAGGAGAATCACTTCAACCCGGGAGGCGGAGGTTGCAATGAGCCAAGATCATGCCACTGCACTCCAGCCAGGGCAACAGAGTGAGACTCCGTCTTGGAAAAAAAAAAAGATCAAGGCCGCCGCGCCGGCGAGCGCCGCCCGGGAGGCAGCGGCTGGAGGAGCGGACGGGCCCCGCGGGGCCCGAGGGCAAGGAGCAGCCGCCTGCCTTGGCCTCCCAAAGTGCCGAGATTGCAGCCTCTGCCCGGCTGCCACCCCGTCTGGGAAGTGAGGAGTGTCTCTGCCTGGCCGCCCATCGTCTGGGATGTGAGGAGCCCCTCTGCCTGGCTGCCCAGTCTGGAAAGTGAGGAGCGTCTCCGCCCGGCCGCCATCCCATCTAGGAAGTGAGGAGCGCCTCTTCCCAGCCGCCATCACATCTAGGAGTGGGGAGCGTCTCTGCCCGGCCGCCCATCGTCTGAGATGTGGGGAGCGCCTCTGCCCCGCCGCCCCATCTGGGATGTGAGGAGCGCCTCTGCCCGGCCGAGACCCCGTCTGGGAGGTGAGGAGCGTCTCTGCCCGGCCGCCCCGTCTGAGAAGTGAGGAGACCCTCTGCCTGGCAACCACCCCGTCTGAGAAGTGAGGAGCCCCTCCGCCCGGCAGCTGCCCCGTCTGAGAAGTGAGGAGCCTCTCCGCCCGGCAGCCACCCCATCTGGGAAGTGAGGAGCGTCTCCGCCCGGCAGCCACCCCGTCCGGGAGGGAGGTGGGGGGGGTCAGCCCCCCGCCCGGCCAGCCGCCCCATCCGGGAGGGAGGTGGGGGGTCAGCCCCCCCGCCCGGCCAGCCGTGCCATCCGGGAGGGAGGTGGGGGGGTCAGCCCCCCGCCTGGCCAGCCGTGCCGTCCGGGAGGGAGGTGGGGGGGTCAGCCCCCCGCCCGGCCAGCCGCCCCGTCCGGGAGGTGAGGGGCGCCTCTGCCCGGCCGCCCCTACTGGGAAGTGAGGAGCCCCTCAGCCCGGCCAGCCACCCCGTCGGGGAGGGAGATGGGGGGGTCAGCCCCCCCACCCGGCCAGCCGCCCCGTCCGGGAGGGAGGTAGGGGGGTCAGCCCCCCGCCTGGCCAGCCGCCCCGTCCGGGAGGGAGGTGGGGGGGTCAGCCCTCTGCCCGGCCAGCCGCCCCGTCTGGGAGGTGAGGGGCGCCTCTGCCCAGCCGCCCCTACTGGGAAGTGAGGAGCCCCTCTGCCCGGCCAGCCGCCCCGTCCGGGAGGGAGGTGGGGGGGTCAGCCCTCCGCCCAGCCAGCCGCCCCGTCTGGGAGGTGAGGGGCGCCTCTGCCCGGCCGCCCCTACTGGGAAGTGAGGAGCCCCTCTGCCCGGCCAGCCGCCCCGTCCGGGAGGGAGGTGGGGGGGTCGGCCCCCCGCCCGGCCAGCCGCCCCGTCCGGGAGGGAGGTGGGGGGGTCGGCCCCCCGCCCGGCCAGCCGCCCCGTCCGGGAGGGAGGTGGGGGGGTCGGCCCCCCTGCCCGGCCAGCCGCCCCGTCCGGGAGGTGAGGGGCGCCTCTGCCCGGCTGCCCCTACTGGGAAGTGAGGAGCCCCTCTGCCCGGCCAGCCGCCCCGTCCGGGAGGGAGGTGGGGGTGTCAGCCCCCCGCCCGGCCAGCCGCCCCGTCCGGGAGGGAGGTGGGGGGGGTCAGCCCCCCTGCCCGGCCAGCCGCCCCGTCCGGGAGGTGAGGGGCGCCTCTGCCCGGCCGCGCCTACTGGGAAGTGAGGAGCCCCTCTGCCCGGCCACCACCCCGTCTGGGAGGTGTGCCCAACAGCTCATTGAGAACGGGCCAGGATGACAATGGCGGCTTTGTGGAATAGAAAGGCGGGAAAGGTGGGGAAAAGATTGAGAAATCGGATGGTTGCCGTGTCTGTGTAGAAAGAAGTAGACATGGGAGACTTTTCATTTTGTTCTGCACTAAGAAAAATTCCTCTGCCTTGGGATCCTGTTGATCTGTGACCTTACCCCCAACCCTGTGCTCTCTGAAACATGTGCTGTGTCCACTCAGGGTTAAATGGATTAAGGGCGGTGCAAGATGTGCTTTGTTAAACAGATGCTTGAAGGCAGCATGCTCGTTAAGAGTCATCACCACTCCCTAATCTCAAGTAATCAGGGACACAAACACTGCGGAAGGCCGCAGGGTCCTCTGCCTAGGAAAACCAGAGACCTTTGTTCACTTGTTTATCTGCTGACCTTCCCTCCACTATTGTCCCATGACCCTGCCAAATCCCCCTCTGTGAGAAACACCCAAGAATTATCAATAAAAAAATAAATTAAAAAAAAAAAAAAAAAAAAGATCAAGACCCAACAATTATATTTTTGGCTTTTTTTTTTTTTTTTTTTTTTTTTTTGAGGCAGAGTCTGTCTCTGTCACCCAGGCTGGAGTACAGTGGTGCGATCTTGGCTCACTGCAACCTCCACCTCTCCTCGAGTTCAAGCGATACTCTCTATCTCTTGACCTCGTGATGCGCCAGCCTCAGCCTCCCAAAGTGCTGGGGATCACAGCGGTGAGCCACCGCCCGTGGCCTAATTATTGTGTTTTTTTTTAGAGAGACACGGTGTTGGTCTGTCACCCAGGCTGGTGTGCAGTGGTAAGATTATAGCTCACTATAACCTTGACCTCATGGGCTCAAGGGATCCTCCTACTGCAGCCTCCCAAGTAGCTAAGTCTACAGGTGTGTGCTACCACACCTGGCTAATTTATTTTATTTTAGTTTTAGAGACAGGGTCTCACTATGTTGCCCAGGCTGGTCTCAGACTCCTGGGCAAGGGATCCTCCCATCTCAGCCTCCCAAGTAGCTAAGTCTACAGGTGTGTGCTACCACACCTGGCTAATTTATTTTATTTTAGTTTTAGAGACAGGGTCTCACTATGTTGCCCAGGCTGGTCTCAAACTCCTGGGCAAGGGATCCTCCTACCTCAGCCTCCCAAAGTGCTGGGATTATAAGTGTGAACCACTGAGCCTGGCCCCCATATTTCCATATACTAGCAATGACTAATAAAAAAAAGAGACAACTGGATACTCAGATGCAAAAAATGAATTTGGACCTTTATACCATACACAAAAGTTAACTTAAAATTGGTCATAGGGCTGAGCACAGTAGCATATACTACCGTAGTCTCAGATACTTGAGAGGCTGAAGTCAGACGATCACTTTAGCCCAGGAGATCAAAGGCTGTGGTGCATTATAAGCACTCCTGTGAATAGCCCCTGTACTTCAACCTGAGCAACAGAGCAAGATCCTATTTCTTAAAAAAAAAAAAAAAAAAAGAGTGGGCACGGTGGCTCACGCCTGTAATCCCAGCACTTTGGGAGGCCAAGGCAGGTGGATCATGAGGTCAGGAGATGGAGACCATCCTGGCTAACACGGTGAAACCCCATCTCTACTAAAAATGCAAAAACAAAATTAGCTGGGTGTGGTGGTGGGCACCTGTAGTCCCAGCTACTCGGTAGGCTGAGGTAGGAGAATGGTGTGAACCCAGGAGGTGGAGCTTGCAGTGAGCCGAGATCGTGCCACTGCACTCAAGCCTGGGTGATAAAGCGAGACTCTGTCTAAAAAAAAAAAAAAAAAAAAGTCCGGGCGCGGTGGCTCACGCCTGTAATCCCAGCACTTTGGGAGGCCGATGGGCAGATCACGAGGTCAGGAGATCGAGACCATCCTGGCTTACACTGTGAAACCCCGTCTCGACTAAAAATACAAAAAAATTAGCCGGGCATGGTGGCAGGCGCCTGTAGTCCCAGCTACTCTGGAGGCTGAGGCAGAATGGCATGAACCCAGGAGGCAGAGCTTGCAGTGAGCCGAGATTGTGCCATTGCACTCCAGCCAGGGCGACAGAGTGAGACTCAGTCTCAAAAAAAAAAGTGATGAAAGAGGGACCGGGTGCGGTGGCACACCTGTAATCCCAGCACTTTGGGAGGCCGAGGTGGGTGGATCATGACGTCATGAGTTCAAGACTAGCCTGGCCAAAATGGTGAAACCCTGTATCTACTAAAAATACAAAAATTAGCCAGGCGTGGTGGTGGGCACCTGTAATCCCAGCTACTCAGGAGGCTAAGGCAGAGAATCACTTGAACCTGGGAGGCAGGGAGGTTGCAGTGAGCCGAGATTGTGCCACTACACTCCAGCCTGGTGACAGAGCAAGACTCCGTCACACACACACAAAAATTAGCCGGGTATGGTGGCGCATGACTGTAATCCCAGCTACTCAGGAGGCTGAGGCAGGAGAATTGCTTGAACCGGGAGGCAGAGGTTGCAGTGAGCTGAGATCACGCCACTGCACTCCAGTTTGGGCCACACAGCAAGACTCCATCTCAAAAAAAGCATAGACCTAAGTGTTAGAACTAAAATTACAAAAGCCTTAGAAGAAACCATAGGAGTAAGTCTCTGTGATTTACTGAGTTATTGCCTTGGGCGGATCACCTGAGGTCAGGGGTTCAGGACCAGCCTGGCCAACATGGTGAAACCCTGTTTTTACTAAAAACACAAAAAAAGTAGCCAGACATGGTGGTGTGGGCCTGTAATACCAGCTACTGGGGAGGCTGAGGCAAGAGAATCGCTTGAACCTGGGAGGCGGAGGTTGCAGTGAGCCGAGATCGCACCACTGCACTCCAGCCTGGACAACAGAGGGAATTTCATCTCAAAAAAGCAAAACAAAATGAAATTAGAAGAAATCTAAATGCAACAGAGTGGTAGAAGGCCATTAACAGTCATCTCAGAGACTCCTGCCTTAGAAACTACTCATATAGGAAATGTTCCTAACAGCAACTGTTCTGAGCAAAAACACTAAGTTATTTACATAGTACATTTACATCAGTACTTGCATTCTATGAGATAAAGTACACCAGAGAACCTGGTTTCATGCTGTGTTCCCCTTATCCAGTCCCTCTTAGCAATAGCCTTTCTTTGTGGGTTTTTTTTTTTTTTTTGAGACAGAGTCTCGCTCTGTGGCCCAAGCTGGAGTGTAGTGGCGTGATCTCAACTCACTGCAACCTCTGCCTCCGAGTTCAAGCAATTCTCCTGCCTCAGTCTCCCAAATAGCTGGGATTATAGGCATGTGCCACCACACCTGGCTAACTTTGGTATTTTTAGTAGAGACGAGGTTTCACCATGCTGGTCAGGCTGGTCTCGAACTCCAGACCTTAAGTGATCCGCCCGTCTCAGCCTCCCAAAGTGCTGGGATTACAGGCGTGAGCCACAGTGCCTGGCCAGCAACAGCATTATAACTTGTCTTAGAGAATACATACTAGCCAGCCAGGCGCGGTGGCTCACATCTGTAATCCCAGCACTTTGGGAGGCCAAGGCGGGCGGATCACCTGAGGTCAGGAGTTCGAGACCAGCCTGACCAACATGGAGAAACCCTGTCTCTACTAAAAATACAAAATTAGCTGGGCATGATGGTGCATGCCTATAATCCCAGCTACTCGGGAAGCTGAGGCAGGAGAATAGCTTGAACCCAGAAGGCGAAGGTTACGGTGAGCCGAGATCACGCTACTGCACGCCAGCATGCCAGCCTGGGCGACAGAGCAGAACTCCATCTCAAAAAAAAAAAAAAAAAAGAGAGAGAATACATACTAGCCATTGGTTGGATGCCATTAAAGAAATATTTTATTTTGTCTATATCATTGTAGATGCTAGTACCCTTAGATTAGTAAAACAAAACTACCATATGATCTTTATTTAAAAAGCCTTGGGTTAAGCTCTGGAGAATTTTCATAGGCAAATTCTTCTGTATGAGCTGGATCAGTAAACACGCCAATAAAATCTATCTCCAGGAAGAATGGACCATCCACTTTATCAGCCAAGGTGAATCCTATAGAAGAGATCTAAATTTAAAATACAGAAATTGATTAAAATCTCATACAGTGACGTACTGAGATTATTCCAGGAGTTTAAAATCCCATCAGGTGATGATTATAACTGGGTTTTAATGCTATCAGCCCTTAGCAAATACTACTAATTCTCCCATAGCATACTGTAAGAGGAAATACAAGACTGCTTTTCTTTCCTCATTCAACTTCCTCCCCTCTCCTCATTAGGTAGTGCCACTTAAGACTAGGAAGGACGGCCGGGCGTCGTGGCTCAGGCCTGTAATCCCAACACTGGGAGGCCAAGGTGGGCAGATCACAAGGTCCAGTTAAAAACCAGCCTGCCCAATATGGTAAAACCTCGTCTCTACTAAGAATACAAAGATTAGCCAAGTGTGGTGGCAGGCACCTGTAATTCCAGCTACTCAGGAGACTGAGGCAGGAGAAATGCTTGAACCCGGGAGGTAGAGGTTGCAGTGAGCCGAGATCATGCCACTGCACTCCAGCCTGAGTGACAAAGCAAGACTCCATGTCAAAAAACAAAAAGACTAGTAAGGACGACATGAATGCCTAATGGAGTTCCTTGAAGCGTTCATAAACTCTTATTTTAAAGCTAAATTAGGAGAGAAGGGAGGGGGGAAAATAGCTAAAGTAAAATGTAGGCATGCTAAAAAATGATCCTTCTAAAATTCCTTCAGGATGGGGGTATGGTTCATAGGAGAGGTCTAAGTCAGCCTCTGGCTGGGTATAAGAGCAGTGGCCCTGAGAAGAAATATTCATCTGCCAGCCTTCTCAAATGAACTCAGTCTCCCCAGAGTTCCGATTCATTAAAAATGATACAGTTCTGAGTGAAAAATACAGGAATATGTTACCTTATCAAGCGGAAGCTCATGCTGAACATCCCGGATTCTTCCTCGATTAGAGAAGAAAAATTTGGAAAAAGGAATCTGAAAGAAGAAACCATTTACTTCATAACTGAAATGTAAGCAATTGAGGCATCTGCATGTAATTGTAACGATAAAATGAGTTTACATTTATTCTAAAATTATGTCATATATGTATTATGACAAATGGCTAGCCATTTGGATCAAAGATATAACTCAGGCCAAACGATAAAGGGTTAACTATGAAAAAAATATTTGTAACATTTATGGAAAAAAGACTAGTATCCTAAACACAGCTTTTTTTTTTTTTTCTTTCTGTGGAGAATGGGGTCTCACTTTGTTGCCTGAACCCGGGAGGTAGAGGTTGCAGTAAGCCAAGATCACACCACTGCACTTCAGCCTGGGCGATAGAGCTAGATTCTATCTCAGAAAAAAAAGAAAAAAGAATTTTAACGTTTCCCTTCCTTCCTACATTAGAAACTGAACTAAAAGAAATGTCCTATTCCTTCTACTCTTGAACTTTCAAGTGTGCCTTTTTATTCATCAACTTTATTTTCATATTTCTTCTCTATGTAATTTACTTATTATTAAGCACGATCTTTTAAAACTATATCTGGCTTTAATTGTTTGTGTTTTGTTTTGAGATAGGGTCTCACTCTGTTACCCAGGCTGGAGTGCAGTGGTGCCATCTTGGCTCACTGCAACTTCCACCTCCCAGGTTCAAGCGATTCTCCCACCTCAGCTTCCTGAGTAGCTGGGACTATAGGCGCACACCACCACACCCGGCTAATTTTTTTTTTTTTTTTTTTTTTGGTAGAGACGGTGTTTCACCATGTTAGCCAGGCTGGTCTTAAACTCCTGAGCTCAAGTAATCTGCCAACCTTGGCCTACAGGTATGAACCACCACACCCTGCCTAAATAATTATACAGAAGCTCTCCAGGATATATTCCTAAATTTTAAAAACACAAAAAACAGGTACAGAGTATGCTAATTTTATTTATATTTTGAGTTTAACAAAGGAAGAAAATGGCTGGGCCTGGTTGTGCATGCCTGTAATCCCAGCACTTTGGGAGGCCAACACAATAGGATCAACTGAGCCCAGGAGTTCAAGACCAGCCTGGGAAACACGGTGAAACCAAGACTCTAGTAAAAAAACAAAAAACTTATCCAGCCATGGTGGTGCATCCTTGTAGTCCTGGCTATTCAGGAGGCTAAGGTGGGAGGATCACCTGAGGCTGGGAGGTTGGGGCTACAGCGAGCCCATGCTGCACTCCAGCATGGACAACAGAAGAGAGACCCTGTCTCAAATAAGTAAATAAATTTTAATGAACATAAATAAAAATGAATTATACATATTAATAGTTATTCCAGTAATTTTATCTCTAGGAATATAGCCTATGAAAATAGTTAAGGATGTTTACCTCAGAGTTTGTTCCGACAGTAGAAAACTCTGAAAACAATCTAAATCTACATGTACATAATGAAGAACAAGTTAAGAAAAAAAAATTTTTTTTTTTGAGACAGGGTCTTACTCTGTCACCCAGGCTGAAGTGCATGCAGTAGGGTGATCTCAGCTCACTGCAGCCTTGACCTCCCAGGCTCAAGCAATCCTCCCACCTCAGCCTCCTGAGTAGGTGGGACTAAAGGCACATGCCACCACACTGGGCTAATTTTTGTATTTTTGTAGAGACAGGGTTTTGCCATGTTGCTCAGGCTTGTCTTAGACTCCTAGCTTCAAATGATTCACTGCCTTAGCCTCCCAAAGTGCTAGGATTACAGATGTGAGCCACTGGACCCAGCCAAAATTGTTGTCTACTTATATAATATCATGCAGACATTAAAAATGATGTAGAAATATATTTGAAGAGAAAGTTGTAAACAATAGTTCAGTGAAAATACTGTATATATGTTATAAAACACCACTGGAAGGGAAAAGTGTGACTAGAAAAGTGTAGAAGATACATATTAAAAATAGTATTTTTGTGCCAGGCGCGGTGGCTCACGCCTGTAATCCCAGCACTTTGGGAGGCCAAGGCAGGCGGATCACGAGGTCAGGAGATCAAGACCATTCTGGCTAACACGGCGAAACCCCGTCTCTACTAAAAATACAAAAAATTAGCCAGGTGTAGTGGCAGGTGCCTGTAGTCCCAGCTACTCAGGAGGCTGAGGCAGGAGAATGGCGTGAACCCGGGAGGCGGAGCTTGCAGTGAGCAGAGATCGTGCCACTGCACTCCAGCATGGGCAACAGAGCCAGACTCTGTCTCAAAAAAAAAAAAAATAGTATTTTATCTGCTGGGTATGGTGGCTCATGCCTGTAATCCCAGCACTTTGGGAGGCCGAGGTGGGCGGATCATGAGGCCAGGAGTTCAAGACCATCCTGGCTAACACGGTGAAACCCTGTCTCTACTAAAAATACAAAAAATTAGCTGGGCGTGGTGGTGGGCACCTGCAGTCCCAGCTACTCGGGAGGCTGAGGCAGAATGGTGTGAACCTGGAAGGCAGAGCTTGCAGTGAGCCGAGATCCCGCCACTGCAGTCCAGCCTGGGCGACAGTGCGAGACTCTGTCTTACAAAAATAAAAATAAAATAAAATAAAAATAGTATTTTATCACTGGATAGTGGTAGTACAAGATTTTTTTCTGTACTTCCCAAATTGTTTTTATAATGAAGTAGTTATTTTGTATAATAATTCATTATATATATATTACTTAAATACAAGTATATATAATTTGTGTTATATATCTGTATTACTACATATATATGTATGTATTGAGTGCTTATTTTGTGCTAGGCACTAGGACAAAATTCTAGGTACAGGGGAAACTGGTAGGAACAATATAAGCAAGATCTCTGCTCTCACAGAATTTACAGAATTTAGGGCCAGGTGTGGTGGCTCAAACGCCTATAATCCCAATACCTTGGGAGGCGAGTCGGGTGGATCACTTGATGTCAGGAGTTCGAAACCAGCCTGGCCAACTTGGTGAATGAAACCCCATCTCTCCTAAAAATACAAAAATTAGCCGGGCGTTGTGGTACACGCCTGTAGTCCCAGCAGGAGGATCTCTTGAACCTGGAAGGCAAAGGTTGCCGTAAGCTGGAATCACACCACTGCACTCCAGCCTGGGCAGTAAGAGTGAGACTCCATCTTAAAAAAAAAAAAAAAAAGAATTTATATAATTTATGTTCCAGGGAAGGCAGTAGAGTGACAATAAACAGATGAATGAATGAACAAAGTAATTTTAGTTAGTGATAAGTTCTATGAAGAAAGTTATAGGATGGTGGTGTTGAAATAACTGGATTAGAGGGTCCAACTTTAGTTACAGGAATCAGGAAAGGCCTCTCTGAGGCAACTTTTGAGCCGAGAGGTGAATGACAGGAAAGAGAAAGCAGGTGAAGACATGGGGGCAGAGCATTACAGCAGAGCAACACTAAGTGCAAAGCTCTGAGATGGAAATGAGGTTGTTAAATCTGACAGAAAAGGGGCTGGTGTGGAGGAAGGAGGTAGGAGGAGAGATGGAAGATGAAGACAGGAGGAGAGATGGAAGATGAAGACAGGGGTCCGATATTGTAGGCCCATAGGCCATGTGCAGGAGTTTGGACTTTATTCTTTTTTTTTTTTTTTTTTTTTCTTGAGATGGAGTCTTACTCTGTCACCCAGGGTGGAGTACAGTGGCGCGATCTTGGCTCACTGCAACTTCCACTTCTCAGGTTCAAGCGATTCTCCTGCCTCAGCCTCCTGAGGAGCTGGGACTACAGGCGTGTGCCACCACCTGCTGCTAATTTTTTGTATTTTTAGTAGACACAAGATTTCACCATGTAGACCAGGCTGGTCTCAAACTCCTGACCTCAAGTGATCTGCCCATCTCAGCCTCCCAAAGTGCTGGGATTAAAAGCATGAGCCACCTAGCCCAGCCTGGACTTTATTCGAATTGTAATGGGAAACCACTGAAGGGTCCTGATATGGTTTGGCTGTCTCCCCACCCAAAATCTCATCTTGAATTGTAGTAATCCCCATGTGTCAAGGGAGGGACCAGGTGAAGTTAACTGAACCATGGGTGTGGTTTCCCCCATACTGTTCTAGTGACAGTGAGTTCTCACAAGATCTGATGGTTTTATAAGGAGATTACCCCTTCATTCGGCTCTCATTCTCTTTCCTGCCACCATGTGAAGGAGGATGTGTTTACTTCCCCTTCTGCCATGATTTTATAAGTTACCTAAGGCCTCCCCAGCCCTGCAGAACTGTGAGTCAATTAAACCTCTTTCCTTTATTAATTACCTAGTCTCAGGTATTTCTTCATAGCAGCAGCACGAGAACAGACTAATACAGCTTACATGCTTAGGAGGTACATTTACATGCTTACAAGCATGTAAATGATGTCATCTGAACTATGCTTCAGAAAGATAACTCTGGCTGCTGTGGAGCCAGGATTTTAGTGGGGCAAGAAGACAAACAGGGAAATCAATAATGAAGCTGCTGCAATAATCCAAACACCTGGACCAGGGTGGGAGTAGAAGAGATGGCTAGAAATGGTCAGCTGCTGAGTGTATTTTGGAAGCAGAGGTGACAGGACTCGCTAATAGACTGGATGTGGGGCAAAGGAGAAGAATTCAGGATGACCCTCAAGTATATGACATGAGCAAAATGGGGACTTTCTTGTTGAGTTTTTTTTTTTTTTTTTTTTTGAGACGGAGTCTTGCTCTGTTGCCCAGGCTGGAGTGCAGTGGCACGGTCTCAGCTTACTGCAACCTCCACCTCCCAAGTTCAAGCAATCCTCCTGCCTCAGCCCCCCTAGTAGCTGGGATTACAGGCACACACCACCATGCCCGGCTAATTTTTTTTTTTTTTTTTTTTTTTTTGAGACGAAGTCTCCCGCCCAGCCTGGAGTGCAGTGGCACGATCTGCAAGCTCTGCCTCCCGGGTTCACGCCATTCTCCTGCCTCAGCCTCCTGAGTAGCTGGGACTACAGGCACCTGCCACCAAGCCCGGCTAATTTTTTTTGTATTTTTTTAGTAGAGACGGGGTTTCACTGTGTTAGCCAGAATGGTCTCCATCATCTCCTGACCTCGTGATCCACCCGCCTCAGCCTCCCAAAGTGCTGGGATTACAGGCGTAAGCCACCGCGGCCGGCCTTTTTTTTTTTGAGATGGAGTCTCACTCTGTCGCCAGGCTGGAGAGCAGTGGCCCATCTCGGCTCACTGCCACCTCTGCCTCCCAGGTTCAAGCGATTCTCCTGCCTCAGCCTTCTGAGTAGCTGGGACGACGCCACCACACCCAACTAATTTTTTTATTTTTAGTAGAGACAGAGTTTCACCATGTTGGCCAGGATGGTCTCGATCTCTTGACCTCGTGATCTGCCCACCTCGGCCTCCCAAAGTGCTGGGATTACAGGCATGAGCCACCGCGCCTGGCCTCTAATTCTTGTATTTTTAGTAGAGATGGGGTTTTGCCATGTTAGCCAGGCTGGTCTCAAACTCCTGATCTCAGGTGATTTACCCACCTTGGCCTCCCAAAGTGCTGGGATTACAGACATGAGCCACCACGCCTGGCCTAGGACACTACTTTTTTTTTTTTTTTTTTTTTTTTTTGAGACAAAGTTTGGCTCTTGTTGCCCAGGCTGGAGTGCAATGACACGATCTCGGCTCACCGAAACCTCCGCCTCCTGGGTTCAAGCAATTATCCTGCCTTAGCCTCCCGAGTAGCTGGGATTACAGGCATGCGCCACCACGCCCAGCTAATTTTGTATTTTTTTTAGTAGAGACAACAGGGTTTCTCCATGTTGGTCAGGCTGGTGTCGAACTCCCAACCTCAAGTGATCCGTCCGCCTTGGCCTCCCAAAGTGCTGGGATTACAGGTGTGAGCCACCACGCAGGCCTAGGACACCAACTTTAGCAGAGTTGCCTGGAAGACATGAAATGGCAGAAACTTCTAAAAAACAAACAAACCCCATCTATTTGGACACAGAGCAGAGATGTGCCTGTGACTTAGCATGGACCTGGCCACATCCATATCAAAAATATTCACTAGTTAGTATGTTAACATTTATATTAATGAAACAAAATTCATTTATGTCTCTTAACCTTTCTTCTACCCACCCACCCCCACCTTCCAAGAAAGATTAGTAACAAAAAAGAAACTACAATGTAACAATCATCTCCAAGACTTTTTTTTTTTTTTTTTTTTTTTTTTGAGACAGAGTCTCATCTCACTCTGTTGCCCAGGCTGGAGTACAATGGCACGATCAGAGACTAGGTTTCACCATGTTGGCCAACCTGGTCTCGAACTCCTGACCTCAGGTGATCCACCCACCTCGGCCTCCCAAATTGCTGGGATTATAGGCGTGAGCCACCTCACCCAGCCAAGACCTCATTTTTATAAACAATGAAGATTTATGCTGTTACCTTGACCTCCTGCCAGTAGGGTCCCCCGCGGGTGAACATGAAGTAACTATACATCTGATTCGTCCTCTGGAAGAAATCTGTGTCCTCCTTGATATTCACCATCCAAGGCCGACCATCCCCACGTACACGGAGATACAGAGTATTGAACTGGGACCAATCGTAAGACATCTTCCTCTCAAAAGCACCCTAAGATATTGAAAGTAAAGTTCATTGTACCTCATTCTCCATTATTAGCAAAATGTGAGTCATCACCAAGTCAGCATCATCAACAGGATGCACTAACCATTTTTCTGACTTTCTGCCCCATAAGAAGGCACATAAACCCAGTGATTATTATTTTAGCACAAAATACTGACATAGTTATATGTTTCTAAGGTAATGTTCAACACACAACTGGCCCAGGACAGTGTTTACATGGGGTAGGCACTCACCTGTGTTCAATGAATGGAAATGAATGTATTTCCTTTACCTGGTCGTATGGAGCAATGACTTTTTCTTTTCTTTTCTTTTCTTTTCTTTTTTTTTTTTTGAGACGGAGTCTTGCTCTGTCACCCAGGCTGGAGTGCAGTGGTGCAATCTCAGCTCACTGCAAGCTCTGCCTCCTGGGTTCACACCATTCTCCTGCCTCAGCCTCCCGAATAGCTGGTACTATAGGCGCCCAAAACCACACCCGGCTAATTTTTTTGTATTTTTAGTAGAGACGGGGTTTCACCGTGTTAGCCAGGATGGTCTCGATCTCCTGACCTGGTGATCCGCCCACCTTGGCCACCCAAAGTGTGGGGATTACAGGCATGAGCCACTGCGCCCGGCCTTTTTTTTTTTTTTTTTTTTTTGAGACAAAGTTTCGCTCTTGTTGCCCAGACTGGAGTGCAATGGCACGATCTCAGCTCACTGCAACCTCTGCCTCCAGAGTTCAAGCAATTCTCCTGCCTCAGCCTCCCAAGTACCTGGAATTACAGGCATGCACCACCATGTCCAGCACTCTGGGAGGCCAAGGGTGGGGTGGATCACCTGAGGTCAGGAGTTCAAGACCAGCCTGGCCAACATGGTGAAACCCTGTCTCTACTAAAAATACAAAAATTAGCTGGGCGTGGTGGTGTGCACCAGTAGTCCCAGCTACTCAGGAGGCTGAGGCAGGAGAATCGCTTGAACCTGGAGGGCGGAAGTTGCAGTGAGCCGAGATCACGCCACTGCACTCTAGCCTGGGCGACAGAGCAAGACTCCGTTTCAAAAAAAAAAAAAGAAAGCCACAGGCTAACCCTACATCCACTCTACAAAACCCCTGGTCATTACAGAGGTTGTGGTCTTTTTTAGAGGAGATGAAAATCTCTCCAAAAATCTTTCAAATGTCTAACCTCTCAGGATTCCTGAAACATAACAATGCTCGTTCCTGGCCCAAAGCAATGCGCAGAAACAAGTTAACTCCTCCTCCTCAGAAACCACTTCCCCCTTGTGCTTCCACTTCACACTTGTGCCAATAGTTACTTATCCCCAGACACAGGTGAGGTGCCAAATATAACATGCCAGGTGTTTTCATTTACAGAAACAAAAGCTATCTTCTATAGTTTATGCTACAATGAAGTTCACCCCTGTTTACTAGAAAACGATGGCTCCTGGGCCTCACCTACCCTTGGAATCCTGGATATCATTGCACAGTACCCACTTCGGGTAGACTCCCCGTCCTGAGGCGCCTCAGAGCTCAGAGTTCCATATAGCAGTGCACTTTGGTTATTCTTGCCCATTTTCAAAAACACTTCACTTCTGCCTCCAATCGTCTTATCAGAAGTCACTGTCCACTTATCCAAATCTTCTTTCCCCCGGAATTGCCAGACAACCTTGGCTTGTTCCAGCAAGACCTCATGCAGAGGGTGGCCTTCCGGTCCTCTCCAATGATCCACAATTTCATCCTTCAAAAGCCTAAAATGGTATATTGCTTCATCTCTAATTGCTTTATCGAAACTAACATCAGGCTTCTCCTCAGAAGAAGTTATATCCAAAGCAACTTCTTTCTGGTGATCTCCTTGCAAATCCCCTTCAGTCTTCCTCTGTGAGGAGGCTTTGCCAGGAGAAGCCACTGGTTTCTGAAGACTACTGGAATACTCTGCAAAGCGAATACCCAAAAATGGATACAAGGCAGAAGTTGGCTTAGAGAATTTTCTGAGAAAATAAGTACCACGCAGCAATTTGTGAACCAAAGCCATGGTACAAAAAAATCAAAATGTAAGTTTCTTCCTGGGCTAGCAAGGGCCACCAAGAAGCTTCAGCAAATAGCCCAATTCTACCTATAACAGAAGAGACATTGAAGAATTATCAGCATAGCAATGAATGCATCACAATTTCAAATTCAACAGAAATCAGGTATTTTGAAGTTTGTTAACTTATTTGTTTACTATTATTATTATTATTATTTGAGACAAGGTCTTGCTCTGTGGCCCAGGCTGGGTACAGTGGCACAATCACAGCTCACTGTAGCCTCTACTTTCTGGGCTCAAATGATCCTCCCATCTCAGCCACCCAAGTAGCTGGGATTACAAGCACACACCACCATGCCCAGCTAATTTTTAAATTTTTTGTAGAAATGGATCTCCCTGGCCAGGCACGGTCCCAGCACTTTGGGAGGCTGAGGTGGGTGGATCACGAGGTCAAGAGATAGAGACTGGGCCGGGCGCGGTGGCTGACGCCTGTAATCCCAGCACTTGGGGAGGCCGAGGCGGGTGGATCACGAGGTCAGGAAATCGAGACCATCCTGGCTAACACGGTGAAACCCCGTCTCTACTAAAAATACAAAAAATTAGCCGGGTGTGGTGGCGGGCGCCTGTAGTCCCAGCTACTGGGGAGGCTGAAGCAGGAGAATAGCGTCAACCCAGGAGGCAGAGCTTGCAGTGAGCGGAGATCCCGCCACTACACTCCAGCCTGGGCGACAGAGCGAGACTCTGTCTCGGGAAAAAAAAAAAAAAAAAAATTGAGACCATCCTGGCCAACATGGTGAAACCCCGTCTCTACTAAAAATACAAAACTTAGCTGGGTGTGGTGGTGCGCACTTGTGGTCCCAGCTACTAAGGAGGCTGAGGCAAAAGAATTCCTTGAACCTGGGAGGAGGAGGCTGCAGTGAGCCAAGATCGTGCCACTGCACTCCAGCCTGGCAACAGAGCGAGACTCTGTCTCAAAAAAAAAAAAAAAAAAAAACAGAAAGAAAGAAAAAGAAATAGATCTCCCTGTGTTGCCCATGATGGTTTTGAACTCCTAGGATCCAGTGATTCTCCCCTCGGCTTCCCAAAGTGCTGGGCTGTAGGAATGATGCACTGTCCCCGGCCTTTTTTTTTTCTTTTCTTTTTATAAGAGACTGGGTCAGGCCAGGTGTGGTAGCTCACGCCTGTAATCTCAACACTTTGGGAGGCCGAGGCGGATGGATCACCTGAGGTAAGGAGTTCGAGACCAGCCTTGACAACATGGTGAAACCCCATCTCTACTAAAAATAATCCAGGCGTGGTGGCAGACGCCTGTAATCCCAGCTACTAGGGAGCCTTAAGCAGGAGAATCACTTGAACCCAGGAGGCAGGGATTGCAGTGAGCCGAGATCACGCCACTGCACTCCAGCCTGGACAAGAGCAAAATTCCATGTGAAAAAAAAAAAAAAAGAGACAGGGTCTCTTGCTCTGTCACCCAGGCTGCAGCGCCGTGGCAAGATCGATAACTCATTGTAGCCTTGAACTCCTGGGCCCTGGACTGAAATGATTCTCCCACCTCAGCCTCCAAGGTAGCTGAGACTACAGGTGCACACCACCATGCCCAGCTAATTTTTTTAAAAAATGTTGGCCGGGTGCCGTGCATCACACCTGTAATCCCAGCACTTTGGGAGTCCAAGGTGGACGGATCACTTGAGGTCAGGAGTTCAAGACCAGCCTGGCCAAAATGGTAAAACCCCATCTCTACTAAAAATACAGAAATTAGTTGGTCATGTTGGAGAGCGCCTGTAATCCCAGCTACTGGGGAGGCTGAGGCAGGAGAATCACTTGAACCCAGGAGGCGGAGGTTGCAAGTGAGCCGAGATTGCACCACTGCACTCCAGCCTGGGTGACAAAAGTGAAATTCCATCTCAAAAAAAATAAAAAAACCAAAAATTGTAGCCCGCCACAGTGGCTCACACCTGTAATCCCAGCACTCTGGGAGTCTTAGGCAGGCAAATGACTTGTCGTCAGGAGTTGGAGACCAGCCTGCCCAACATGGTAAAACCCCGTCTCCATTAAAAATACAAAAATTGGCCTGGCACGGTGGCTCATGCCTGTAATCCCAACACTTCGGGAGGCCAGGGCAGGCGGATCACCTAGGACAGGAGTTCAAGACCAGCCTAACCAACATGGTGAAACCCCTACAGAAAATACAAACAATTAGCCAGGTGTGGTGGCCCATGCCTGTAATCCCAGCTACTTGGGAGGCCTAGGCATAAGAATCGCTTGAACCCAGGAGGCAGACGTTGCAGTGAGCCGAGATCGTGCCATTGCACTCCAGCCTGGGCGACAGAGTGACTCCAACTAAAAAAAAAAAAAAATTAGCTGGGCATGGTGGTGGGCACCTGTAATCCCAGCTACTCGGGAGGCTGAGGCAGGAGAATCGCTTGAACCTGGGAGGCAGAGGCTGCAATGAGCCAAGACTGCACCATCGCACTCCAGCCTGGGCAACAAAAGTGAAACTCTGTCTCAAAAAAAAAAATACAGGCCGGGCGCGGTGGCTCACGCCTGTAATCCCAGCACTTTGGGAGGCGGAGGCGGGCGGATCACGAGGTCAGGAGATCGAGACCATCCCGGCTAAAACGGTGAAACCCCGTCTCTACTAAAAAAATACAAAAAATTAGCCGGGCGTAGTGGCGGGCGCCTGTAGTCCCAGCTACTCGGGAGGCTGAGGCAGGAGAATGGCGTGAACCCGGGAGGCGGAGCTTGCAGTGAGCCGAGATCCCGCCACTGCACTCCAGCCTGGGCGACAGAGCGAGACTCCTTCTCAAAAAAAAAAAAAAAAAAAAAAAAAATACAAAAATTAGCTGGGTGTGGTGACGGGCACCTATAGGGTGGTGGCAAGCACCTATAATCCCAGCTACTCGGGAGGCTGAAGCAGGAAAATCGCTTGAACCCAGGAGTGGGACGCTGCAGTGAGCCAAGATCAAGCCACTGCACTCCAGCTTGGGCAACAGAGCAGGACTCTGTCTAAAAAATAAATAAATAAAAATAAAAAATTGTAAGGCCAGGCGCAGTGGCTCACGCCTGTAATCCCAGCACTTTGGGAGGCCAAGGTGGGTGGATGACAAGGTCAGGAGTTTGAGGCCAGCCTGACCAACATGAAGAAACCCCATCTCTACTAAAAATACAAAATTAGCCCGGTGTGGTGGCGCACAACTGTAGTCCCAGCTACTTGGGAGGCTAAGGCAGGAGAATAGCTTGAACAGGAGGTGGAGGTTGTGGTGAGCCAAGATCACGCCATTGCACTCCAGCCTGGGCAACAAGAGCAAAATTCCATCTCAAAAAAAAAAAAAAAAAAATAGAGATGAGGTCTTGTTATGTTGCTCAGACGAGTCTCTAACTCCTGGGTTCAAGTGATCCTCCTGCCTCAGCCTCTGGAGTACCTGGGATTACAGGCGTGAGCCACTGCACCTGATGAATACCACTCCTAATACTTTTTTTTTTCTTTTTTGAGACAGAGTCTCACTCTGTCACCCAGGCTGGAGTGCAGTGGCACGATCTCGGCTCACTGCAAGCTCCGCCTCCCGGGTTCACGCCATTCTCCTGCCTCAGCCTCGCGAGTAGCTGGGACTACAGGCGCCCGCCACCATGCCCAGCTATTTTTTTTTTTTTTTTTTTTTTGGATTTTTAATAGAGACAGGGTTTCACCGTGTTAGCCAGGATGGTCTCGATCTCCTGACCACGTGATCCACCTGCCTTGTTCTCCCAAAGTACTGTGATTACAGGTGTGAGCCACCATGCCCAGCCTACTCCTAACACTTTCATATCACCCTGATATATATTATCTCATGCCATCCACACACAAATCCTATGAAACAAGTCAGATACGTATTTCCTTTCTGTAGGATACAGACACCAATAGGTAAAATGACATTATCAATACTTTTTTTTTTTTTTGAGACGGAGTCTTGCTCTGTCACCAGGCTAGAGATCTCCGCTCACTGCAATCTCCGCCTCCTGGGTTCAAGCGATTCTCTTGTCTCAGCCTCCTGAATAGCTGGGATTACAGGCGGGCGCCACCATGCCCGGCTAATTTTTGTTTTTGTTTTTGTTTTTTCAGTAGAGATGAGGTTCCACTATGTTGGCCAGAGTGGTCTCGAACTCCTGACCTCAGGTGATCCGCCTACATGGGCCTCCTAAAGTACTGGGATTACAGGCGTCAGCCACGGCGCCCAACCTTTTTTTTTTTTTTTTTTTTTGAGATGGAGTCTCGCTCTGTCACCCAGGCTGGAGTGCAATGGCACGACCCTGGCTCACTGCAACCTCCGCCTCCCGGGTTCAAGTGCTTCTCCTGCCTCTGCCTCCCGAGTGGCTGAAATTACAGGTGCCCGCCACCATGCCCAACTTTTTTTTTTTTTTTTTTAAGACAGAGTCCAGCTCTGTCCCCCAAGTTGGAGTGCAGTTGTGCGATCTCGGCTCATTGTAACCTCCACCTCCTGGTTTCAAGCAATTCTCTTGCCTCAGTCACTGGGATTACAGGCGTGCGCCACCACGCCCAGCTAATTTTTGTATTTTTAGTAGAGACAGGGTTTCACCATGTTGGCCAGGCTGGTCTCGAACTCCTGACCTCAAGTGATCCGCCCGCCTCGGCCTCCCAAAGTGCTGGGATTACAGGCGTGAGCCACCGCGCCCAGCCGACATTATCAATAAGGTTTGTTGATAAATCAAAACCATGTAAACAGTATGTTTTCACATGTATTATAAACGTTAAGGGAACCAGGAAAAATTAACAGTTGATCTGAGGTCCCGGAATTATGGATAATATTTAAATTCCCCCGCGCCGGTTGCACTTAAATGATTTTACCTCTACACATACCGAAATTTGAGAAACAAATGATAGCTCATAAAATGTTTTCCAAACCCTCCGTAGTGTTACTTCTCTAATAATATAACTTTAATTATAAATGCTTTGTTTCATTTTTTTTTTTCTACCAGTAAACAGAAAATCTAAACTATTAACTGGACAATACCGCCCTGAGGTTGACGGTGGGTTTTGACAACACAATCCACGCAGCTAGAAGTGAGTAGAATTAGTAAAGCTATCCATGCCTTACCATGTGCCAGAAACTGCTCTAAGTGTTTCACTGACGGCTCACAACAATCCTGAGAGAGGTACTATTATTATTTCAATTATAGAGACGAAGAAACTGACGTTCCAAGGCTAATTTACCCGAGGTCACACAGGTAGTGAGTGGCAAAATTCTTCCGCCTTGGCGTATACCTCCCGCACTCACGGCCTGGCCTCCGGAGGCTAGACGGTTCGCCGCGCTGGGGAGGCCCCCTCAACCCTCAAGTGCCAGGGCTCTGTCGCCTCCCCACACCCGGGACACACCAACCGCCGGCCTGCCGCCGCTTACCTCCCCGAGCCTATAGTGTACCTTCCGCCCAGAAGCCACTTTACCCGTATAGGTCCATCTGCTTTTCCCTTCCGATGCCAAACAAGGCGTCAGAACACCAAAGTTCCGGCCGAGTACAGAAGCCCAGGAAGGACAGCAAGGACCCCGTAGCCCAGCCAACTGAGGTTTTTGGAGGTTTTTGGTCCACTTGGTCGCCAGTTGTAAGGAAGCAGTGAGAATTCAGATAAGTTTTTCGCCTCTCCTTCCTGTATCCTTTCAGGCGGCAAACTCCATCCCTGCGTCTTTTTTTTTTTTTTTTTTTTTGAGACGGATTCTCGCTCTGTCGCCCAGGCTGGAGTGCAGTGGCGCGATCTCGGCTCACTACAACCTCTGCCTCCCAGATTCAAGCGATTCTCCTGCCTCAGCCTCCCGAGTAGCTGGGATTACAGGTGCGCGCCATCATGCCCGACTAATTTTTGTATTTTTAGTAGAGACGGGGTTTCACCATGTTAGCCGGGATGATCTCGATCTCCTGACCTCGTGATCCACCCGCCTCGGCCTCCCAAAGTGCTGAGATTACAGGCGCGAGCCACCAAGCCCGGCCCCCTGCGTCTTTCAAATAGAACCCAGTTATTGCTAACGCGCCTGTATCCCTTCCTTCCTTATCTGTCGCCTCGGTCCCCACAAGAACTGCCTGAGGCCTCAAAAGGCCGATTCTGCTGGAATTGCCCCCATGAATTCTTGAGGACCACCACGCACCTGGACAGCAGCCCCTCCTACCAGCCCTTCCCGAGTCTCGCCCCACACGGTCGCCAGTTGCTCAGGGCATCTGTTTGTACCTTGTGCACACCTCTCTTAAAGCACTTTTTTTTTTTGAGACGGAGTCTCACTCTGTTGCCCAGGCTGTAGTGCAGTGGCGCGATCTGCAACCTCCGACTCCTGGGTTGGAGCAATTCTCCTGCCTCAGCCTCCCAAGTAGCTGGGATTACAGGTGTGTGCCACCACACCCGGATAATTTTTGTATTTTTAGTAGAGATGGGGTTTCGCCATGTTGGCCAGGCTGGTCTCGAAATCCTGACCTCATGATCCACCCACCTCGGCCTCCCAAAGTGCTGGTATTACAGGCGTGAGCCACCATGCCCGGCCAAAGCACTTAAACATTGTTTGTTTTTGTTTTTTTTTCTTACTGCCAGGGAAGACAGAATCAACATTGTATCTTTCACTCACTTCTCACTTCCTTTGCCACGCTGTGAGCTTTCTTGGGTCCAGACTGCGCTGTTTTTCCTTTCCCCAGAATGTACCATAGCGGCGGGAATTTAGTGCTTAGTGTGAATTTGAGAGCATATAGTTCCGTAACACCTTTGTTCTCTAAGGTTCCGAAGGAGCTCACTAAATACACTAGCCCTTTCCATGTTTTCTCCTTCACTAGTTTCCGCGCCGCCTCCTCTTCCTCAAATTCGGCTTGGCTTCTCTAGACTCTACACTTGCCCCCTCAAACCTTACCTTTCTGCCCCCATCACTGACTCTTCTATTCTCTTCCCACAACCTTTAATGCGGGCTGTCTCTCCATGGCCCATCCTGCCTCTACCTCTTTTCTAGTTTCAAATATAAGTTATCGGCCGGGCGCGGTGGTTCACGCCTGTAATCCCAGCACTTTGGGAGGCCGAGGCGGGCGGATCACAAGGTCAGGAGATCGAGACCATCCTGGCTAACACGGTGAAACCCCGTCTCTACTAAAAATACAAAAAAATTGGCCGGGCGTGCTGGCGGGCGCCTGTAGTCCCAGCTACTCAGGAGACTGAGGCAGGAGAATGGCGTGAACCCGGGAGACGGAGCTTGCAGTGAGCCGAGATCGCACCACTGCACTCCAGCCTGGGCCACAGAGCCAGACTCCGTCTCAGAAAAAGAAAAAATCGAAATGTCTTTTTGTTGTTGTTTTTTAGGAAATATCCTTGAGCAATAAAGAAAACTAAATGTCTAAAACTAAATGTGTCATTTTTCCTCCTACTAATTCCTCCTGTCTCCCTATTTCTGTAAATGGCCACATCCTTCTAGGATGGAAATGCTTGACTGTCCTTGGCTCCTCTCCTTAAAATCTTCTCTTACTGATTTTAAATCCTGTTGCATTCTCTTGCTGTTTTTGATCTTTGATCTTTTCACACCTTCTTTCCAAGCCCACTGACACGTTTCTTGTTTTTTTGGTTTTTAAAATATAGTAGCCATCCTAATGAGTGTGAAGTGGTATCTCATTTTGGTTTTGATTTGCATGTCTCTAATCATTAGTTGTTTGCTGCTTTTTTTTTTTTGAACCACAGTCTTCCTCACCCAGGCTGGAGTGCAGTGGCGTGATCTCGGCTCACTGCAACCCCCGCCTCCCGGGTTCAAGTGATTCTCCTGCCTCAGCCTCCTGAGTAGCTGGGATTAGAGGTGCATGCCACCACACCCAGCTGATTATTGTATTTTTAGCAGAGTCAGGGTTTCGTCATGTTGGCCAGGCTGGTCTCCAACTCCTGACCTCAGTTGATCCACCCACCTCGGCCATCCAAGGTGCTGGGATTACAGGCGTGAGCCACTGTGCCAGGCTGTTTGCTTAAGTATAGGAAGCCCCATATGTATTTATTACCAGTGGAGAAAGGAAGGCTGGAAGAAAGAAAAAAATATTCAAATAGAAAGGAAGGACATGACAATGCCAGGCAGAAGAAAAGGTAGAGTCACTAGGGGAAGGAAATATAGGAAATAAAGGAAGGAAATAAAGGCAAAGAGCTGAGGGGAAATGATTATGTAGGTTAACCCAACCATGTCTGTAGCACCTTCTTCCTTGGCCTCCCAGACAGTGGTAGTGGGCTCCACCAAATCTTAACTATACCTTTGTTCACAACAAAACTGAAACCCAGCCAGGCAGGGTAGCTCACACCTGTAATGCCAGCACTTTGGGAGGCCTAGTCGGGTGAATCACCTGAGATCAGGAGTTCGAGACCAGCCTGGCCAACATGGTAAAACCCTGTCTCTACTAAAAATACAAAAATTAGCCAGGGGTGGTGGCGAGCACCCGTAATCCCAGCTACTCGGGAGGCTGAGGCAGGAGAATGGCTTGAACCTGGGAGGCAGAGGTTGCAGTAAGCTGAGATCTTGCCATTGCACTCCAGCCTGGGCGACAAGAGTGAAACTCTGCCTCAAAAAAGAAAACAACAACAACAACAACAACTGAAACCCATCCAAATTAGACATGGAGACAACAGGGGACCATCTATCTATTTGTGGACATAAGGCTGACAAATGCCATAAATGATAATATGACAAAGGGAACAAAGTGAGGGAAACTAAGAGCAGGCAACTACAAAGAGAAGCCCCTGCCTAAAAGGAAATGAACAGTAAGAGCATCATTCAGAAGCCTGGGACCAGAGGACATTGAAGCTGTTCTGAATCCGAATATGAATGGGTGAAGCCCTGTAGTCCCCTATATTGCAGGCAGTGACAAAAGAGGCAGAAGTGTTGTTCAGCCCTGGCCAACCTTAGAAGGTAGCAGGATCATTTTTTGTTTGTGTGTTTGCTTGTTTTGAGATGGAGTTTTCCTCGTGTTGTCTAGGCTGGAGTGCAATGGCGCAATCTCAGTTCACTGCAACCTCCACCTCTCGGGTTCAAGCGAATCTCCTGTCTGAGCCTCCCGAGTAGCTGGGATTATAGGTGCATGCCACCATGCCTGCCTAATTTTTGTATTTTTAGTAGAGACGAGGTTTCATAATATTGGTCAGGCTAGTCTGCAACTCCTGACCTCAGGTGATCCACCCGCCTCAGCCTCCCAAAGTGCTGGGATCACAAGCGTGAGCCACCGCGCCCGGCCTGTTTTTGTTGTTTGGAGACGGAGTCTTGCTCTGTCACCCAGGCCAAGGTGCAGCAGCCCAATCTTGGCTCACTGCAACCTCTGCCTCCCAGGTTCAAGCGATTCTCCTGCCTCAGCCTCCTGAGTAGCTGGGACTACAGGGGTGCGCCACCACGCCCAGCTAAGTTTTGTTGTTTTAGTAGAGACAGGGTTTCGCCATGTTGGCCAGGCTGGTCTCCAACACCTGACTTCAAGTGATCCACCCACCTTGGCCTCCCAAAGTGCTGGTATTACAGGCATGAGTCACTGCGCCTGGCCAGGAGGGTATTTTTTTGTTTGTTTGTTTGAGACCGAATCTCACTCTGATGCCCAAGCTGGAGTGCAGTGGCGTGATCTCAGCTCACTGCAACCTCCACCTCCCGGGTTCAAGCGATTCTCCTGTCTTGCCCTCCTAAGTAGCTGAGACTACAGGTGCATGCCACCACACCCAGCTGATTTTTTTTTTTTGGTAGAGACAGGGTTTCACCATGTTAGCCAGGATGGTCTCGATCTCCTGTCCTCGTGATCCACCCGCCCCGGCCTCCCAAAGTGCTGGGATTACAGGCGTGAGCCACCGTGCCCAGCCAGGAGAGCTTTTTCTTTAATTTTTTTTTAAGCTGCTGAGTTTGTGTTAAGCAGGATCCTAATGTCATTTCCAATCAGTATTAAATCAAATAATATATGTAAAATATTTGCATAATTATTGGAATTATTTGGTAAATGTACAAAAAAGCTAGCTATTATTGCTGAACTATAGGACAGTGTTCAACAGGTACACAGTCCAATAGAGGGCATGTCATCAAACAAATAACTGCAGCACAGTTAGAAACTATAGCAGAGGGAGGTATTAGGTACAAGACTGGCCCAAAGAAGGGTGTAATGAGTGCTTCTAGGCTAGACATTGAGTTTAACACTTCTCAGGCATTTTCTCTTTTCATTGTCAGAACAATTCTGTGAAGTAGGTACTCATATTACACCTATTTCCCAGGTAAGAAAACAGATGTTAAGTAACATGCTAGTCACATGCTTATCACAGCTGTTGAAGTAGCAGAGCTGGGATTCAAACCACGTCTGTCTGCTAAATCCAGGATACATGCTCATTATTCACTACATTGTATCATGTCTGCTCATCCAAGTTAGGGAGTAGTTCCTAGAGGAAGAACATGAACTGAGCATTGAAGGATAAGGCATTTAACAGACAGATGAGAGGGAGACGGGCACTCCAGGTGAGGGAACATGTATATGCAAAGGCAGGGAGTTATGAAACAGACCATGTGCCCACAGAAATGGAAGACTTCCGCTTGTCAGAATAGTGATGATTTCTACTGTCTTTTTTTTTTTTTTTCCAGACAGAGTCTCACTTTGTTGCCAGGCTGGAGTGCAGTGGTGCAATCTCAGCTCACTGCAACCTCTGCCTCCCGGGTTCAAGTGATTCTCCTGCCTCCCGATTAACTGGGAGTACAGGGGCATGCCACCACGCCCAGCTAATTTTTGTATTTTTAGTAGAGACGGGGTTTCACCATGTCGGCCAGGATGGTCTCCATCTCTTGACCTCATGATCCGCCCACCTCGGCCTCCCAAAATGCTGGGATTACAGGCATGAGCCATTGCACCCAGCCCGATTTCTACTGTCTAAAAGCAACATAGAGTCAAGCCCAGGGCCATGCACTTACCATACCATGTCTCTTAAGACTTACCATGGGCCTGACGCAGTGGATCATGCCTGTAATCCCAGCACTTTGGGAGGCCAAGGCAGATGAATCACCGGAGGTCAGGAGTCCGACACCAGCCTGACCAACATGGAGAAACCCCATTTCTACTAATACAAAAATTAGCCGGGCATGGGGGCGCATGTGTGTAATCCCAGCTACTTGGGAGGCTGAGGCAGGAGAATCGCTTGATTTGGGTGGGATTGACTCTAAATCCATCCTTAAGGGTTGTACTAACTGGTTTTATCCAATCAGCATATCTCACCTCTCCGGCCCCAGGGATTGGCTCAGAAGTTGACAATTAACTCAGGTAGTGCCAGGGAGGGCCAGTGACCTCTGGGAACAAGCAGCTTCTTCCTTCTTCCTTGGAGGCTACTGGAAGAGACCTCTGTCTTCCTCTGGGTAATGTAGTGAGAGCTATTTTGTAACCATGTGGACAGAACCTAGAGCTGCCTGCCTGTGGGTGAGTTGGGACACCAAGGATTAAGGCAGAGCCAAGAACAGAAAGAAGCCAGACTTCTGACACCATCTGTGCTGCTGAATCAGGCATTCCCTGAGGCCAGACCTGCTTCTGGACTTTTCAGTCACGTGAGCCAAGATTATGTTGTTTAAACTAGCTTGTGTTGAGTTTTCTGTTACTTGTAGCCAAAGGCATCCTAACTGATACGGCTGTGGAGGAAGAAAACAGAACATGAAGTCAGCATGCAAGAGGCTTATTTTTTTTTAAATATATATTTTATTTTTCTTGAGACGGAGTCTCGCTGTCACCCAGGCTGGAGTGCAGTGGTGTGATTTCCGCTCACTGCAACCGCCGCCTCCCAGGTTCAAGTGATTCTCCTGCCTCAGCCTCTTGAGCAGCTGGGATTACAGGCACGTGCCACCATGCCTGGCTAATTTTTGTAGTTTTAGTAGAGACGGGGTTGCACCATGTTGGTCAGGATGGTCTCGATCTCTTGACCTTGTGATCCACCCGCCCGGTCTCCCAAAGTGCTGGGATTACAGGTGTGAGCCACCGCGCCCGACTGACATTTTTACTTTTTTTTATTTTTATTTTATTTTATTTTTTTTTGAGATGGAGTTTCGCTTTTGTCGCCCAGGCTGGAGTGCAATGGCACAATCTCAGCTCACCGCAACCTCTGCCTCCCGGGTTCAAACGATTCTCCTGCCTCAGCCTCTGAGTAGCTGGGATTACAGGCATGCACCACCACGCCCGGTTAATTTTGTATTTTTATTAGAGACGGGGTTTCTCCATGTTGGTCAGGCTGGTCTCGAACTCCCGACCTCAGGTGATCCGCCTGCCTTGGCCTCCCAAAGTGCTGGGATTACAGGCATAAACCACCTTGCCCGGCCCACATTTTTTCTTTTTATATGAAAGAGATATGTTAAAAAGGAGCCAGGGCACCTGTAATCCCAGCTACTCAGGAGGCTGAGGCAGGAGAATCGCTTGAACCTGGGAGGCGAAGGTTGCAGTGAGCTGGGATCCTGCCACTGCACTCCAGCCTGGGCAACAGAGTGAGACTCTGTCTCAAAAAAAAAAAAAAAAAAAAAAAAAGGAGCCAGCTGAGAGAGACTGAAGGCACAGAAAATAAGAGCAATAACAATAATCAATAGAGTGATGCTTCTGAGAAACAGAAGTAACAAAACATAGGACATAGAAGGAGCTTTAGACAGAAGGGAATGCTCATCCATGCCTGCAACAAAGTAGGCGCTTAATAAATATTTGTAAATTGAGTAGATCAATGATTTGGGACCTTCTGAAAACTCCTCTATATTGATAGAGGAATTTATCACTGATTTATAGAAGGCTACTTTCTTCTGCATTTTGCATCTTGCCAAGTCATTCTCTGAGGTCACCCTAGCTTAGGCTTTTGAAATACCTTGTTATCACATGCATGCAGACTTTTTCAGGAAATGTAGAGACAGAAAAGAATCTCTGATCCTGAACTCTTTACATGATTTTTAGGCTTCTCTCTCTGTGTCCAGTGTTTTTCAAAATGAGTCCCTCTCATAACTTACAAGGAAATCACTCTAGGCATCTGTTAAAAATGCAGATTCTGGCCGGGCGCGGTGGCTCACCCCTGTAATCCCAGCACTTTGGGAGACCAAGGCAGGTGGTTCACGAGGTCAAGAGATTGAGACCATCCTGGCCAACACGGTGAAACCCTGTCTCTACTAAAAATACAAAAAAATTAGCCGGGCATGGTGGTGGGTGCCTGTAGTCCCAGCTACTCGGGAGGCTGAGGCAGGAGAGTGGCGTGAACCCAGCGGGGCAGAGCTTGCAGTGAGCGGAGATTGCGCCACTGCATTCCAGCCTGGGCGACAGAGCAAGACTCCTTCTCAAAAATAAATAAATAAATAATAATAATAATAATTTTAGCTGAGGTAGGAGGATAGCTTGAGCCCAGGAGTTCAAATCTAGCCTGGGTGACAGAGCAGAACCCCATTTCTAAAAATATAATAATAATACAAATTAATTAACACAAAAATACAAATAACTTTAAAGATATAAGATTGTTCCTATGGTAACATCCCTTTCACTCCTTGGTATTGTGATATGCTTTTCTGAAAGCTGTTTTTGAGTACAGTGTACACTTCAGGATATGTGTATATCCAATAAAAGACAGCCTCTGTTACATGTGCTGAGGTAGGAACAAAAGGTTATGAACTACAGAGCTATCCTGAGAGAGGCCAGAGAGAGGGCTGACCTTACAGCATCTTAAAATTAGTTCCCAGCTCAGCACAGTGGTTCATGCCTGCCCAACACTTTGGGAGGCCAAGGTGGGAGGATCACTTAAGCTCAGGAGTTTGGGATCAGCCTGGGCAACATATGGAGACCTCATCTCTACAAAAATAAAGAAAAATTAGCCAGGTGTGGTGGTGCATTTCTCTGGTCCCAGCTACTTGGGAGGCTGAGTTGGGAGATCGCTGGGGCCTGGGAGGTTGAGGCTGCAGTGAGCTGTGATTGTGCCACTGCATTGCAGCCTGAGTGACAGAGTGAGACTCAGTCTCAAAACAAAACAAAACTTTGAGATGATGGACACTTGCATAGGAAAAAAAAATTAGTTCTCACTTACCAGGAGGAAACAATTAAATACAAAGAAGCCAAGGATTCCCATTTAATATATACTCACCATGTGTATTTTAGTCATGGAACTCAGGCCTCTGGTGGTAGACATTACCTCATGGATATACAAAGCATTTTCTGACACTCCCTGGTGCCACCTTGGCGTGGCACTCAAACCAGTCTAACGCTGCAGGGAGAAACCACATTATAGGATAACACATGTTGCATGATCCTGTTTTGGGGTGTGTTTACATGTATTCCCTAAGAGGTCTGGAACAATACATACTAAACTAGTCATAGGAGTTTTTCCTGGAGAATGAGATTGGGAGAGAAGAGGGATGAGGGTGAGGACCTCCTTTTTATTTTATATACTTCTGGATTTGGATTTCTTATTTTGTATTCTAAAAAATAAATTTGGCTGGGCATGTTGGCTCATGTCTTTAATCCCAGCACTTTGGAATTCCAAGGCAAGAGGATCACTTAAGCCCAGGAGCTCAAGACCAATGTAGGCACCATGGTGAGACCTTGTCTCTACAGAAATATTTAAAAATTAGCCGGGCATGGTGGAGTGCCTGTTGTCCCAGCTGCTCTGTGAGCCATGATCCTGTCACTGTATTCCAGCCCGGGCAATGGAACAAGACTCTGTTTCAAACAAAACAAAACAAAAACCATAATAGTACATTATTTAAAAAAAAAAAAAAGTACATTATTTAAATCCAGGCACAGGGGCTCACGTCTGTAATCCAAACACTTTGGGATGTTGAGGTGGGAGGACTGCTTGAGCCACGAGTTCGAGACCAGCCTGGGCAACACAGGGAGACCCTGTCTCTGCAAAAAAAATACAAAAATTAGCTGAGTGTGGTGGTGCGCTGTAGTCTCAGCTACTCGGGAGGCTGAGGTGGGAGGACTGCTTGAGCCTAGGAGGTTGAGGCTGCAGTGAGCCATGACGGTGCCATTGTACTCCAGTCTGGGGGACAGAGCAAGACCCTGTCTTTAAAAAATAAAAATAAATACAATTGGCCAGGCATGGTGGCTCACGCCTGTAATCCCAGCACTTTGGGAGGCTGAGGCGGGTGGATCACCTGAGGTCAGGAGTTTAAGACCAGCCTGACCAACATGGAGAAATCCCATCTCTACTAAAAATACAAAATTAGCGGGGTGTAGTGGCACATGCCTGTCATCCCAGCTACTCGGGAGGCCGAGGCAGGAGAATTTCTTGAACCTGGGAGGCAGAGGTTGTGGTGAGCCGAGATCGTGCCATTGCACTCCAGCCTGGGCAACAAGAGCAAAACTGCCTCAAAAAATAAAAAATAAAAAATAAATAAATAAATAAAAATAAATACAATAAATAAAGAGACTTTCAATACCTACAGTAAGAGGTCAAGGAAAGCTGAGCCTGAGGATAATCATCAGAGTAGCCGGAGCTCCAATAAGCTTAAACTCCCAAGCAAGGCAGTGTGCCTAAGCCAAAGGCCAGGCCCTAGTTGAGAAATAATGGGACCATGACAAATGGGATGGGGATATCTGGTTAATACCCCTAAAGAATTTGAAATCCCAGGTACTCCCGAACCCTCTGAACCTGCAGAAATGATCTTCCATCCAGCCTCCTCTCCTCCTTTTAGACACTGCAGAGGCTTGTCCCTGGCAGGACTGAAGGATTTCTCCTTCCCCTCAGAATCTGCTCTTACCCCTCTCCTGGCCACTAGACTTATATAGGGTTAAGTCACCACATAACCCAGTGGGGGACATATTGGGCCTAATAAAGGAGGAAAAGGACTATACGCCAAAAGAGCTGCAAGAACTAGCCAAGCAGGTGGTGGCAGGAGCTGGGAGAGTAGCAAACGACTGGATTCTGAGGGTGCCTGATCAAGAGGACCAAGTTGTAAGATTGGGCCGGATATGGTGGCTCATGCTATAATCTCAACACTTTTAAGAAACTGAGGCAGGAGGATCACTTGAGGATAGGAATTGGAGACCAGCTTGGGCAACATAGTGAGATCTTGTCCCTACAAAAAATAAAAATAAAAAAATTAGCAGGGTGTGTTGGCACATGCCTCTAGTCCCAGCTACTTGGCAGGCTGAGGTGGGAGGATTGCTTGAGCCCAGGAGTCTAAGGCTGCAGTGAGCCATGATCATACCACTGCACTCCAGCCTGGGTGACAGTGCAAGACTCTGTTTCAAAAAAAAAAAAAAAATTCCAAGATTAGATAATGGACAGTATTTTTTTTTTTTTTTTTTTGAGATGAGGTCTCGCTCTGTTGCCCAGGCTGGAGTGCAGTGATGTGATCTCAGCTCACTGCAACCTCCGCCTTCCAGGTGCAAGCAATTCTCCTGCCTCAGCCTCCCGAGTAGCTGGGACTACAGGTGGGTGCCACCACGCCCAGCGAATTTTTGTATTTTTAGTAGAGACGGGGTTTCACCATATCAGCCAGGCTGGTCTCGAACTCCTGACCTCAAGTGATCCACCCTCCTTGGTCTCCCAAAGTGCTAGGATTACAGGCATGAGCCACCCCGCCTGGCCTAACTTATTATTATCATTATTTTTTTAAATTTTGAGATGGAATTTCACTCTTGTTGCCCAGGCTGGAGTGCAATGGCGCGATCTCAGCTCACTCCAACTCCGCCTCCTGGGTTCAAGTGATTCTCCTGCCTCAGCCTCCCAGGTAGCTGGGATTACATGCGCCTGCCACAATGCACAGCTAATTTTTTTTTTTTTGTATTTTTAGTAGAGATGGGATTTCACCATGTCGGCCAGGCTGGTCTTGAACTCCTGACCTCAGGTAATCCGCCTGCCTCGGCCTCCCAAAGTGCTGGGATTACAGGCGTGAGCCACCACACTCGGCTTGGCCTAACTTACTATTTTTTTTGAGACGTGGTTTCTCTAAGTTGCCAAGGATGGATTCCACCTCCTGGGCTCAACCGATCCTCCTACCTTAGCCTCCCAAGTAACTGGGACCATAGACCTGTGCCTCCATGCCTGCTTTGTAAACTTAAACCTTATAAGAACCCAAAGAGACAGACACTATCATTATCCTCATTTTACTAATTGGAAACTTTGACTGGTTGGGTTCTCTGGGAAGCTGACTCAAGAGGGAGTTTAAAGCAACGTTTATTCACTAAATTTAGACATTGATTAGACTCAATACGGACTAACTTCAGTACGTGAATCATTAGAAGACCCCTTGCAGAAAGATCAAAATCTACAGATTTCACTCAAAGAACATACTTTTATTAATTCCAGTCAAGGGCCACTGACCATGTCATGGCTTCCTTTTTAGCAGTACTGTGTATTAACACATTTAAAGAGGGTCCTCCAGAAGGGCACCACAGGCTTCAGGGTGGCTAGACATACGGAAGCTGGGCTGGTGATTCGGGGTCACCTTGGCCATGGTTCCAAGGATATGTCGGGGGAGAAAAGTCTATGAGCTGTATCTTAGGAAAACTCTTCTAGGGTAAAGAGGTAGTTGGACTTTATTTAGGTTGTTTTATTTATTTATTTTTTTGAGACAGGGTCTCACTTTGTCACCCAGGCTGAAGTGCAGTGGTGCGATTATTTTCTTTTTTCCTTTTTTTTTTTTTGAGAACAGGCTCGCTATTGTTGCCCAGGCTGGAGTGCAGTGGCGCGATCTCAGCTCACTGCAACCTCCACCTCCCAGGTTCAAGCAATTCTCTGCCTCAGCCTCCCAAGTAGCTGGGAATACATGCGCCCACCACCACGTCTGACTAATTTTTGTATTTTTAGTAGAAACGGGGTTTCACTGTCTTGGCCAAGTTGGTCTTGAGCTCCTGACCTCGTGATCCACCTGCCTCAGCCTCCCAAAGTGCTGGGGTTACAGGAAAGAGCCACTGCACCCGGTCCAGATTATTATTATTATTATTATTATTATTTTTGAGAAAGAGTCACGTCTGTTGCCAGGCTGGAGTGCAGTGGTACGATTTCGTCTCACTGCAGCCTCCGCCTTCAGGTTCAAGTGATTCTCCTGCCTCAGCCTCCCAAGTAGCTGGGATTACAGGAACACGCCACTATGCCCGGCTAATTTTTGTATTTTTAGTAGAGACAGGGTTTTACCATGTTGGTCAGGCTGGTCTCGATTTCCTGACCTTGTGATCCCCCTGCCTCAGCCTCCCAAAGTTGGGATTACAGGCGTGAGCCACTGTGCCCGGCCTAATTTTTGTATTTTTAGTAGAGATGGGGTTTTGCCATGTTGGCCAGGCAGGTCTTGAACTCCTGCCCTCAGGTGATCGGCCCTCTTCAGCTTCCCAAAGTGCTGGGATTACATGTGTGAGCCACCACGCCCGGCCCCTACTTTATATTCCTAATCACTAAAGGAAATAACTTCTGGAGCTGACCTTTTTATCAGCTGACCTCAAACTTAAGTATAAAAACTTATTTCCTATACACACCAGTTCCCAAAACCTTCTTCTCTCCTCTTGTATTTCATTTTTTTGATGAAGGGCTCACCTGCCACTAGCTTCCTAAGCTAGAATCTGAACATCAATAGGTATCTGGGAGCACTCCTTCCCTTACCCCTATCCCAAATCCTGGGGATTCTACGTTCCAAATTATCCAGAGTCCATCCACTTCTTTCCATTCCCACAGCTTCGTCCTTAGGTCAGGACACCATCATCTCTTGCCAAGAAGACAACAACAATCCAAGCGATCTCCCTGCCCTTAGTCCATTCGCCATACTGCGGTCAGAGTAATCTTTGAAAAACACAAATCAGGCCTGGGTGCAGTGGCTCATGCCTATAATCCCAGCACTTTGGGAGGCTGAGGCGGGCGGATCACCGGAGGCCAGGAGTTTGAGACCAGCCTGGCCAACATGCTGAAACCCCATCTCTACTGAAAATACAAAAATTAGCAGGGCGTGGTGAAGGGCGTCTGTAATGCCATCTATTCCGGAGGTTGAGGCTGGAGAATCGCTTGAACCCAGGCGGCAGAAGTTGCAGTGAGCCAAGATCGCGCCATTGCACTCCAGCCTGGGCGACAAGAACGAAACTCCGTCTCAAAAAAAAAAAAAAAAAAAAAATTAGCCGGGCGTGGTGGCAGGAGCCTGTAATCCCAGCTACTCAGGAGGCTGAGGCAGGAGAATCGCTTGAACCTGGGAAGCGGAGTTGCAGTGAGCTGCCACTGCACTCCAGGCCGGGCAACAAGAGCGACTCCGTCTCCAAAACAAACGAACAAACAAACAAACAAACAAAAAAACACCACCACAAATCAGGCTGGGCACGGTAGCTCACGCCTGTAATCCCAGCACTTTGGGAGGCCAAGGCAGGAGGATCCCTTGGGCCCAGGGGTTCGAGACCAGCCTGGGCAATATAGGGAGGCCCCGTCTCTACTAAAACACAAAACCACACACAAATCAAATCATGTGGTTCTTCAGTTTAAAATCTTTCAATACTCAAGTTCAAACTCCCTAATTCAGCTTACTTATTAGGATCTGAGTGAGGCAGTCGCCGTGTCCTTCTCCAGCCTGGTCTGTCGCCTATCCCCACCCACAATCTCTGCTCTGGCCATAACTAACTTCAGTTCTCCGAACCTAACTTTATTATCGCCGGGCCATTTTGCCTACGCTGTTCTCTGCATGCAACACTCTACTCTCCTTTTGGGTAATTCAGATGCATTCTCCAGGTCCCAGCTCAGCTGTCATTCGCACAGCCCGGGTCGGCAGTCTCCAGCCCCCAACCGGTGTCCACCGCGTGGTCCAGGCGACTTATGTCTTCCAGGCCGTCGGCCCCTTAAGTACACGCCATCAGTGTTGGACAGCTTGAAAGTAGGTAGACACGTGAGCCCCCTCAGAGAGAACCTGGATCCTTGCGGCTCCAGCCCCCGATAGGAAGAGAGCCCACCAAACTTCGGCTCCGCAGCAGAGATACAGCCAAGGACTCCAGGGCAGTCGCGGGTAAAGCCACCACCACTCTCTGCCGGGAACCAGCGACGGGGGAAGGCCCCGCCTCTCACGCTGCGTCGGGGGCGGGGCAGGGCGGGGCACCCGGCGACCTGCGAACGGCGTGCGGCGAGCAGGGGGCGGGGCCAGGGGGGCGGAGCGGAGCGCGCATGCGCGGTCGCCTTTGTGTGGGTCGAGCAGCGGCGGCGGCGGCGGCAGTGGCGGTCCCACTGGCAGGCGGGCAAGAGGGGAGTCCGGGCGGCGGCCGGCGTGGGAGCCGGGGGACCACCATGGTAAAGAAGCGGAAAGGCCGCGTCGTGATCGACTCGGACACAGAGGACAGCGGCAGCGACGAGAACCTGGATCAGGTGAGGGCAGGCCGCGGAGGCGCGGGCCGGCGGAGCCAGAGGGCTGTCGGGGCCGCGGGAGCCGGAGACGGCCGGGCCTGGAGCCTTCCTACCAGAGCGCCCAGCTCGCCCCGTGCCCTGGGCACCACTACAGCCCCTTTCCCGTCTTCCTGGAGTGTGCGGGGCCTTGGAGACCGGCCCGGGCCTGGAGACGGAGCCCCGAGGACTTGGCGCCTTGGGCGGGGAGGCGGGGCAGGGACCGGGCCGTTGGGCCTCGGGCTCGGGGGTAGCGAAAGGGGCCGCGATCTTCCGGGGCCAGATCGGGGCGGCGGGCTGTAGTCCAGGAGATCCGGGCTGGGAGAGATAGGAAGTATCGCCCGCCAACCTGGGAGGCTGGGAGGTTTTGGAGGAGGTGCAAGGGTGCGCGTCGAGCAGTTGGGGGCGAGGGCCAAGAAGATCCGGACTCTGGAAGATGGAAGTTTTTCGGACAAGGGATGTGGACAGAGGAAGGACACTCGTAAATGTTCCTAGGAGCCTCTGCCATGCTTGCCAAGGATGACTTAGCTGTGGGCACGAGTTTATTTGGCGACTAGGGTCGTTTGTGTTTGAGAAGGGCCCTTGTTGAGGTGTCAGACCCAAAAAAACACTCTTGGGTGGAGGAAAGAGGGCAGATACTGGAAGAAATAGAGAACTATGTAGGGCGACATGGAGGGACTGTGCATAGCCCAGGCCTCCTCTTGGCCCTTTCACGCAGCATCCCAGAATTCTTTCTTACTTGAAGACTGCAGGAAGCACTGAAAGTAACTTTTGGCCTCAGTGTCTTGGGGTTGAACTGTTTATATACTCTAGAAAACATTGTAGGGAGGAATCTGCTCTTTGTAGCAGTGCTCTAGTGATACCAGGCGATACAAAGATGGTCTCCTTTCTGTTTAATGAGCAAATGATGTAAAGAAAGAATATGCAAGAGATAGTAGCTTTTGAGTAGAAAGAGTATTGAACTTGGAGTCTGAAAATTTGAATTCTAGGCTGGGCTTATGCTATTTTCTAGCTATATATCTTTGGTCTTAAATGTAAAATGAAAATGTAACATCAGCCTTGTGTATCTAATTGGTTTATTGTAAAGATCAAGTGTTTGTAAAAATTGATGGCAGTGCAAGCATTTGCTAATTGTAAAGTTTTTCTATGAATGGCTTCTTGGGGGTCTTTTATATGAAGCCAGAGGTCTCAGTTTGAAAGTATTAGGGGCTGGGCGCGGTGGCTCACGCCTGTAGTCCCAGCACTTTGGGAGGCCAAGGCTCATCTGAGGTCGGGAGTTCGAGACCAGCCTGACCAACATGGAGAAACCCCATCTCTACTAAAAATACAAAATTAGCGGGGCGTGGTGGCACATGCCTGTAATCCCAGCTACTCGGGAGGCTGAGGCAGGAGAATTCTTGAACCCGGGAGGCGGAGGTTGCAGTGAGCCTGGGCAACAAGAGCGAAACTCCATCACAAAAAAAAAAAAAAAAAGAAAAGAAAGAAAAAGAAAGTATTAAGGCATAAAAGGGGAGGACTTTTTATTTATTTATTTATTTTTTTTTGAGACGGAGTCTCGCACTGTCGCCCAGGCTGGAGTGCAGTGGTGCGATCTTGGCTTCACTGCAAGCTCCGCCAAGGGGAGGACTTTTAAGAAGAAAAGGATTGAGGAGGTGCTGTAGAAAGAAGACTGCTTTGAAAATGGTGGTAGGGAGATGGAGAAGTAATGGGGCCTGTGTAAGACTATCTAAGGAATAGAAACTTTGTTTTGGGGTAGGAATTGAAAATGTTCTCATTGAAAGGCTCCTGAAGTTTACAAAAATATCAAAAGTATAATTTCGACTGTAAAAGTTTGATTGGTAGATAATTTTAGACTGGCAATTAGAAGGAGTAGAATCTATTTTTTTCTGTCTTTTCATCTACAAATGTGAATGTTTCAGACAATAACAACATTGGCTACCATTTATATAGTGCCTAGAGTAGGCACTTTAATTGTTTTGTTTAGATTTTCAAGTTTTCACATTATGGTAAATTTGGAATTATTTCCTCTACTTTACATAAAGAAAATGGAGGTTGAAAAAGTTAAATAACTCACAACTAGTAAGTGGTAGCATTGGGATTTGAACCCAGATCTGCATGAGTACAAAGCCTATACTGTTTCCACTATACCAACTCAATCTGTTAGTTTTAAATTTTTTTCATACTGCAAAATGATAATGTTTCACAGTCATTTTTCATGGTGCTAGAGTTCGTGTTTATAAAGTACACTGGATAGTTTAGAGGAAATTGGTACATACATTAAAAGGATTATTTGGGGGGATTTCTTGGTAAAGCACTCTCAAGACATCTGTTCAAGTGATGAATGAACTGAACTGCAAATTATTGTCCTTAGTAGTTTCCCACAGAATTCTGATGAATAAAATAAGTTGAGTGCTTCTTTTCGTGGTAGAGATATTTCACCTGATCCACAAAAAGCTTTTTCAAAGTGGGAACTGCAGAGAATTGCCACTTTATTTATTTATTTATTTTTGAGACGGAGTCTTGTTCTGTTGCCTGGGCTGGAGTTCAGTGGCACAATCTCAACTCACTGCAACCTCCGCCCACTGGGTTCAAGCGATTCTCCTGCTTCAGCCTCCCGTGTAGCTGGGACTACAGGTGCCTGTCACCACACCTGGCTAATTTTTTGTATTTTTAGTGGAGACAGGGTTTCTCCATGTTGGCCAGGCTGGTTTCGAACTCCTGACCTCAAGTGATATGCCCACCTCGGCCTCCCAAAGTGCTGGGATTACAGGCATGAGCCACCGTGCTTGGCCGGAATTGCAATTTTAAATCCAATTCTAAATATCTATTTGTAAAAGGAAATTAACATAAAATGTGTAATACCTAATACATTTTAACAACAAATTTAACTTCCTCCCCTTCAGCTTCTTATTTGCATTCTTGTTATCAGATGGGAACTAGATCAAAATTCCCTTTCCCTGCACATCCTAACAGGGGTATTGATGCCTTCAGTTTGTCTGTTCAGCACTATGCCAGACTCTCAGAATAATCAAAGAGGAAGATCTCTGCCCTCTAGACATTTTCACGAAAGACCTTTAGCACAAGTTCACTGTCAGTGCTGCTTGGGGGTCTTTAGGAATCCTAATGCATTCTGGATCTTTCCTGCCCCAAATACCTTGTGCTGCTCCATCTGGTTCTGAGTCTTCACTGGGGGTATAACATTAGACTTGCTGTCTAGCGTATGGTACTTGTGGAAGGAACAAACCATGACAGATCACTGAGTATCTAGTGTGGATTGGAATGCAGTTCGTAAGGAGGCCTTTTGTCCCTGGGTTTTTCAGATGGGAATCTGAGCCATTATGTCAAAAATTTTACCTCCAATTTATTCCTTACTGAAGGTGAGATATATGGGCCTTCTAGGCTGGTTTTTCCTGGTGGTAGGGGCAGACCTCTGTGTCAGAAGCCACCTGGGTTGCTTATTTAAAATGTAGGTTGGGACTTAGAGGGTGCAGCAGTTCCCATCCTAGACCTACTGAATCAGACTCTCAGGGGATAGAGGTCTGGACTCTGCATTTGTAACAGGTATAGCTCAAGTAATTATGATTTATGTTAGTGATTAAGATCACTGCCTATATGCAGGTTAATCTTTTTAGTAACACACTATAAGTATTTAGAAGAGAAATAGCTTCCTGTGTCTGCCATAGTACTTCCAAATTAAGCGTACATGTATAGGCTGGGCATGGTGGCTCATGCCCTGTAATCTCAGCACTTTGGGAGGCCAAAGTGGGAGGAACACTTGAGCCCAGGTGTTTGAGATCAGCGTAGGCAACAAAGTGAGACCTCATCTGTACAAAGACTTTAAAAATTGGCCAGGTGCAGTGGCTCATACCTGTAATCCCAGCACTTTGGGAGGCCGAGGTGGGCGGATCACCTGAGGTTGGGAGTTTGAGACCAGCCTGACCAACATGGAGAAACCTCGTCTCTACTAAAAATACAAAATTAGCCAGGCATGGTGGTGCTTGCCTGTAATCCCAGTTACTCAGAAGGCTGAGGCAGGAGAATCACTTGAACCCAGGAGGTGGAGGCTGTGGTGAGCCGAGATCGTGCCATTGCACTCCAGCCTGGGAAACAAGAGTGAAACTCTGTATTAAAAAAAAAAAAAAAAGAATTTAAAAATTAGCTGGGCATGGTGGCGTGCCTCTAGTCTCAGCTACTTGGGAGTCTGGGGTGGGAGGATTGCTTGAGCCTGGGAGGTTGAAGTTGCAGTTACTTGTGGTCCCACCGTTTCTCTTCAGCCCAGGTAACAGAGTGAGACCCTGTCCCAAAGAAAAAAAAAAAAAAGGCACTTGTATAACTAAAAGAACTTGACAGGGAGGTTTTAAGATGGCAAAACTACTGGTTCTTTTTTTTTTTTTTTTTAGGCAGGGTTTCACTCCTGTCACCCAGGCTGGAGTGCAGTGGCACAATTACAGCTCACGGCTGTAGCGTTGACCTCCCTAGCTCAGTGATCCTTCCCCCTCAGCCTCTCAAGTAGCTGGGACTACAGGTGTGCACCACCACACCCAGCTAATTTTTAAAATCATTTGTAGAGATGGGGGTCCCACTACATTGCCTAGGCTAGTCTGAAACTCCTGGGCTTGGGTGATTCTCAGGCTTTGGCCTCCCAAAGTGCTGGAATTACAGGTGTGAGCTGCCACACCAGGCCTTATTTATTTATTTGTTTGTTTGTTTATTTATTTATTTTTGAGATGGAGTCTCACTCTATCGCCCAGACTGGAGTACAATAGCACGATCTCGACTCACTGCACCTTCCACCTCCTGGGTTCAAGCAATTCTCCTGCCTCAGCCTCCTGGGTAGCTGAGATTACAGGCGCCTGCCACCACACCTGGCTAATTTTTTGTATTTTCAGTAGAGACGCTATGTTGGCCAGACTGGTCTCTAACTCCTGGCCTCAGGTGATCCAGCACCTGGCCTTATTTTAACCTTTGAAAGTTTTTAAAACTAAGACCTAGTTTGAGAGTTTGAAAGCTTTTCTTTTAGCATTTGACCTGATAGTGACTCTGTCCTTATTTTGACCACACCCTTTCTTCAACATTTTTAAATTTCAAGATACTTGCTGTTGGTGCCTATTGGGAAATAATAATTTGAGGCAAACCTCTGGGCTCTATGTCATCTCCCTTTATGGAATAATATTTATGCAGTAAGTCCTATAAAATGAAAAGCATTCAAGATAATAAAGGAACCAGAGTTCTCAATTCAAATCAGTACAACTCCGTATTTATAAAAATTTTACTCTACCTTTCTAAAAAACTAAAAATTGAGCTATGTGCACACTGGGATGCTTTATTTTATAGGTTTCTTATTTAAAATGGAGATTATATTGTCATGTCCTGTTTTTCTCTGTTTATCTAACTTGAAGTAGCAATAATTAAATTTGTCTTTGAGAGAATAGGCCCCCCTAAGTATTTTCTTTTTTCTTTTTTTTGAGACGGAGTCTCGCTCTGTCACCCAGGCTGGAGTGCAGTGGCGCGATCTTGGCTCCTGCAGCCTCCGCCTCCCGGGTTCAAACAATTCTCTGCCTCAGCCTTCCGAGTAGCTTGGATTACAGGCGCACGCCACCACGTCCAGCTAATTTTTGTATTTTTAGTAGAGACGGGGTTTCACCATCTTGGCCAGGCTGGTCTTGAACTCCTGACCTCGTGATCCACCCTCCTCGGCCTCCCAAAGTGTTGGGATTACAGGCGTGAACCACCGTGCCCGGCCAGCCCTGTAAGTATTTTCTAGGAGCTGTTTTTAGATACTACATGTAAAGAATATTATTATTATAAAGTATACTTCTATAAACCTTCCCCATAAATCTTGAGAAATTTAAAAGTTGTGCTTCTTGTTAATGTAGTGTTTTCCGCATTAATCAGAGGCAAATTTTGAAGTGTAGGAAGAGTTTGTGAGAAGTGTCAGTGTTAATTTGTGAAAACTTTAATTTGTGTCATGTTGCATCTAGCTTGATGTAATTCGCTTGTTAATTTCACTCTTTTCAAAGAGTGAGTCCCATGGGAGCTCCCTCCCCACCCAGCCCCCACCCAAGATGGAGTCTTGCTCTGTCACCCAGGCTGGAGAGCAATGGCACGCTGGGCTCACTGTAGCCTCCGCCTCTAGGTTCAAGTGATTCTCCTGCCTTAGCCTCCCGAGTAGCTGGGATGACAGGCACGCGCCACCACTCCCGGCTAATTTTACATTTTTATTAGAGATGGGGTTTCTCCATGTTGGTCAGTCTGGTCTCAAACTCCCGACCTCAGATGATCCACCCACCTCGGCCTCCCAAAGTGCTGGGATTACAGGGGTGAGCCACCACGCCCAGCCCTGGGAGCTTTAACAGTGAGGCTTTTAGGAAAAATACAAAACTGATCTTCAGACACAGGTCATATTGGTGTATTTATTTTTATTTATTTATTTATTTATTTTGAGATGGAGTCTCACTTTGTTGCCCAGGCTGGAGTGCAGTGGGACGATCTCAGCTCACTGCCACCTCCGCTTCCCGGGTTCAAGCAATTATCCTGCCTCAGCCTCCCAAGTAGCTGGGATTACAGGTATGCACCACCATGCCCGACTAATTTTTGTATTTTTAGTAGAGATGGGGTTTCACCATGTTGGCCAGGCTGGTCTCAAACTCCTGACCTCAAGTGATCCGCCCTCCTTGGCTTCCCCAGGGTGCTGGGATTTCAGGCATGAGCCACCGCATCCGGCCTGATTGTTCATCGTTCAACAGATGTATTAGACAGCGTTAGACACTAGAGCTATTGGGTGAACAAAATGGAAGCAGTTTCCACCTTCAAGGAGTGTAAAGTGGAATGAGAGAGAGATGAGGTGGGGAGATTGCTCAGAGAGAGTAATTTCCTTACAATTGCACTACAGGCCATGAAGCAAGGACAAGAATACTGTGGAAATATTAACCAGGGACCCTATTCTAGCCTGATGAGAGTGACATTGAAACAGACCTGGAATATGTGTTAAGGAGAAGCAGATTAGAAGACTGAAGAGTAAAGGGAAGAGTGTTGAATGTTCATGGTTGAGGCACCAGCATATATAAAAGAAATGAGACAGGAAGGACCTCGAACCCTTATGAAACTGAAAGAAGCACAGAGTGAGTAACATAAACTAGTTGCATAGTTGGAGAGAGAATAGTACAAATGAAACTGTAGAGGTAGATTCTGTTTTGACCCTTTGAGGATGGAGAAGTCAGTTTACGGACTACACTCAGCAGTAAAAATAAAATTGAATTGATAGAAAACATCAAATGTGTCATACATAGTAAATATAAGTGATGAAATTTGTGTGTCTCATATGTACATGTAGATGTATACTGGGTTGTGAGGTATAATTTATCTTCCTGTGGGCTGCGTTAAAAAGAGAAAAGTTTTTTGGCCAGGCGCAGTGGCTCACGCCTTTAATCCCAGCACTTTGGGAGGCCGAGGTGGGTGGATCATATGAGGCCAGGAGTTCGACCAGGCGGGCCAACATGGCGAAACCCCATCTCTAGTAAAAATACAAAAATTAGCCAAGTGCGGTGGCACACACCTGTAGTCCCAGCCACTGGTGAGGCTGAGGCATGAGAATCCCTTGAACCTAGGAGGCGGAGGTTGCAGTGAGCCGAGATCACCACTGTATTAGCCTGGGTGACAGAGAGACTCCGTCTAAAAAAAACAAAAGAAAAAAAGAAAAAAATTTAAAGCCACTGGAGGGCGTCAGCCTCCCCGGTGGCTGGGACTGCAAGTGTGTGCCACCACACTTGGCTAATTTTTGTTTTTTATTTTTGAGACGGAGTCTCGCTCTTTTGCCCAGGCCGGACTGCAGTGGCGCTGTCTCTGCCACTGCAAGCTTCGCCTCCCGGGTTCATACCATTCTCCTGCCTCAGCCTCCCGAGTAGCTGGGACTATAGGCGCCTGCCACTGTGTCCGGCTAATTTTTTTTTTGTATTTTTAGTAGGCACGGGTTTCACCATGTTAGCCAGGATGGTCTTGATCTCCTGACCTCATGATCTGCCCGCCTCGGCCTCCCAAAGTGTGCTGGGATTACAGGTGTGAGCCACCGCGCCTGGCCAATTTTTGTATTTTTAGTAGAGACTTTGGAGTTTATTCTGAGAGTAATAGGAAGCCATTGAAGGATTTTAAGTTGGAGAAGATTTTCAGATTTGCCTTACCCAGACTATTGTGGAGAGTAATATGGAGGGGGACACTAATGAAGTGGCAGAGAGAGGAGTCCAGATGAGAGATGATGGAGAACATAAGTTCCATTAGAATGGAAGCGCCAGGAGGGTAACCGTATGTGTTCACTATGCTGTCCCTGGCATCTAGAGCAGTGCCTATATGCAGTTGGCACCCAGTCAGTATTTATTAAATGAAGGACTGACTTGGATTGATATGGTTGTTATAGAGATGACAGATAGTGGAATTGGTTGGACATGATGTTCAGTATGTAGAACTAAAAGGCCTTGAAGACTGAGGACTGATTAGATGTTAGGATGAGAAGAGGAGTATTTAGGATTGATGCCAGGCACTGGCATGAGATGGGGAGTGCTGGAGGAGCAGGTTTAGAGGTGAAGATCCTGCATTCAGTCTGGGATATGTGGAGTTCGAAGTGACTATGAGATGTCTAAGTGGAGACATCAAGTAGGTAGTTGAAAATAACACTTGAGGGCCAGGCACAATGGCTCATGCCTGTAATCCCAGCACTTTGGGAGGCTGAGGTGGGAGGATTGCTTGAGCTCAGGAGTTTGAGATCAGCCTAGGCAACATGATGATGAAACCTGATCTCTACAAAAAAAAAAAATTTTTTTTGGAGGTGGAGTCTCGCTCTGTTGCCTAGGCTGGAGTGCAGTGACACCATCTTGGCTCACTGCAACCTCCGCCCTGGGTTCAAGCGATTCTCGTGCCTCAGCCTCCTGAGTAGCTGGGATTACAGGCACATGCCACCATGCCCAGCTAATTTTTTTGATTGTTTGTTTTTATTTTTTTTTTTGGGATAGAGTCTCGCTCTGTCGCCCAGGGTGGAGTGCAGTGGCACGATCTCTGCTCACTGCAACCTCCCCCTCCTGGATTCAAGCGATTCTTCTGCCTCAGCCTCCCGAGTAGCTGGGACTACAGGCGTGCGCCACCATGCCTGACTAATTTTTTGTATTTTTAGTAGAGACAGGGTTTCACCATATTGGCCAGGCTGATCTCGAACTCCAGACGTCATGATCTGCCCACCTCGGCTTCCCGAACTGCTAGGATTACAAGCGTGAGCCACTGTGCCTGGCCATTTTTTTGTATTTTTAGTAGAGATGGGGTTTTTCCATGTTGGCCAGGCTGGTCTCGAACTCCTGACCTCAGGTGATCCACCCCGCCCCCCCCCCCCCCCGCCCCCCCCCCCCGCCGGCCTCCTGAAGTGTTGGGATTACAGGCGTGAGTCTACTGTGCCCAGCCGCTACATATATATGTGTGTGTGTGTGTGTGTGTGTGTGTGTGTGTGTGTGTGTGTGTAATTTTTGTTTGTTTGTTTGTTTGTTTGTTTTTTAGGCAGAGTCTCACTCTGTTGCCCAGGCTGGAGCGCAATGGTGTGATCTCGGCTCACTGCAACCTCCACCTCCCAGGTTCAAGCAATTCTCCTGCCTCAGCCTGCCAAGCAGCTGGGATTACAGGGGCCCACCACCACGCCCAGCTAATTTTTGTATTTTTAGTAGAGATAGGGTTTCACCATGTTGGCCAGGCTGGTCTTGAACTCCTGACCTCGTGATCCACCCACCTTGGCCTCCCAAAGTGCTGGGACTACAGGCATGAGCCACCATGCCTGGTCTACAAATTTTTTTTTTTTTTTTTTTTTTTTGAGACAGAGTCTTGCTCTGTTGCCCAGGCCGGAGTGCAGTGGTGCGATCTCGGCTCACTGCAAGCTCCGCCTCCCGGGTTCACGCCATTCTCCTGCCTCAGCCTCCTGAGTAGCTGGGACTACAGGCACCCGCCACCATGCCCGGCTAATTTTTTGTATTTTTAGTAGAGACGGGGTTTCACCGTGTTAGCCAGGATGGTCTGGATCTCCTGACCTCGTGATCCACCCACCCTGGCCTCCCAAAGTGCTGGGATTACAGGCGTGAGCCACTGCGCCCGGCCCTACAAAATTTTTAAAAAATTAGCTGAGTGTGGTGGCATGCGCCTGTGGTCCCAGCTATTCATTCAAAATAAAAGCTACATAAGCTGGGTGTAGTGGTGTGTGCCTGTAGTCCCAGCTACCCAGGAGGCTGAGATAGGAGGATCACCTGAGCTTAGGAGGTTGAGGCTGCAGAGAGCCATGATCACACAACTGCACTCCAGCCTGGGTGACAGTGAGACCCTGACTCAAATAATAATAACAGTAATAATAATTATGCCGATGCTCGCCTGACAGAGTAGGCACTTAATAAATTTTTGTTGAATAAGCAGATGCTACTTGGCATACCTATGGTGTCAAGTTTTATTTTTTTTTGAAATGGAGTTTTGCTCTTTGTTGCCCAGGCTGGAGTGCAGTGGGGCAATCTCAGCTCACTGCAACCTCCGCCTCCCGGGTTCAAGTGATTCTCCTGTCTTAGCTTCCCAAGTAGCTGGGATTACAAGTGTCCGCCACCACACCTGGCTAATTTTTGTATTTTTAGTAGAGACGGGGTTTCACCATGCTGGCTAGGCTGGTCTTGATCTCCTGACCTCAGGTGATCTGCCTGGCTTGGCCTCCCAAAGTGCTGGGATTACAGGCATGAGCCACCATGCCTGGCCGCCTTCTTTTTTTTTTAATTTTATTTTTAGAGCTGGGGTCTCACTGTGTCACCCAAGCTACATGGTGGGACATTTTCTAACTTGGTTACATTGAGATTACTTGAAGAGATAAAGGACACTGTCACTTTGGGGGTTCTTGTTCCAACCCCTCTACTGCAATACTGATATCCCTTTTTTTTTTTTTTTTTTTTTTTTTTTTGAGATGGAGTCTCGCTTTGTTGCCCAGGCTGGAGTGCAATGACGTGATCTCAGCTCACTGCAAGCTCTGCCTCCTGGGTTCACACCATTCTCCCGCCTCAGCCTCCCGAGTAGCTGGGACTACAGGTGCCCGCCACTACACCCGGCTAATTTTTTTGTATTTTTAGTAGAGACGGGGTTTCACTGTGTTAGCCAGGATGGTCTCGATCTCCTGACCTTGTGATCCGCCCACCTCAGCCTCCCAAAGTGCTGGGATTACAAGTGTGAGCTACCGTGTCCGGCCCCCTACTCCTTTTTTTTTTTTTGAAGACAGGGTCTCACTCTGTTACCCAAGCTGAAGTGCAGTGACGTGGTCATGGATCACTCTAGCTTTGACCTCCTGGCTTCAAGTGATCCTCCCTCCTCTGCCTCTGGAGTAGCTGGGATCACAGGTGTGTGCCACCATGCCCAGCTAATTTATTTATTTATTTTGAGACAGAGTCTTGCTCTGTTGCCCAGGCTGGAGTGCAGTGGTGTGATCTCAGCTCACTGCAACCTCTCTGCCTCCTGGGCCCAACCAGTTCTCCCACAGCCTCCTGTGTAGCTGGGATTACAAGCATATGCCACCACATCTGCCTACTTTTTGTATTTTTAGTAGAGACGGGGTTTCGTCATGTTGGCCAGGCTGGTCTCAAACTCCTGACCTCAAGTAATCTGCCCATCTTGGCCTCCCAAAGTGCTGGGATTACAGGCGTGAGCCACCACTCCTGGCCACAGCGAATTGATTTTTAATTTTTTGTAGAGACAGGGTCTCCCTGTGTTGCCCATGCTGGTCTCAAATTCCTGGGCTCAAGGGATCCTTCCTCCTACCTTGGCCTCCCAAAGTACTGGGATTACAGGCCACCTGTAAGCCACCTGTGAGCCACCACGCCCAGCCAATATTCACTGTTTAAATCAACCAACAGTTTTGCTATGAAAGGGACACTAGGAAGTAACTTCTCGGATTTAAAGCTCTGCGAATTACTCTTTTTTCCTCGTCATCTCGTAGATCCTTCCACTTCTCTCTGTCCCTGTGGCTACTTGTTTAATGCGACTGCTGTGGGTTCCTTCTGAGTCCTCTCTGTACTTCCACCCTGGCCCCTCTAGTCTGTTCATCTACCAGTTGTAGTGCTCTTTTTTTTTTTTTCTCTCTCTCTCTCTTTCCAGGAGTGCTCTTTTAAAACCCTTGCTGGATTGGGTTACTCCCCTGCTTCAAACCATTTGATGGCTTCCCACTGCCTAACTTCCATGCTCCTCACCCTGTTTTATAAAGCTCAGAAAGATATGTTTTCTTCTTACCACTAACCCACCGCATTCAATTCTCCTGCTTGCCTGCTAAACTTTAGTCACAGTTTCTCTTTCAGTTCTTTGACTAAGCCAAGCTGTTATCAGCTTCAGGGCCTTAGCTGTTCCATCTGAAGGCCTCTGTCCAGAAAACTGTACCATCTTTTCCTCTCGTGAAGTTTCTAGTCTCAGCCTCAGTGCCTCAGAGAAGCCTCTCTAACCACCCTACTGCAGATAGCCCCTGCACTCATTTGATTCACTTCCTTCTTAACACTTACCATTAGATGGAATTCATTGTTTCTTTACTTGTTCATTGTTTGTCTCCCATACTTGATTTTAAATTCCATGAGGTCAAGGACCATGTATCTTTTCCTTATTTTTTCTTTGTTTTTAATTTAATTTAATTTATTTTATTTTTTCTTTTCTTTTTTTTTTTTTTGAGACAGAGTCTTGCTCTATTGCCCAGGCTGGAATGCAGTGGCACGATATCAGCTCACTGCCATCCCTACCTCCTGGGTTCACGCAGTTCTCCTGCCTCAGCTTCGTGAGTAGCTGGGATTACAGGTGCATGCCACCATGTCTGGCTAATTTTTTTTTTTTTTTTTTTTTTGAGACAGAGTCTCGCTGCCCCCTAGGCTGGAGTGCAGTGGCGCGATCTCGGCTCACTGCAACCTCTGGTTCACTACAACCTCCACCTCCCGGGTTCAAGCGATTCTCCAGCCTCAGCCTCCCAAATAGCTGGGACTACAGGCGCGTGGCACCACACCCAACTAATCTTTTGTATTTTTAGTAGAGACAGGGTGGGAAGACTTTTTTGTTGCATATTGGTCTATTCAGCTATTATGAGCCCTCAATAAGAATGTAAAGGACTGGCTGGGCATCGTGGCTCACACCTGTAATCCTAGCACTTTGGGAGGGTGAGGCAGGTAGATTGCCTGAGCTCAGAGGTTCAAGACCAGCCTGGGCAACATGATGAAACCCTGTCTCTACTAATAATACAAAATATTAGCTGGGCGTGGTGGTGCATGCCTGTAGTCCCAGCTACTTGGAAGGCTGAGGTGGGAGAATCGCTTGAACCTGGGAGGCAAAGGCTGCAGTGAGCCAAGATCATACCACTGCACTCTTGTCTAGGCGACAGACCAAGATTTCATCTCCAAAAACAAACAAAAAGAATATAAAGGACTGAGCTAAAAAGTAATCTTGCTGTGAGTTTTCCCAGTAACTTCCTATACAATCCTCAAGTTGTGGGAAGTGCATCTTGTATCTTTCACACTGTTAAGAGAGTCTTTGCTGTCTCCATACTATTGTGGGTTTTCTTTTCTTTTTTTTGTATTGAGACAGAGTCTTGCACTGTCGCCCGGGCTGGAGTGCAGTGGTGTGATCTCGGCTCACTGCAACCTCCACCTCCTAGGTTCAAGCGATTCTCCTTGCCTCAGACTCCCAAGTAGCTGGGATTACAGGCGCCTGCCACCATGCCCAGCTAATTTTTTTGTATTTTTAGTAGAGACGGGGTTTCATCATGTTGGCCAGGCTGGTCTTGAACTCCTGACCTCGTGATCTGCCCACCTTGGCCTCCCAAAGTGCTGGGATTACAGTCGTGAGCCACTGCGTCCAGCGGGTTTTTCTTTTTTCTTTTTTTTTTTTTGAGAAGGAGTTTTGCTCTTGTTGCCCAGGCTAGAGTGCAGTGGTGCAATCTCGGCTCACTGCAACCTCTGCCTTCTGGTTTCAAGCAATTCTTCTGCCTCAGCCTCCCAAGTAGCTGGGATTACAGGCGCCTGCCACCACGCCCAGCTACTTTTTTTGTATTTTTAGTGGAGACAGGGTTTCACCATGTTGGTCAGACTGGTCTCGAACTGCTGACCTCGTGATCCACCTGCCTCGGCCTCCCAAAGTGCTGGGATTACAGGCGTGAACCACCGCGCCCGACTGGGTTTTTCTTTTTAAGGCAGTGTCTTGCTCTATTTCCCAGGCTGGAGTGAAGTGGTTCACTGCACTCTCAACCACCCAGACTCAAAACAATTCTGCCTCAGCCTCTTGAGTAGCTGAGACTATAGGCATGTGCCACCACACCTGGCTGAGTTTTTGGATTTTTTGTACAGACGGGGTTTCACCACATTGCCCAGACTGGTCTCGAATTCCTGGGCTCAAACGATCAGCCCTCGTCGGCTTCCCAAAGTGCTAGGACTACAGTTGTGAGCCAGTGTCCCTGGCTCATACTTTTTTTTTTTTTTTGAGACGCAGTCTCCCTCTGTTGCTCAGGCCAGAGTGCAGTGGCACGATCTTGGCCCACTGCAACCTTCACCTGCCAGGTTGAAGTGATTCTCCTGCCTCAGCCTCCCGAGTAGCTAGACTACAGGTGCACGCCCCCATGCCTGGCTAATTTTTTGTATTTTTAGTAGAGACGTGGTTTCACCATGCTGGCCAGGATGGTGTTGAACTCCTGACCTTGTGATCCGCCCACCTCGGCCTTCCAAAATGCTGGGATTACAGGCATGAGCCACTGTGCCTGGCCATACTATTGTTAATATGGTATTTAATGTAGTAGAAGAGGGATTGTACTTATCAGATGCAGTTGTTTGTTGATGAAGGAGAGCTGTTTGTTAGGTTTTCTTTTTTTTTTTTTTTGAGATGGAGTCTTGCTCTGTCACTCAGTCTGGATGGAGTGCAGTGGCACAATCTCGGCCCACTGCAAGTTCCGCCTCCCGGGTTCACGCCATTCTCCCACCTCAGCCTCCGGAGTACCTGGGACTACAGGCGCTCGCCACCACGCCTGGCTAATTTTTTGTATTTTTAGTAGAGACAGGGTTTCACTGTGTTAGCCAGGTTGGTCTTGATCTCCTGACCTCGTGATCCACCCACCTCAGCCTCCCAAAGTGCTGGGATTACAGGCGTGAGCCACTGCGCCCGGCCTAGGTTTTCAGTATGTAGAGCGGAACCTCCTTAACAGGAAGGCAGTACTAATGTCTTAACACTTCAGTTACAGTAACTTTTAACAGATGTCTACTATGGTTTGATTGATAGCAAATCCAAATTTCTCTTATAACGAATTGGTATTAAAACAGGCATACTAGGCTGGGCATGGTGGCTCACACCTGTAATCCCAGCACTTTGGGAGGCCAAGGCGGCGGCTCACCTGAGATCAGGAGTTCAAGACCAGCCTGGCTAATGTGGTGAAACCCTACTTCTACTAAAAATACAAAAAATTAGCCAGGTGTTGTGGTGCACACCTGTAATCCCAGCTACTTGGGAGGCTGAGGCAGGAGAATTGCTTGAACCAGGAGGCCGAGGTTGTAGTGAGCCGGGATCGCACCATTGCACTCCAGCTTGGGCAACAAGAGTGAAACTCCGTCTCACAAAAAAAAGAAAAACAAACAGGCATACTGAGGTCGGCTGCGGTGGCTCACACCTGTAATCCCAACACTTTGGGAGGCTGAGGTGGGCAGATCATCAGGAGTTCGAGACCATCCTGGCCAACATGGTGAAAACCTGTCTCTACTAAAAATACAAAACTATTAGCTGGGTGTGGTGGCGTGCACCTATAGTCCCAGCTACTTGGGAGGCTGAGGCAGGAGAATCACTTGAACCAGGGAGGCGGAGGTTGCTGTGAGCCGAGATCACTCCACTATACTCCAGCCTGGGAGACATAGTGAGAGTCCATCTCAAAAAAAATAAATAAATAAAAATATAAAACTGGCATAATAATGCATTTGTGAAACTGAAGGGGTCAGAGAAGAGATTACTTACCAGAAGTCTTTTTTGCCTTTTTGAGACAGAGTCTCACTCTGTTGCCCAGGCTGGAGTGCACTGGCATGATCTTTGCTCACCGCAACCCCCACCTCCCAGACTCAAGTGATTCTCCCACCTCAGCCTCCTGAGCAGCTAGGACTACAGGCGTGCGCCACCATGCCCAGCTGATTTTTGTATTTTTAGCAAAGATCAGGTTTCACCATGTTGGCCAGGCACACCTCAAGTGATATACCTGCCTCAGCCTCCCAAAGTAGTGGTATTACAAACGTGAGCCACTGCACCCAGCCCAGAAGTCTTTAAAGCTTATAAATTTACATTAAAGTAATATGGGAAAAAAGGTAATGGTAAAGACCATAAACGTATTACTATATAACCCAGCAATCCCAGTCCTAGGTATTTACTCAAAGTGAAGTAAAAACTAATGTTTACATAGAAGACTATACATGAACATACAATTACCCCCAAATGGTAACAACTCAGATGTTTTATTGTTGTTGTTTGCTACCACACTTTTTTTTTTTTTTTTTTTTTGATGGAGTTTTGCTCTTTTTGCCCAGGCTGGAGTGCAATGGTGCTATTTCAGTTCACTGCAACCTCTGCCTCCCAGGTTCAAGCAATTCTTCTGCCTCAGCCTCCCGAGTAGCTAGGATTACAGGCATGCACCACCACGCACAGCTAATTTTTTATTTTTAGTAGAGATGCGGTTTCTCCATGTTGGTCAGGCTGGTCTCGAACTCCCAACCTCAGGTGATCCGCCACCTTGGCCTCCCCAAAGTGCTGGAATTACAGGCGTGAGCCACCACGCCTGGCCTTTTTTTTTTTTTTTTTTAAGTAAAGATGAGGTCATGCTATGTTGCCAAGCTGGTCTCAAACTTTTGGGCTCAAGCGGTCCTCCCACCTTGGCTTCCCAAAGTGCTGGGATTATAGGCGTGAACCACTGCACCTAGCACAAATGTTTTTCAGCTGGTAAATGGTTCAACAAACTGATACATTCATACAGTGGAATACTACTTAGCAAAAATAGAGACAAACTATAGTAATGATACATGCTGTAATGTGAATGAATCTCAAATGCACTGTGCTGAATGAAAGAAGCCAAACTCAAAAGGCTAAGATACTATATGATTCCATCTATATGATGTTCTATAGGGACAGAAAACAGGTCTCTGGTTGCCAGGGAATGGGAGAAGGGATGTATAAAGATGAGAGAATTGAGGGATGATGGAACTGTAGAGTGTAGATGATGGGATATGGAGTGGAACCTCCTTAGCAGGAAGGCAGTACTAATGTCTTTTTTTTTTTTTTTCTTTTTGAGATGGAGTCTTGCACTGTCACCCGGGCTGGAGTGCAGTGATGCGATCTCTGCTCACTGCAACCTCTGCCTGCCAGGTTGAAGCAGTTCTCCTGCCTCAGCCTCCCGAGTAGCTGGGATTACAGGCGCACATCACCATGCCCGGCTAATTTTTTGTATTTTTAGTAGAGACGGAGTTTCACTATGTTGGCCAGGATGGTCTCGAACTCCTGACCTCGTGATCTGCCCGCCTTGGCCTCCCAAAGTTCTGGGATTACAGGCGTGAGCCACCGCGCCTGGCCAGCAGTACTAATGTCTTACTTTAGTTACAGTAACTCTTTTTTTTTTTTTTTTGAGATGGAGTCTCGCTCTGTCGCCCATGCTGGAGTGCAGTGGCGTGATCTCAGCTCACTGCAACCTCTGCCTCCTGGGTTCAAGCGATTCTCCTGCCTGTAGCCTCCTGCCTACAGTAACTTTTAGCAGATGTCTGCTGTGTTTTGATTAATAGCAAATCCAAATCTTTGTTATAATCAATTGGTATCAAAACAGGAGTACTAGTGTATTTGTGAACCTGAAGGAGTCAGAGATGAGATTAGATCTTCTCTGTATCAGAGAAGATAAAGATCTTGACTGTGGTCGTGGTTTAAAGTATTTGTCAAACTCATAGAACTATATGTGTTAGTATATTAGAAAAGTATATTAGAAAGGATAAAATATATATAAATTATACCTCAAGTTTGGGTTTTTTGTTTTGTTTTTTTTTTTATAGAGACTGGGTCTCTACAAGCAAGCCTCCTACCTTGGCCTCCCAAAGTGTTGGGATTACAGGTGTAGACCACCGTGCCCAGTTTACCTCAGGTTTTAAAACGACTGTAAACACACAAGTGTTGATATAATTTGCATTTGGTCCATAGAGTTAACATTTTGGTATGAAAAAGCAGAGTATGATTTCAGTCTTTCAGGAAGTTGGTATGTTAACTCTGTCTAGTGAAATGACAAGAGTTAACATTTTATGAGTGTTTATCAACAAGAGAGTCAGTTGTTTAATCTGAGAAGGTCATTTCTCATTTTAGCCAAGGAGGGAGGATATACTCCTAAAATAGAGACTGGAAGAATAAAACAGATACTTTGTAGCAGTCTATTATTTTACAGTCTGTCTTGGCACTTGATCCATAATTGTATAGCACCATCATCGTTAAGGAATATTACTACTAGTGTTTATTAGCTGTATCTTCTCTCTTTTGGCAGAAGGGAAAAATGTTTCAGACTAGTAAGCCATGACTCAGTTAGGAGCCAGGATTCTGTCTGCCGAGGTTTGAATCCTGGCTCTATCATGTACCAGCTGTGTTACTAGGTAAGTTACACAGCTTGGGTAAGTTACTTAAACTCCTTAGTTTCTTGGCCTGGTGTGGTGGTTCACACCTGTAATCCCAGCACTTTGGGAGGCCAAGGCGAGTGAATCACCTGAGGTCAGTAGTTCAAGACCAGCCTGGGCAGCATGACAAAACCCCATTTCTACTAAAAGTACAAAAATTAGCCAGGCATGGCTGGGTGCAGTGGCTCACGCCTGTAATCCTAGCACTCTGGGAGGCCAAAGCAGGCGGATCACGAGGTCAGGAGATTGAGACCATCCTGGCTAACACAGTGAAATCCCGTCTCTACTAAAAAAAAAAAAAAAAAAAAAAATTAGCTGGGCTTGGCTGGCACCGGTAGTCCCAGCTACTCAGGAGGCTGAGGCAGGAGAATGGTGTGAACCCGGGAGGCCGATCTTGCAGTGAGCCAAGATTGTGCCACTGCACTCTAGCCTGGGTGACAGAGCGAGACTCCGTCTCAAAAAAAAAAAAAAAAAAATTGCCAGGCGTGGTGGTGGGTGCCTGTAGTCCCAGCCACTTGGGAGGTTGAGGCAGTAGAATGGTATGAACCCGGGAGGCGGAGCTTGCAGTAAGCCGAGATCACACCACTGCACTCCAGCCTGGGCGACAGAGCAAGACTCTGTCTCAAAAAAAAAAAAAAAAAAAAATTAGCCAGGCATGGTGGCATTCTCCTGTAGTCCCATCTACTTGGGAGGCTGAGGCACGGCCATTGCTTGAATCTGGGAGGTGGAGGTTGCAGTCAGCCGAGATCGTGCCACTGCACTCTAGACTGGGCAACAGAGTGAGTCTCTGTCTCAAAAACAATAAGAGACCAGGCATGGTGGCTCACGCCTGTAATCCCAGCACTTTGGGAGGTCGAGTTGGGCGGATTACAAGGTCAGGAGATCGAGACCATCCTGGCCAACTTGGTGAAACCCCGTCTCTACTAAAATACAAAAAATTACCCAGGTGTGGTGGCACACCCCTGTAGTCCCAGCTACTCGGGAGGTTGACTCAGGAGAATCGCTTGAACCCGGGAGGCGGAGGTTGCAGTAAGCCGAGATCTCGCCACTGCACTCCAGCCTGGGCGACAGAGCAAGACTCCATCTTGAAACAAACAAACAATAAAAACCAAGAACAACAAAAAAATCTCTTTTCTTTCATTATCTTTAAATGGTAATGATATCAGTTGTTGTGAAGATTAAATATCAGATGTTTAGAAAAGTACCTTGCATTGGGCCGGGTGTGGGGGCTCACATCTGTAATCCCAGCACTTTGGGATGCCAAGGCGGGCGGATCACGAGGTCAGGAGATCGAGAGCATCCTGGCTAATGTGGTCAAACCCCCTCTCTACTAAAAATACAAAAAAAAAAAATTAGCCGGGCGTGGTGGTGGGCGCCTGACAGCTACTCGGGAGGCTGAGGCAGGAGAATGGTGTGAACCCGGGAGGCAGAGCTTGTAGTAAGCCGAGGTCGCACCACTGTACTCCAGCCTGGGTGACACAGCGAGACTCTGTCTCAAAAAAAAAGAAAAAAGAAAAGTATCTGGCATCTAGTGAGTACAGTATAATTGTGGACTGGTATTGGTATTAGCAGAAAGCAGAGCAAGTAACCTTTTGTTGCGTTTTTGAGTGACTGGACTGAGTTGAGGAGACTTCAAGTGAGAAGGGAACCATGTGACAGAGCAAATCTTGGTTGTAGTCATGGCTTACTTACTGGTACTTCCTTCTTACTGTCATTTCGCTTAAATGACCAGGACAAGGCAGAGGTGGTGAATTGGGAGAATAGGGCTTGTGAAATTAGGATTCTGGTGTAGTGGCCAGCACACTTACTGCTTGTTGTCACAGACTGGATTAAACACTGGACACTTTTTTTCTGGTTTAAGTATTCAAAATATAAAATGACCTCAGAAATTACAGTTTGTAAGCTTATTCAAAACTGCCCCACAAATGCCAATTTTACCATTAAAATACTAAACCGGATAAAACAGTGACTAGGTTACCTTTGTAAACATGTTTCTTACCAGTCCCAGAGAATCAGTGCTTCTGTTGTTTAGGGTAGAATCAGGAACAGTTTGGGGATAGCCTCCAGTTTGGTTCCATTTCCTGTCCAACTTCAGACATATATTATCCATTGAAAAGGTGGGGCAGATTTTCTAAACATTTCTTCAGCATCTTGGAATCCTAGCAGTCAGTCTGTTCATGCTGATAGAAGTCCCTGTGACAATGTCCTTTAGTTGAAAACACAAAAATATAAAAAAGATCTAGAGAGGGTGGGCATTTTATTATTCTTGGATATTCTTTCTCTGTTGAACAAAACTGATGTGCCTATTTTTGTCCCATTAGGAGCTCTTGTCCCTGGCAAAGCGAAAGCGCAGTGACTCTGAGGAGAAGGAGCCGCCTGTGAGTCAGCCTGCAGCCTCGTCAGACTCGGAGACGTCTGACAGTGACGATGAGGTGGGTGTGGAGGGCCTCGGCTTCTGGGACCATTAGATAGTTGAGGCTCCTCGCTTTGGTGGCTCCTGTTGGCCTCATTTCCTTAAATGGAGACTTACAGCCTAAGATCTACAAGAATTTATTGGGGAAAGAAAATGGTGTAAGGAAGGCCGGGCGCTGTGGCTCTCTCCTGTAATCCCAGCACTTTGGGAGGCTGAGGTGGGTGGATCACCTGAGGTCAGGAGTTCGAGACCAGCCTGGCCAACATGGTGAAACCCTGTCTCTACTAAAAATACAAAAATTAGCCAGGCGTGGTGGTGCACGCCTGTAATCCCAGCTACTAAGGAGGCTGAGGCAGGAGAATTGCTTGAACTCAGGAGGCAGAGGTTGCAGTGAGCCGGGATCGCCCCACTGCACTGCAGCCTGGGTGACAAAGCAAGACTCTGTCTCAAAAAAAAAAAGAAAATGGTGTAATGAAAGCTATTGAATGTCATGTTCATTGTACTGCTAGTTACCTAGTGGGTCCCTCTGCAGGACATGCGTAGTCATTCTGTAGCTTTTTTTTTTTTTTTCAGCCTTATTGCAGAAGTGGTACAGTCAGTAATCCTATTTTTTCTTTTATTTTCTTTTTTTTTTTTTCAAGACAGAGTCTCACTCTGTCACCAGGCTGGAGTGCAGTGGTGTGATCTTGGCTCACTGCAACTTCCGCCTTCCAGGTTCACGCCATTCTCCTGCCTCAGCCTACTGACTAGCTGGGACTACAGGCACCCGCCACCAGGCCTGGCTAATTTTTTTTTTTATTTTTAGTAGAGACGGGGTTTCACTGTGTTAGCCAGGGTGGTCTCAATCTCCTGACCTCGTGATCCACCCACCTTGGCCTCCCAAAGTGCTGGGATTACAGGTGTGAGCCACTGCGCCCGGACTCTCTTTTTTCTTTTTGAGTCATCTTTTTAATCTCACTTTCAAGTTAGAAAATAAATTCTATCAAGGATGCTGTAGTTTAATGGGAAATACTTTAGTGAGAAAAGAAACTTTGGGAAGATTGATTCAACATCCCTCCGAGTGATGGTGTTAACTTCAAAGGAGGAAAATCCAACTGTTCATTGTCTAGACCAAGGTCACTTTCCCAAATTACCTACCAACAATGGCAGGCCCTAAAAGATCCAAAACCTTAATGGAAGACAGGGATGAGGGGAAAGATATTTGAAACACTTCTACATGTTTCTCATTTGATTTATTTATTTTATTTTATTTTTTTGAGATGGAGTCTCACTCTTATCGCCCAGGCCAGAGTGCAACGGCACGATCTCGGCTCACTGCAACCTCTGCCTCTCGGGTTCAAGCGATTCTCCTGCCTCAGCCTCCCAAGTAGCTGGAACTACAAGCACGCACCACAGTGCCCGGCTGATTTTTGTATTTTTAGTGGAGACAGGGTTTTGCCACGTTCGCCAGGCTGGTCTCAAACTTCCGACCTCAGATGATCCACCTGCCTTGGCCTCCCAAACTGCTGAGATTACAGGCATGAGCCATTGCACCCAGCCTTTCATTTGATTTAAAGTATTTTCTTCCCCTTAGTAATTACTTGCAGAGAAGCCGGATATCACCTTTCAGTGTAATTTCTTACCCTACAGCCTAGGAAAATATTTGTTAACAGTAAAGTAAAAAATGTTTATTTAATATAATGAAATTTAATTAGCAGCTGAATAGTATTTACCGGTGCCCTGCATGTGCATATTGGAGTGATTGCCTTCTGATCAACTGTAGTGATAATTTCTTTCTTTTTTTTTTTTTTTTTCTTGAGACTGCGTCTCACTCTGTCACCCAGGCTACAGTGCAGCGGCGCAATCTCGGCTCACTGCAACCTCTGCCTTCCGGGTTTAAGAGATTCTCCTGCCTCAGCCTCCTGAGTAGCTGGGACTACAGGTGCGTGCCACCACACCTGGCTAATTTTTTATTTTTAGTAGAGATGGGGTTTCACCATGTTGGCCAGGCTGGTCTCAAACTCCTAACCTCAGGTGACCCGCCCCCTTGGCCTCCCAAAGTGCTGGGATTATAGGCGTGAGCCACCGCGCCTGGCCTCTTTTTTTTTTTTTTTTTTGAGACAGAGTCTCGCTCTGTTGCCAGGCTGGAGTGCAGTGGTGCGATCTCAGCTCACTGCAACCTCTGCCTCCTGGGTTCAAGCAATTTTCCTGTCTCAACCTCCCAAGTAGCTGGGACTGCAGGCGCATGTCACCACACCCAGCTAATTTTTTGTATTTTTGGTAGAGTCGGGGTTTCACCACGTTAGCCAAGATGGTCTCATTCTCCTGACCTCGTGATCTGCCCGCCTCGGCTTCCCAAAGTGCTGGGATTAGAGGCGTGAGCCCTGTGCCTGGCCAAAAGTTTATTCTTTTGTTTATTTTTAATGGATAAACTATAATTTCTCTCAAATTAACAAAAAATCAGTGGGGGGTCTATGAAATAATTTGCTTTTTCATTTTGTTTTCTGTTTTCTTTCTTTAAATGCCTAGACAATACAGAAAAACCTTGAAATAATTTTCTCTCCCACTAGTCCCCTCTTTTTTTTTTTTTTTTTTTTTGAGACGGAGTCTCACTCTGTCACCCAGGCTGGAGTGCAGTGGCGTGATCTCGGCTTACTGCAAGCTCCGCCTCCTGGGCTCACTCCATTCTTCTGCCTCAACCTCCCAAATAGCTGGGACTACAGGCGCCTGCCACCACTCCTGGCTAATTTTTTGTATTTTTAGTAGAGACGGGGTTTCACCATGTTAGCCAGGATGGTCTCTATCTCCTGACCTTGTGATCCGCCCGCCTCGGCCTCCCAAAGTGCTGGGATTACAGGCGTGAGCCACCATGTCTGGCCTCTCTCCCACTATTCTTATAGCTACTTTTATTTTTCATGTTTCAGAAGTCAGCTGCTGTGGTCCACCCTTGCCACTCAGTATTGTATTAAGTTTGAATATGTGTTATGCCTGGAATACCCTGTAATGTGTTTGTGGTCTCTGGTATTCCTTAAGATACAAGCAGTAAGTCTGCTTGGAACACATTCATTCTCCATATGTCTGTTGTTAAAAGTTAGGTCAGAGTCCTAACTTTTGCAGTTAGTACTGAGATTCCCTTCCTCCTTTTTTAGCCAAAGCATTAGAGGAGCCCACAACTTGTGTTAGAGGAGATCCACATCCATAAAATTCTTCATGGTTTAGGGTTCCCTTTGTTACTTGCAGCTGCTTAATGAAGTAAAAAACTGCTCATCTTAGAACACTACCCAATGATTTGTGCACGTATTGGAGAAAAAGCTGACAGCAAGCTCCACCCTGCCCAGCAAGAAATGAGCGTTTGAGTGACTTTTCCCCTACAGGATTCTTAGCTCCTGCTGCTGCCTTCAGATTCTAGTACTCCAGGCCCTCAGGCTTATTGTAACTCTACTCCAGTCCCTCTCTCACGAGAGCAGCAGCGTCTGTATCATGGTCATTCTGAAAGATGCCTGTTTTTCTGTTTCCATCATGTCTCTTTGGCCCAAGATACTAGCTTAGCACGAGCACCTCTGAGTTAGAGCAAATAGTTCATTATTTTGGACAGTTCAGAAAATAACTATTAAAATCTTTATTAAAAAATTCTTCCAGCCACTGTGTAACTCAATGTTATTACTGTGAGCTCAAACTTATTGCTGCTGTGGACATTTTAGATTGGGTAGGGGACTTCTGAGAGATTCTTAGGTTATAAAGTTTGAGACAGTGGCTCTTTTTTTCCCCTTTCATAATGATTTTTTTTTTTTTTTGAGATGGAGTCTCTCTCTGTTGCCCAGGCTGGAGTGCAGTGGCGTGATCTTGGCTCGCTGTAAGCTCTGCCTCCCGGGTTCACGCCATTCTTCTGCCTCAGCCTCCCGAGCAGCTGGGACTACAGGCGCTCACCACCACGCCTGGCTAATTTTTTGTATTTTTAATAGAGACGGGGTTTTACAGTGCTAGCCAGGATGATCTTGATATCCTGACCTCATGATCCGCCGGCCTCATCCTCCCAAAGTGCTGGGATCACAGGTGTGAGCCACCATCATAATGATTATTAATACGTCTTTCGTGGGTGAAAAAACACATACTGAAGTAGTTTGCTATGTCTTCTCGTTTCTTCAACTTTTGTGTCTTTAACGCCTGCAGATTAACCTTTTAGAAATTTGGTTGTTAAAGTGGCAATTCTCGGGCCAGGCATGGTGGCTCACACCTGTAATCCCAGCACTTTGGGAGGCCAAGGCAGGTAGATCACTTGAGGTCAGGAGTTCGAGACCAGACTGGCCAAAATGGCGAAACCCTGTCTCTACTAAAAATGCAAAAATTAGCCAGGCGTAGTAGTGGGCACCTGTAGTCCTAGCTACTCGGGAGGCTAAGGTATGAAAATCGCTTGAGCCCAGAAGGCAGAGGTTGCAGTGGGCCGAGAACGCTCCACTATATTCCAGGCTGGGCCCCAGAGTGAGACTGCATCTCAATAAAAATAAATAAATTAAATAAAGTGGCAATTTTCCATCAGAGGAAGCCCTCCTTGTACCAGAAGCTGCCCTGCAGTTTTTTCAAACTTATATATGTCTCTCATACCGTTTCTTTTCATTAGTGAGCCATTAATATAGGTAGAAAGAAATACGTTTGTCCCCTCAGATTTGCTAGGACAGAAAATTGGTCAAGAACAACTGAGCTAAAAAGTTAATCGGTAATTTGTTTATAAAATCAGAGACATGCACTGATTTTAGAGCAAAAAGATATTTAGCTAATTGATGAGGGAGAGGGAAATGGAGAGAAGCTCTGAAAGTTTTCTATCCTGAAAAAAATGGGTACACTGGACATTCAGTATAATGTCATATTAGTGAGGAAATAAGTAGATGTTTCACATATAATGTAGCTTGGTGGGGGGAAACACCAACATTTAATGACAGAGTATATACTTGTCCTATTATTTTTAGTGATTGAATTATTCTCGATATCTGGAGGCACATGTAAAACTAAGAAGCAAGGCTGTTTGTAAGATTTACATTGGCCAAGGTCAAGGTCAGAATGCTGTGGTGTGGCACTTTGATGCTGTCACTTCCTCTCCTTGAAAGCATTTGATCAGAGAAGCATCATCAAAGGTTCAAACAAGAGTGATTGGAAGGGAAGATAACAAGGTGAAAAGGAGGGGAGCTAGCAGCCATTCAATCATGAGTTGGGGTTAAAAAAAAAAACGGCCAGCAGGGTGTGGTGGCTCACACCTATAGTCCAGCAATTTGGGAGGCCAAGGTGGGAGGATTGCTTAAGCTGGGAAGTTCGGGACCAGCCTGGGCAATATGGCAAAACCCCATCTCTACTAAAAATACAAAAATTATTGTAGCTAGAGGTGCAATAATAGAAAAATTGGGCCGGGTGCAGTGGCTCACGCCTGTAATCTCAGCACTTTGGGAGGCCGAGACAGGCAGATTACAAGGTCTGGAGCTCGAGACCATCCTGGCTAACATGGTGAAACCCTGTCTCTACTAAAAATACAAAAAAATTAGCCGGGCGTGGTGGCGGGCGCCTGTAGTCCCAGCTACTCTGGAGGCTGAGGCAGGAGAATGGCGTGAACCCGGGGGGCAGAGCTTGCAGTGAGCCGAGATTGCACCACTGCACTCCAGCCTGGGCGACAGAGCGAGACTCCATCTCAAAAAAAAACAAAGAAAAAGAAAAATTAAAAAAAAATTTTTTTTAATACAAAAATTAGTCAGGTGTGGTGGTGTGCATCTGTTACCCCAGCTACTCAGGAGGCTGAGGTGGGAGGATCACCTAACCTCAGGAGGTCAAGGGTGCAGTGAGCTGTAATCATGCCACTGCACTCCAACCTGGGCAACAGATTGAGACTCTGTCTCAAAGGAAAAAAGAAAAATACTTGCTAGATTTTTTTTTTTTTGAGCCAGAGTCTTGCTCTGTCATCCAGGCTGGAGTGCAGTGGTGCAATCTCAGCTCACTGCAACCTCCGCCTCCTGGGCTCAAGAGATTCTCCTGCCTCAGCCTCTCGAGTAGCTGGGATTACAGGCGCCTGCCACCACGCCCGGCTAACTTTTTGTACTTTTAATAGAGATGGGGTTTCACCGTGTTACCCAGGCTGGTGTTGAACTCCTGAGCTCAGGTGATCCGCCTGCCTCGGGCTCCCAAAGTGCTAGGATTACAGGCGTGACCATCGCGGCCGGCCCGTTAGATATTATATGTAGTAGTTTTTCTGTTGATTTAAAGCCATGATTACGAATAACAGTTCTTGTACTGTGAAAAAATGTCTTCCAAAATATCCAGCTGTGTGGTACTGCTTTATACAGCTTCCTTTTTCCTCTGTTATATTGGTAAGAAGTGACCATTGTGCTCTTTTCTTGGTAATGTCTTCTATAACACTTCCAACTTACTGCATATTTTCTGTCGTGGGGTCAGGAAGCCAGGGAATGCCATAGAGTTTAGGCTGGAATACTGCGCTTTAGTACTTGAACTTAGTGACAGCTGTTTAGATTGCTCATGAGCTTTATTTTTATTTTATTTTATTTATTTATTTATTTTTTTGAGACGGAGTCTCGGTCTGTCGCCCAGGCTGGAGTGCAGTGGCACGATCTTGGCTCACTCCAAGCTCCACCTCCCGGATTCACGCCGTTCTCCTGCCTCAGCCTCCCTAGTAGCTGGGACTACAGGCGCCCACCACCAATGCCCAGCTAATTTTTTTTTGTATTTTTAGTAGAGACGGGGTTTCTCTGTGTTAGCCAGGATGGTCTTGATCTCCTGACCTCGTGATCCACCCGCCTCAGCCTCCCAAAGTGCTGGGATTACAGGCGTGAGCCACTGCGCCCGGCCTCATGAGCTTTATGTTTTACATATTGGCTCTTAACTGTGTAGACAAATAGACAGTAACACCTTATCTTTCTAGACACCATTAAGATCTCGTTGCAAGAATTAGGAATAAGGTGATTTTCATGGACTAGTTAATTGCTCAAATGTATTTTCAAGAAATTCCGACACTCCCAACCTAACAGTGTAATGTAGTATTAATTATATTGTTCATTTTTTGGTATCACTTCTGTTTTGTTTGTGCTTTTGTCTTCATAACTAGACTGCAAGTTTTTGTGATTGAGTGCAAGGATTCTCTATGCTTTCCAGTTAAATGTATGTGATTGCTTGATGATGAAATACAATAGTGTCTTTTGTACTTTATCTGATTACACAGTAGAAAGGAAAAGAAAGCTAAGAAAGCTAAGCTATTCTTCATGTCTTCAGGCTGACATTAAATTGCATTTACTGCCTCCTGTCAGTTGGGATTAAAAAAAATTGCATTTACTCTTCAACTCCTGACCCCATTTTTTTTTTTTTTTTTTGGAAACAGAGTCTTGCTCTATCAAGAGGGCTGGAGTGTGGTGGCTCAATCTCTGCTCACTGTAACCTCTGCCTCCTGGGTTCAGGCAATTCTTGTACTTCAGTCTTCCAAGTAGCTGGGATTACAGGCGCATGCTACCACGCCCAGCTAATTTTTTTGTATTTTTAGTAGAGACGGGGTTTCACTATGTTGGCCAGGCTGGTCTCGAACTCCTGGCCTCAAGTGATCTGTCTGCCTCGGCCTCCCAGAGTGCTGATCCCAGCACAGGTGTGAGCCACCACACCCAGCTTCCTCTGACTCTTTTTTTATTTTCAGAAAAAAACACCTAAATCAGGAACCGTGCCCTCTCAAACACATCTTTTTTGTGGCCATTGTCAGTATCTAGAATAATGACTATAGAACTTTTCTTATGATTAGTTTGACTCAGAATAACATTCAGTTCATATGGAAACCTACAATGTTACAGGGTCTTAGAGATCATCTGAACTTTTTTTCCCCCACAGATGAGAGAACAGACTCACAGAAATTCTCATTTTTGGCCAGGTGCGGTGTCTTAGGCCTGTAATCCCAACACTTTGGGAGGTTGAGGCGGGCGGATCACGAGGTCAGGAGATCGAGACCATCCTAACCCAGTGAAACCCCTTTTCTACTAAAAATACAAAAAATTAGCCAGGCGTGGTGGCGCACGCCTGTAGTCCCAGCTACTCAGGAGGCTGAGGCAGGAGAATCGCTTGAACCCAGGAGGTGGAGGTTGCAGTGAGCCGAGATTGTGCCACTGCCTGGGCAACAGAGCAAGACTCCGTCTCAAAAAAAAAAAATTATTTTCATAAAATAGTACCTCACATGTATGTAGAACTTCCTGGTTTCTAGTGTGCGCTAAAACTTGTCTTATTCTCTCTCCTTTTAGTCTCACACTACCCTGGTAGGTGGTCAAGGCAGTGTTATTATTCCTACTTTACAGATAAGGAGATACTCTCTGGTTAGAGGCTTGGGCTCTATCCCATTTCTTTAGACCCTAATCCCAGTGTAGTTTGTCACTAGCCCAGCTGTTATTTTTTTTTTTTTTTTTGAGACGGAGTCTCCCTCTGTCACCCAGGCTGGGGTGCAATGGCACGATCTTGGCTTACTGCAACCTCCACCTCCCAGGTTCAAGCAATTCTCCTCCCTTGGCCTCCTGAGTAACTGGGATTATAGGCGCCCACCACCAGGCCTGGCTAATTTTTGTATTTTTAGTAGAGTCAGGGTTTCACCATGTTGGCCAGGCTGGTCTTGAACTCCTGACCTCAAGTGATCCACCTGCCTCAGTCTCACAGAATGTTGGGATTACAGGCATGAGCCACCACGCCCAGCCCCAGCTGTTATTCTTGAACCTTACTTACTGAAAGGTATTTTATTTCACTTGTAAATTCAGTTCAGAGTCACTGGGTTGGAATGGTTTCTATGCTGGGTCCTGAGACCTAGGAATATGGGTATTCCTTGCTCATTAGAGATAATTTGCTCTCTGAAATCTTGAAGTTTCTTTACTTTCCTGCCTTCATCATGCTCAAAATACTCAGCATCTCAATGCCACCCTATTCCAGAGCAACCAGTCCCCGCCTTGTGTTTCTTCCCATCTTTCAGTTGCGTGCCCAGAAGGATAGCTGCTTCACAGAATGGGGACCTGCTTATAACATTCTATACACACTCAGCGTGACATGGGGGAATATAGTACTCACCTTCCTTGTTTCACTAGGTAATTGTTGCCCATTAAAATACCTGTTACATCAGTGAGAGTCAAACTGCTGATCTCTGTTATTAGGAAGAAAACATATTCCATCCAGTCTCTTTTTAAGTTTTCTTCATTGCATATTTACAAAATACTTTTCTGGTGTTCTGTGGGGTTGCATACATGTACACCTAGGAAAGCAGGATGTCAGTGTGTACAAGAGTCCTGACAATGGATCCTTTCCTTTACCCAGATGGTTTTTGAGCAGTGGTCATTGGGAGATCCTCTGGCCTCTGTACTTGGTTCAGATGCACACCGGTGGGTGCTCATTTTCTCATTCTTGGCTTATGTTTGGTGCATTTGAGGGCAGTTTGAAGGTTATAACAGAGCTTACCTTTCAGTAGAACCATACTTCTCAAAACAGATTAAGAAGTGCAAGGTCATTTTCTCTACTTCCTTCTGGATGGGGAAAGTATAAGAGCATCCCTTTAATTCTTTCCTTTATTCTTTAGATCCCATTTACTACTACATCCTGGTGAAATCATTCATTTTCCCTCTGTCTCAGAATCAGGTGAATAAGATTTTTGCAGGGATGGGTGAGCCATCTCTGGACTAATAGCTGGATTAAGATATTTCCATATCAATTCTGCTTAGACTCTGTTCTTGGGAGAAGAGGTACAGAGCAAATATTTTAAGTGTGTGCTTAGACAAAAAAGCATTCAGGAATCTCTCGTTTATGGGAGTAAATGATCTATTCTTGAGAAAAAAAATCTTTGGGAGATTATTGGGACCTATTTGTGTCTCTTTCCCTGAATTAAATAAGAATAATACTGAGACTGGCTTCCAGATTTTTTAAGTGATCATTTATCATTGAGTGGTGGCTATACAGGTGATTAAAAAAATAAAATTTAAAAAAATGGGAAATGTTGGCCGGGAACGGTGATTAACGCCTGTAATCTCAGCATTTTGGGAGGCCGAGGCAGGCAGACCCCCTGAGGTCAGGAGTTTGAGACCAGCCTGAACAATATGGTGAGAGAACAGACTCACAGCAATTCTCATTTTCGCCCGGGTATAGTGGCTCTACTAACCCTGTCTCTACTAAAAATACAAAAATTAGCTGGGTGTGGGGGCAGGTGACTACGTTCCCAGCTACTCGGGAGGCTGAGGCAGGAGAATCCCTTGAACCCAGGAGGCGGAGGTTGCAGTGAGCCTAGATCACGCCACTGCACTCCAGCTTGGGTGACAGAGCGAGACTCCATCTTGAAAAACAAAACAAAACAAAACAAAAAATAGGGAATATTTCACGAATTTGCATGTCATCTTTGCACAGGGGCCATGCTAATCTTTTCTGTATTCTAATTTTAGATATGTGCTGCTGAAGCGAGCAGAGATTATTTTTTTAAAATTAATTTTTATATTAAATTAAATTAATTAATTTATTTATTTGAGATCAGCTCTCACTCTGTCACCCAGGCTGGAGTTCAGTGTCGTGATCTTGGCTCACTGCACCCTGGACCTCGTGGGCTCAAGCCATTCTCCTACCTTAGCCTCCTGAATAGCTGGGACTATAAGCGTTCGCCATCACGCCCAGCTAATTTTTGTATTTTTTGTAAAGACTAGGTTTCACCATGTTGCCCAGGCTAGTCTTGAACCCTGAGCTCAAGCAATCAGCCTGCCTCGGCCTCCCAAAGTGCTAGGATTTCAGGCGTGAGCCACTGCGCCCAGCCTATTTTATTTTATTTTTTTTGTCCCTGTTGTGGAGGCAGGTGAATTTTTTTTTTTTTTTTTTTTTGAGACAGAGTCTCGCTCTGTTGCCCAGGCTGGAGTGCAGTGGTACGAACTCGGCTCACTGCAAGCTCCGCCTCCCGGGTTCACACCACTGTCCTGCCTCAGCCTCCCAAGTAGCTGGGACTACAGGCGCCCGCCACCATGCCCGGCTAATTTTTTTGCATTTTTAGTAGAGACGGGGTTTCACCGTGTTAGCCAGGATGGTGTCGATCTCCTGACCTCGTGATCTGCCCAGCCGGCAGCAGGTGATTTTTTAAATTAAAAAATATATTTCCTTAAATAGAGGTGGGGTCTTGCTATGTTTCACAGGGTGGTCTCCAACTCCTGTGTTCAAGTGATCCTCCCACTATGGCCTCCCAAAGTGCTGGGATTATAGGTGTGAGCCACCACACTTGGCCTGGTGATTTTTTTTTTTCCCCAACTTTACAAATACTTTTCTGGTTGTGCACTGTGGTGTGTTTCTCTAGTAATAGCTACTCAGGAGGTTGAGGCGGGAATATCACTTGAGCCCAGGAGTTTGAGTACAGCCTGGGCAACATAGTGAGACCTCATCATAAAAACGAAAAGAAAACAAAAAGCAAACAACTTTTCTATATTTTTAAGGCCTAATATAATGAACATTTATTATTATTAAAATTATATTTTAAAGTTTTATTAAAAATAAAATACAGGCTGGGCGCAGTGGTTCATGCTTGTAATCCCAGAATTTGGGAGACTGAGGCAGGAGAATTGCTTGAACTTAGGAGTTTGAGACTAGCCTTGGTAACATAGTGAGACCTCCTCTCTACAAAAAGTTAACAAATTAGCCAGGTATAGTGGCATGCACCTGTAATCTCAGCTGCTCAGGAGGCTGAGATGAGAGAATCTCTTGAGCCCAGTAATTCAAGGCTGCAGTGAGCTATGATCATGCCACTGCATTCCAGCCTGGTCAACAGAGCAAGACCCAGTCTCAAAAATAAAAAATAAAATGAAATAAAACACAAAGTAAATATACAAGTAGCGGCACTCCAACTTCTCAGTACTGTAAGATATAAGAAGTTTTAGGCCAGGTGCGGTGGCTCATGCCTGTAATCCCAGCACTTTGGGAGGCCAGGGCAGGCAGATCGGGAGTCCAAGGTCCAGCCTGAGGTTGGGAGTTCGAGACCAGCCTGACCAACATGGAGAAACCCCGTCTCTGCTAAAAATACAAAATTAGCCGGGCGTGGTGGCATATGCCTGTAATCCCAGCTACTCGGGAGGCTGAGGCAGGACAATGGCGTGAACCGGGGAGGCGGAGCTTGCAGTGAGCCAAGATTGCACCACTGCACTCCAGCCTGGACGACAGAGTGAGACTCCGTCTCAAAAAAAAAAAAAAAAATTATCTTCCTTGAAATGATTAAAATGTGAAATGGTTGAAAACTCAGACTTAAAAGGGAAGCATTAGGGCTGTGCAAGGTGGCTTGTGCCTGTAATCCCAGCACTTTGGGAGGCCAAGGCTGGAGGATTGTATGAGTCTAGGAGTCTGAGACCAGCCTTAGTGACATAGCAAGACCCTGTCTCTACAAAAAAATTTAAAAATTAGCTGGGCATGATGGTGCACACCTGTAGTCCCAGCTACTCAGGAGGCTGAGGTAGGAGGATCACTTGAACCTGGGAGGTCAAGGCTGCAGTGAGCTATCATCCTGCTGCCCTGCACTCCAGCCTGGGTGACAAACGAGACCCTGGCTCAAAAACAAAAAAAAAGATTAAAAATAGCACCCTTTTACAATGTTTTGTGAAGGTAAACTAGCTGACTGTTGTTCTTAAGAATAGCTCATATGGAAAATTTCTAAGTTGGAAACATCTTCAGAACTACACCTCTACCCAACCCCACCCCCTCAAAAAAAGATCAAAAGAATTTACTTCTTCTATTACCTATTGTGAAATAGGAGGTTAATTTCTCATCCTATTATAGAAGGAACAAAGACTTTGTGCCTTTGTTGGATATTAGATGTAGAAATATTACGTTAATACCAGACTTAATATTCAGTCTGTGATAATCAAAAGATGATTATTCTTTATGGTAATTAGAATAAAGTTTCTGAGTAAAGTATTTTTCACCTAAAATCATTTTAAGTTGGCAAGTTAAAATATCGAAGGAGATATGGTTTAATGTAACTAAATAGTCTGCAAATTTGTAAAGTGGTTGTATGGCCTTTCAACTTATAATTAAAGTGCTTGATGAAGATGGTTTTTTGGCCTTGGGGTAGTTAACTGTATTGCCTGCCTGTTTGACAGTGCAAATTACAGGTTCCTTATGTCTTGATTTCTGGGATTTCCTGTTTCTGATCCAGTTTAAGTGTCATGTTATTGTGTAATATATGCCAATGTTTTAAAAAGTATATGCACATATATTTAATGATGTACTTTACTTTCTGCCTCTTTGGAGTTAGTGCCAGTGCTGCCATTCATGCCAAAGAATGGCCTTCATCCTTTCTCACTGTGCTTTCTGCAGTTTTCTCCTGGGCACAAGCTACATTCACTGCCTTCCTGAGACCCACCCCAGAACTAAACCATTCTCTGTACTGAAACCCAGACATATCAGCCATTAACAATTACTGCCATCTCTGCCACATAAAACATCAGAAGTGTTTTTTGACTTGCCATAAAGTTGATATCTTTTCTGTTTTCTATTGGCAATAAAACATACATGAGCTGGGTGCTGTGTTGCGCACCTGTAGTTCCAGCTACTTAGGAGGCTCAGGTGAGAGGATCACTTGAGCCCAGGAGTTCAAGGCCAGCCTAGGCAACATAGCAAGAACCTGTCTGAAAAAAAAAAGAAAAAATAATAATTAAATTATATGTTTATTATGCAACTTTTCTCTTGTTTCTAAGAGATTCCAGACCAGAAGTTCTAAAGTTTTAAGCAAGTTTTCAAAAATCTAGGCTGGGGCCAGGCACAGTGGCTCACACCTGTAATCCCAGCATTTTGGGACGCCAAGGCAGGCAAATTGCTTGAGCTCAGGAGTTTAAGACCAGCCTGGGAAACGTGGTGAAACCCTGTCTCTACAAAAAATACACAGCTTAGCCGGGTGTGGTGGTACACGCCTATGGTCCCAACTACTTGGGAGGCTGAGGCAGGAGGATAAGTTGATCCTGGGAGGTCAAGGCTGCTAAGAGCCCGAGATCGCACCACTGCACTCTAGCCTGGGTGACAGAGCGAGACCTTGTCTCAAAAACAAAAATCTATGCCAGGTGCAGTGGCTCATGTCTGTAATCCCAGCACTTTGGGAGGCCGATACAGGAGGATTGTCTGAGCTCAGGAGTTCAAGACCAGCCTGGGCAACATAGTGAAACCCCGTCTCTACAAAAAATACAAAAATTAGCTGGGCGTGGTGGGGCACACCTGTAGTCCCAACTACTCCAGAGGCTAAAGTGGGAGGATGGCTTGAGCCTGGGAATCAGAGGTTGCAGTGAACCAAGACTGTGCCACTGCACTCCAGCCTGGACAATAGAATGAGACCCTGTTTCAAAAAAAAAATTTTTTTTTTCAAAAATCTGTATTTTTTTTCATATGAAGTGTATTTGTTTTGGATTCAAAGATGAATGCCAGAGACTCTTAACTCTTGAGTCTTCCAGCTTTTCCCAATAAAGTCCCTATTCCTATTTCAGTCTTCCTTTTTCTTTTCTCCTTATAGTGGACATTTGGGAGCAATAAAAATAAGAAGAAAGGAAAAGCCAGAAAAATAGAGAAGAAAGGAACCATGAAGAAACAGGCCAACAAAACTGCCTCCTCAGGCAGTTCAGACAAAGACAGTTCAGCTGAGAGCTCAGCCCCTGAGGAAGGTGAGCTGAGCAGCCTAGACCTGGAAGGTCAACTCCCACTCTTGTCAGCTTGAAGGTGCAAAGGCAGAAGTGGGGAGGAAGGGGGGTACTTGCATTCAGCATGACCTCTTCTTTAGAGCAGTGGTTCTTAACTTTTTCCATGGTCATGGATGCTTTGAGAATCTGAATGAAGCAAGAAAAATGCATGCAATTCCAAAGGTTGGTGAGACCCCTGAAACCTATCCCTGGAACCCACGAGGATTCCTGCATTAGTCTTGAATACCCTGAGTGCCTTTCCCTCCCCTTTTTTTCTTGCTTATGCATAGTCTGACTGAGGAGGGAATCTCAGTAGAAAATGTTCCTTTTCTGGAAGCCAATTCCAGAATTTTTCAACACTAGTTTGAAAAGTGAACTTGGGCCAGGTGCAATGGCTCATATTTGTAATCTCAACACTTTGGGAGGCCAAGGTGGGAGGATCGCTTGAGCCCAGGAGTTCAGGACTAGCCTGGGTAACATAGTGAGATCCCATCTCTACAAAAAAATTTAAAAATTAGCTGGGTGTTATGGTATGCACCTGAGGTCCCAACTACTTAGGAGGCTGAGGCGAGAGGCTTGCTTGAGCCCAGGACTTCGAGGTTACTGTGAGCTATGATCACACCACTGCACTCCAGTGACAGAGCAAGACCCTTTCTCAACAACAACAAAAAAAAGTAGGAAAAAAAAAAAAGAAAAATGCAGGGACACTGGAAGAGAAAATAGAAGTGAACTTGTTCCAGGACTAGAATGATAACCTGTAAATTATAAAAATTTTAAAAACATTTTTAAAAATAATGTTTACATAAAAGCTGACTTTATAAAATTGGCCTAACCCGGTTTTGAGCACATGCCTATGAATGTTAGCTCAAATTGAGTCAAGGGCAGTTCCTGTTAAATTGCTGACTTAGTTCAATACTCATTGTACTCACATACTTTTTCCATGCCAACATTTGTCCTGTTAAGATCTACTATTATGATAAATTCACTAATCAATTTTTAATTGTTCATTAAAATGTGTTTTTTTATTTTTTATTTTTTTAATTTATTATCGAGACAGAGTTTCGCTCTTGTTGCCCAGGCTGGAGTGCAATGGCGCGTTCTTGGCTCACTGCAACCTCTGTGTCCCGGGGTTCAAGAGATTATTCTGCCTCAAGCAGCTGGGATTACAGATGCTCACCAGCACACTTAGCTAATTTTTTATATTTTTAGTAGAGATGGGGTTTCACCATGTTGGCCAGGCTGGTCTTGAACTCCTGACCTCAGGTGATCCACCTGCCTTGTCCTCCCAGAGTGCTGGGATTACAGGTGTGAGCCGCCACACCCGGCCATAAAAAAATTTTTTTTTTAATGCCAGCTAATAAATAAAAAAGAAATTATAGGGTTAGAAGAATCACCACTTTTCAATCATAGTGATAAAGTTGATTTACTCAAGAATCCTCAATGATTGTTAAAACCACTGGGTGAGAGTTTGTTGGAAAACAAAATTATATAGTCTTAAACCTTCTGCCTATACATACTATTACACAAAGAGGAAAAGGTGCCTTTACAAAGGGAAAATCTGGGAGACACCACCTTTACCAAGTAATCCAAATTAAAATAATGGGACAAACAGATGTTAGGGCTTCCTGATGTGATACATTGAAAAGGACACAATCACTTATGGAGTATTCTTGCCAAAAATTCATAACCTGAATTGTTTCTTAACAAATCAACCAAACCAAATGAAGTGGACATTTGATAACTGTTGCTATTTCAACTTAAATTAACTAAAAAGTCATGTTTAAAATTTAGTTTTTCAGTTGCACTAGCCACATTTGAGTTTGTGAATACCCATATGTGGTGGCTGCTGTTCAGATAGACAAAATTTTCATCACCACCTCACAGAATTCTACTAGACAATTTTTTGGGGCTTATACTCTTCAAAAATTCAGTGCACCAACAAGTGGATAAAGAAAATGTGTATGTATGCCAGCCGGGCATGGTGGCTCACACCTGTAATCCCAGCACTTTGGGAGGCCAAGGCAGGCGGATCACAAGGTCAGGAGTTTGAGACCATCCTGGCCAACATGGTGAAACCCCGTCTCTACTAAAAATACAAAAATTAGCTCAGCATGGTGGTGCCTACCTGTAATCCCTAATACTCTGGAGGCTGAGGCAGGAGAATCGCTTGAACCAGGGAGTTGGAGGTTGCAGTGAGCCGAGATCACCCCACTGTACTCCAGCCTGGTGACAGAGTGAGACTCTGTCTCCAAAAAAAAAAAAAAGAAAATGTGTATGTATGCCATGGGATATTAGCCACAAAACGGAATGAAATAATGGCCTTTGCAGCAACTTCAGTGGAGCTGGAGGCCATTTTTCTAAGTGAAGTAACTAAGGAACGGAAAACCAAATATAGTATGTTCTCATGTATAAGTGGTGTTTAAGCCATCAGGATGCAAAGGCATAGAATGATATAATGGGGCCAGGTGTAGTGGCTCACGCCTGTAGTCCCAGCACTGTGGGAGGCCAAGGCAGGTGGATCACTTGAGGTCAGGAGTTTGAGACCAGCCTGGCCAACACAGTGAGACCCTGTCTCTGCTAAAAATACAAAAATTAGCCAAGCATGGTGGTGCGCTCCTGTGGTCCCAGCTACTCAGGAGGCTGAGCCCCAAGAATCGCTTAAAGAGGAGGTTGCAGTGAGCCGAGATCAGGCAATAGAGTGAGACTCTGTCTCCAAAAAAAAAAAAAAGAATGATATAATGGACATTGGGGACTTGGGGAGGGAGTGAGGGTTAAAAGAGTACATATTGGGTACAGTGTACACTGCTTGGGTGATAGATACACCAAAATCTCAGAAATCACCACTAAAGAACTTATCCATGTAATCAGGCCAGGTGCGGCGGCTCACACCTGTAATCCCAGCACTTTGGGAGGCCAAGACGGGGATCACCTGAGGTCAGGAGTTCGAGACCAGCTGGACCAACATATTTTCATCTTTACTAAAAATAGAAAAATTAGCCGGGCGTGGTGGCATGTGCCTGTAGTCCCTGTTACTTGGGAGGCTGAGGCAGGAGAATTGCTTGAACCCGAGAGGTAGAGGTTGCAGTAACTGAGATCAGCCTAGGCAACAAAAGTGAAACTCCATCTCAAAAAAAAAAAAAAGGCTGGGCGCAGTGGCTCATGCCAGTAATCCCAGCACTTTGGGAGGCTGAGGTCGGCGGATCATGAGGTCAGGAGATTGAGACCATCCTGGCTAACATGGTGAAACCCCATCTCTATTAAAAAAATACAAAAAAATTAGCCAGGCGTGGTGGTGGGCATCTATAATCCCAGCTACTCAGGAGGCTGAGGCAGGAGAATGGCATGAACCCGAGAGGCGGAGCTTGCGCTGAGTCGAGATCGTGCCACTGCACTCCAGCCTGGGCGACAGAGAGAGACTCTGTCTCAAAAAAAAAAAAAAAGAACTGCTGGGGGCCAGGCGCAGTGGCTCACGCCTGTAATTCCAGCACTTTGGGAGGCCAAGGCGAGCGGATCACTTGAGGTCAGGAGTTCAAGACCAACCTGGCCAACATGGTGAAACCCCATCTCTGCTGAAAATATAAAAATTAGCTGAGTGTAGTGGTGAGCGCCTGAGCTACTCGGGAGTCTGAGGCAGGAGAACTGTTTGAACCGGGGAGGTGGAGATGGCAGTGAGCCGAGATCGCGCTGCTGCACTCCAGCCTGGGTGACAAGCAAAAACTCCATCTCAAACAAAATAAATAGGCCGAGCATGGTGGCTCACACCTGTAATCCCAGCACTTTGAGAGGCCAAGGTGGGCGGATCACGAGGTTGAGAGATCGAGACCATCCTGGCCAACACGGTGAAACCCCATCTCTACTAAAAATACAAAAATCAGCTGGACGTGGTGGCGTGCACCTGTAGTCCCAGCTACGCAGGAGGCTGAGGCAGGAGAATCGCTTGTGAACCAGGGAGGTGGAAGTTGCAATGAGCTGAGATCACACCACTGCACTCCAGCCTGGGGCAGAGTGAGACTCCGTCTCAATAATAATAATAATAAATAAGATGGGGCCAGGTGTGGTGGCTTACACAGGCGTAAGCCTGTAATCCCAGCACTTTGGGAGGCCAAGTCAGGAGGATTGCTTGAGCCCAAGAGTTCGAGACCAGCCTTGGCAACAAAGCGAGACCCCAATTCTATTTAAAAAGTAAAAATAAATAGGCGCAGTGGCTCACGCCTGTAATCCCAGCACTGGGAGGCCGAGGTGGGCAGATCACCTGAGGTCAGGAGTTCGAGACCAGCCTGAACAATATGGTGAAACCCCGTCTCCAATAAAAATACAAAATTAGCTGGGTGTGGTGGCACACATCTGTAATCCCTGCTACTTGGGAGGCTGAGGCAGGAGAATCGCTTGAACCCGGGAGGTGGAGGAGCTGAGATTGTGCCACTGCACTCCAGCCTAGGCAATAAGAGCAAAACTCCATCTCAAAAAAAAAGTAAAAACAAATAAGTAAAATAACAAACTGGTTTCTTACTGTAGCTGAAAGAAGGGTGATGTTGTCAACATTGTGGAGCCGCTTGTGGCCTGTCTTCTGTAGCATAGTGTAATCTTGTGTTTGGGCCTTTGTTGCAGGTGAAGTGTCAGACTCTGACAGCAACAGCTCCTCTTCCAGTTCAGATTCAGACTCTTCCTCAGAAGATGAAGAGTTCCATGATGGCTATGGAGAAGACCTCATGGGAGATGAGGAAGACAGGGCCCGTCTGGAACAGATGACAGAGAAAGAGAGAGAGCAAGAACTGTTCAATCGCATAGAGAAGAGGGAGGTGTTGAAAAGAAGGTAAGGTTGTCCTCGTCGTTGTCCCCCCCCCGCCCCCACCTTTTCTGTTCATCTCTTTTCTCATACTTCCCTGTCCTTCACACCTGACCTACACATGGAGACTGGCATTTGGAATTGACTGTTAACATGATGAGACGCAAGTGATGTATTAAATTTCAATCACATTCATTATTTACTCAGTGCCACTGGCTTTGTTTACTAATGTACGTTATTCAGAAGGTTTTATTCATAAGACATTATTTATGTGCACTATTTAATCTTCACAACTGCTCTGTGAAGTTGGTTATACCATATTACAGAGGTAGACGCTTAGGCTTAGAGACATTAGGTAACTAAAGAGTAAGCTGCATGAAGGGAGAGACTTTGTCCTTTTCGCCACTCTATTCTTAGTGCCTAGAACAGTACCTGGCACAGAGATATGCACTAAATACTAGTTGAGTGAATGAATGAAGAAACTTGCCCAAGGTGATTTAGCTGGTAAGTGGTAGAACTGGATTTCAAACCTGGGACCATCTGACACCATAAAACACGCTGTGGCCATATCCTCTCCTGCGTCACATTTCCTGTCATTTTACCTATTCTGTAACACCGCACTACAGGCAGCATTCTAAAGGGAATTACATACTTTGGGAGGCCGAGGTGGACGGATCACCAGAGATCAGGAGTTCTAGACCAGCCTGGCCAACATGGTGAAAACCCATCTCTACTAAAAATACAAAAAAATTAGCCTGGTGTGGTGTTGTGCACCCGTAGTCCCAGCTACTCAGGAGGCCGAGGCAGGAGAATTGCTTCAACCCAGGAGATGGAGGTTGCAGT